>NC_000002.12:96458417-96785484 GCF_000001405.40 Homo sapiens | reverse complement strand
TCGTATTTTTTGTAGAGATGGGGTTTCGCCATGTTGCCCAGGTTGGTCTCAAACTCTGGGGCTACAGGAATCCTCCTGCCTCAGCCTCCCAAAGTGCTAAGATTACAGGTATGAGCCACTGCACCTGGACTTCGGTTTTACTTCTTTAAATTTTTTCTGTGTTCATTCTATAATACATGTACTAGTATAACAGCACATGTACATAATTTTTGATTGAATGGAGGCACAAACTAAAAAGAAAAAAAAAGGTTTTAAAATAGGGGCAAGATGAAAAGCTTGAAGAGCTCCCTTTAGAATACCCCGTAAATGCTGGGCACAGTGGCTCATGCCTGTAATCCCAGCACGTTGGGAGGCTGAGGCAGGAGGATCATCTGAGGTCAGAAGTCTGAGACCAGCCTGGCCAACATGATGAAATCCTATCTCTACTAAAAACACACAAATTAGCTGGGCGTGGTGGTGCCCACCTATAATCTCAGCTGCTCAGGAGGCTGAGGCATGAGAATCGCTTGAACCCGGGAGGCAGAGGTTGCAGTGAGCCAAGACTGCAACACTGCACTCCAGCCTGGGTGACAGAGCCAGACTCTATCTCAAAAAGAAAAAATAGCCCCATAAAGATAGCTATGCCTCAGTTGCCTCTTCGCACAGGACATGGTCAACCTCCCCCTGCCACCAACCTGTCTGGGTGACCATGTTCCCAGGAGAGAGTTGCCCTACATCTACTGTCAATCCCACTCTTCCTAGGAGGAAGCTAAGGCCCAGAGAAGTCATGCCCAGGGTCACACCCCAAGGGGTGATCAGGCTGGGATACAGAAATGGGACTTCTGCTACAGATAGCCTTCTTCCTTTAATACAAGCCCATAGTGGGTGAAGCTATTGACAAACTGATGATGGGGACTCTAAGACTGGCCCCTCACCCTGGGGACAGGTCTTTATGCCTCTGATTTTCCATTTAGCTAGTAGTCTCTAGATTTTTAAGCTTTTACTATGGAAAATATCAAGCATCTACAAAAGTAGAGATAATAATCTAATTACACCCTCACCTAACAATTAACAGCTCCTCATGACCAGCCTTTCTTCCTCGCTACTCCCACTTGCTCTACTCACTGATTTTGAAGCAAAGCCCAGGTTTTATCTGTAAACATGTATACATTTTACCTGAAAATATTTAGTATTTCAATATGTATCTCTAAAAGATAAGGACTTTTTTTTTCTTTTTTTTTGAGACAAGGTCTTGCTGCCACCCAGGCTAGAGTGCAGTGGCACGATCCTAGCTCACTGCAGCCTCGACCTGCTGGGCTCAAGTGATTCTCCCGCCTCAGCCTCCTGAGGAGCTGAGGCAACAGGCATGAGCCACTGCACCCAGCTAATTTTATTTTATTTCATTTTATTTTATTTTCGTAGAGACAGAGTTTTTTTCTGATATCGGTAACAAAAGTGGAAGGAAGAAAACTAAGATCACTTATAATCCTGCCTTCCAAAGATAACTACTGTTAACTGTGTATTTTCTTTGGTGTTTTAAAATGGATATATATAGATAAAATATTTCCACCACAAATTGGATCACATATATTGTTTTGTACGCTGCTTTTTAAATTCTTTACATTCTTTGTATTTTCCCATGTCACTAAAAAGTTTTATAAAAAACAGAATGACTTCATAACATGTCATTGTACAGATGCATACACAATCCCAGTCCCCATTGGGCTCTTAAATTGTGCCTTCTCCCCGTTTTTGCCATATGAATATCCTTGTGTATAAATATATGTAACTGTATCTCCATGTCCTTAAGATAGGAGTCAAAGAAAGGGTTTTGTGTGTTTAACTTTCTGAAGTTCCCTAATAAGTCAGTTCAGACTTAATGCTTCCTAGAAGACACAGTCAGGACAATTAGGAAATCAGGCATCAGGAGACCAAAAATGGCAGGTTTCAGAAGCTACGGCTGTCAGAAAGCAAGGAGAAAAACAAGGAACTTGAGCCATCTGCTGAAGAAAAAGAACATGAAGTGGAGAGAGGAGTGAACTGTGTCCCACCCAGACGCTGGTCCCTGGGAGCAGGATCTCTCCGTGGCCAGGAGGTGCAGGGGGTCCCAGCAGTCCTACCAGCACCATCAGCGTCCTTCTGAGTTCAGACCCTTCCAGCAAACTGCTTCTTCCTTTCCACCCAGTCCGTATTCTCAGAAGCACCTCTGGCATTTTCTCCTGGAACTGCAGAGCTGGAAGCATGGCTCACAGCCATCTCGCCCCTGCCCCAGCATCCCCTACCAGAGGTGGCAGGGAACCCCTTCCCCGCTGTACCTTTGCTCAATTGCTTACAGAGAGGCACAGCTCACTCATGGCCTTGTGAGGCTCCATTCTTTGAACCTTTTTGGCAACCAGCTAATAATCCACAGGCAAATCAACCTAAAAGTGAGACCATTAATTTTTTTTTATTTATAATTTTTAAAATAGAGACAGAGTCTCACATGTTGACCAGGCTGGTCTTGAACTCCTGACCCCAAGAGATCCTCCCGCATTGACCTCCCAAAGTGGTAGGATTACACGTGTGAGCCCCCATTCCCAGCGTGGACCACTATTAAAGAGCCCACAGGTCCCATGTTGATCCTAAAGACTTAACCGAAATTCTGTTAAATACTTTGCTGAAATACATCTATTCTGGGACTAGCTTTCCATTGCACTAACCTAGTAATCCTACCCTCCCCAACATACACAAAAGAAATGAAAATTAGCTTTTTTTCCCCTTAGTAAACCCCAGTTGGTTCCTGGTCATCATATACTGTTTCCAAATGTTTACAAACTACTAAAATCATTCCAAGGAATCATTGATGTCAAACAGAGAGGAAAACTATAGCAACAGTTGAGGTGATGCCAGAGGCTGATACTGGTTGTTAGGTGTAGGAACAGAAGGGGAGGAAGAGGACAAGAATATTACTTGCTCACTATCAAACAATTATTTTTCCTGCCATTAAAGAAAAAAAAATGATATGGTATCTTTCTTCAGTTTAACAGCGGGAAAACAATTATAGTCTCATCTGTCTCATGAGCATAAATGCCAAAATTCTTTTTTTTTTTTTTTTGAGACAATGTCTCACTCTGTCGCCCAGGCTAGAGTGCAATGGTGCAATCTCAGCTCACGGCAACCTCTGCCTGTCAGGCTCAAATGATCCTCCCACCTCAGCCTCCCAAGTAGCTGGGACTACAGGCTCATGCCACCACACTCAGCTAATTTTTTTATTTTCAGTAAAGACAGGGTCTTCTGGGCTCAAGCAATCCATTCGTCTCAGCCTCCCAAAGTGCTGGGATTACAGGCATGAGCCACCACGCCTGGCCGATGCCAAAATCCTAAATAAAGATATTGGCAAATCAAATACAGTGGTGTGTAAATAGAATAATGACACTAAGTTAGTTCTACTCCGGTTATACAATAAATTTGGGATTAGCATTAAAAAATCAATCAGTGTATTTCAGAATAAAGAAAATAGGTTATTCAATCATCTCAACAGATACAAAAAGAGCATTTGGCAAAATTCAACACCTATTCATCATAAAAATTCTTAGCAAACTAAGGGGAGAAGGGAATTTCCTTGATCTGGTAAAGGAAATCTACAAAAAACCCTACCAAAATCATACAAAATGATCAACTTTGAAAGCCTTCCCAGGAGTTCCAGAACAGCCTGGGCAACATGGTGAAGACTAAGCAGGTGATTACCCAGTTGGGCTTTGAATTGTCCTTCCTCCAGGGAAGGGAGGGGTCTAGAGATTGGGTTCAATCCTGTGGTGAATGACTTAAATCAAACATGTAATGAGGTCTGGATAAAAACTCTGGACCCCAAAGCTCACTGAGCTTCCTGGTTGGTGAATACATTAACATATCTAGACAGAGTGCCCTGACACCACAGGCAGAGGGCATGAAGCTCCTCTAGGACCGACAAAGCCTCATCCTATGTGTATCCCTCAAAATAAAACTATAATCAGGTGCGGGCATGGTGGCTCAAGCCTGTGATCTCAGCATTTTGGGAGGCCAAGGTAGAGGATCACTTAAGCCCAGGAGTTTGAGGCTGCAGTGAGCTATGATTGTGCCACTGCGCTCTAGCCTGGGCAACAGAACAAGACTCTGTCTCTTGGCTGGGCATGGTGGCTCAAGTCTGTAATCCCAGCACTTCAGGAGGCTGAGGCAGGTGGATCACCTGAGGTCAAGAGTTCGAGATCAGGCCGGGCACGGTGGCTCACGCCTGTAATCCCAGCACTTTGGGAGGCTGAGGCAGGTGGATCACGAGGTCAGGAGAGCGAGACCATCTTGGCTAACACAGTGAAACCCCGTCTCTACTAAAAAACACAAAAAATTAGCTGGGCATTGTGGCGGGTGCCTGTAGTCCCAGCTACTCGGGAGGCTGAGGCAGGAGAATGGCGTGAACCCGGGAGGCGGAGCTTGCAGTGAGCCGAGATTGTGCCACTGCATTCCAGCCTGGGCAACACAGTGAGACTCCATCTCAAAAAAAAAAAAAAAAAAAAAAAAGAGTTCGAGATCAGCCTGGCCAACATGGCGAAACCTCATTTCTACTAAAAATACAAAAAAAAAAAAATTAGCTGGGTGTGGTGGTACGCGCCTGTAGTCCCAGCTACTTGGGGAGGCTGAGGCAGAAGAATTGCTTGAACCCAGGAGGCAGAGGTTGCAGCGAGCCAAGATCGTGCCACTGGACTCCAGCCTGGGCAATAGAGGGAGACTCCATCTCAAAAAAACAAACAAACAAACAAATAAAAACAAACAAAAAAACCTGTCTCTTAAAAAAACAAAACAAACAAAACAAAAACCTGTAATCCTAAGTGTAGCACTGTCCTGAGTTCTGTGAGTTGTTCTAATGAATTACTGAACCTGAGGTCATGAGAACCCCCATACACAGAGTCTGTTGGTTAGCAGTGCACAAGTGAGGCCGGACATGGTGGCTCACGCCTGTAATCCCAGCAATTTGGGAGGCCAAGGCGGGAGGATCACTTGAAGTCAGGAGTTTGAGACCAGCCTGGACAACACGGTGAAGCCCGTCTCTAAAAAAGAAAAAAAAAAAAAAAAAGGGAGAGCAAGTGGGCAGTCTTGGGGAGGGCAGAAACCTTAAACCTGTGGAATCCAGTGATGCTAACTCCAGGCAGCTGGCGCCAGAACTAAACTACAGTACACCCCAGCTGGGGTGGAGATGGAACAACCTATAACAAACTTTGGAAAATCAAATTTTAGAGCCCTCATTTATGATCACCAAATAACTAGGAATATACTCAAGAAAAGATGTGTAAGATTTCCACACAAAAATATTTTTGAAAGAAACTAAGAGGACACAAATGAAAAGGTCATCGTGTTCACAGATTGGAAGATTCACTACTATAAAATGTCAAGTCTGGCCAGGCGCGGTGGCTCCTGCCTGTAACCCCAGCACTTTGGGAGGCCAAGACGGGCAGATTACAAGGTCAAGAGATCGAGACCATCCCAGCCAACATGGTGAAACCCCGTCTCTACTAAAATACAAAAATTAGCTGGGTGTGGTGGCACGTGCCTGTAGCCCCAGCTACTCAGGAGGCTGAGGCAGGAGAATTGCTTGAACCCAGGAGGCGGAGGTTGCAGTGAGCCGAGATCACACCACTGCACTCCGGCCTGGAGACAAAGTGAGACTCCGTCTAAAAAAAAAAAAAAAATGTCAAGTCTTTGAGTTGATCTGTAGATTCAGTGCAATTCCATAAAATTCCCAGGTAAAAAGCTAAGAATAGCTAAGACAATCTTGAAGAACAAAAGGCTTAACATTACCAGATATCAAAACTTATAAAGTTACTGCAATTATGCCAACATGGTTACTGGAGCAAAGAAAAAGAAACAGATCAATTAAATCTAAGAGTCCAGAGAGACCCACATGTGCACCACAGTCCAGTGAGAAAAGGGATCTTCTCAATACAAAGTCCTGGGTATCATATGGATTTTTTTTTTTTTTTTTTTTTTGAGACGAGGTCTTGCTCTGTCACCCAGGCTGGAGGGCAGTGGCACAATCTTAGCTCACTGCAACTTCTGCCTCCCAGGCTCAAACAACCCTCCCACCTCAGCCTCCCAAGTAGCTGGGATCAAAGGTGCATGCCACCACGCCCAGCTAATTTTTGTATTTTTGGTAGAGACAGGGTTTCACCATGTTGCCCAGGCTAGTCTCAAATTCCTGAGTTCAAGTGATTCCATACAGCTTTTAAAGAAAGAATATTGGCCAGGCGCGGTGGCTCACGCCTGTAATCCCAGCATTTTGGGAGGCCGAGGCGGGCGGATCACGAGCTCAGGAGATCGAGACCATCCTGGCTAACACGGTGAAACCCCGTCTCTACTGAAAAAATGCAAAAAATTAGCCGGGCATGGTGGCAGGCGCCTATAGTCCCATCTACTCAAGAGGCTGAGGCAGGAGAATGGCGTGAAGCCAGGAGGCAGAGCTTGCAGTGAGCCAAAATCGCGCCACTGCACTCCAGCCTGGGCAACAGAGCGAGACTCCATCTCAAAAAAATAAATAAATAAAATAAATAAATCACCCAGTCTCACAAACCAGACTTAGACAGTAGATAAGGTCACATACATATTAATTAGCTTGTTGTACACCACAAATATATATGGTTTTTGTCAATTAAATGCTTAAAATAAAAAAGCTATGTAAAGGCTAAAATCCGCAGAGTGGGAGAATGTATTTGCAATACATATGTCTGATAAAGGGTTCATAAAAATTAACTGGGACAAGTGGCATGCACCTATAGTCCCAGCTACTGAGGAGGCTGAGGCAGGAGGATTACTTGAGCCCAGGAGTTCAAGACCAGCCTGGGCAACATAGTGAGACCCTCATATAAAAAAAAATTTTTAAGGCAATCCTGCTTACAATAGCTACAAAAAAAAGATACATAGAAATAATTTTTTTTTTTTTTTTGAGACAGAGTCTTGCTCTGTCGCCCAGGCTGGAGTGCAGTGGTGCCATCTCGACTCACTGCAACCTCCACCTCCCGGGTTCAAGCAATTCTCTGTCTCAGACTCCGGAGTAGCTGGGATTACAGGTGCCCGCCACCATGCCCAGCTAATTTTTTTGTATTTTTAGTAGAGACAAGGTTTCACCATCTTGGCCAGGCTGGTCTTGAACTCCTGACCTTGTGATCTGCCTGCCTCGGCCTCCAAAAGTGCTGGGATTACAGGCGTGAGCCACTGCACCTGGCCCCTAGGAATAAATTTTTAAAGGGTCCAGATATACATAACTATATAAAGAATATATAGAATAAATAATATATAAATAACTCCTAAACATGGTTAAGAAAAAGGCAGAGAGGGTAAGGCACGGTGGCTCACACCTGTAATCCCAGCACTTTGGGAGGGCAAGGTGGGCAGATCACTTGAGTTCAAGAGTTCAAGACCAGCCTGGGCAACATGGTGAAACCCCACCTCTACAAAATATACAAAAATTAGCCAGTCATGGTAGCATGTGCCTGTGATCCCAGCTACTTGGCGGGCTGAGGTGGGAGGATTTCTTGAGCCCAGGAAGTCGAGGCTTCAGTGAGCCAAGATCGCACTACTGTGCTCCAGCCTGGGTGACAAAGCAAGATCCTGTTTCAGAAAAAAAAAAAAGGCAGAGAGTTCAAGACCAGCCAAGGCAACACAGGGAAAACCCTCTCTCTACAAAAAATACACAAAGTTGGCCAGGCGTGGTGGCTCACTCCTGTAATCCCAGCACTTTGGGAGGCCAAGGCAGGTGAATCACCTGAGGTCAGGAGTTCAAGACCAGCCTGGCCAACACAGTGAAACCCCATCTCTACCAAAAATATAAAAAATTAGCCGGGTGTGGTGGCACACGCTTGTAATCCTAGCTACTCAGGAGGCTAAGGCAGGAGAATCACTTGAACCCAGGAGGTGGAGGTTGCAGTGAGCCAAGATCGTGCCACTACACTCCAGACTGAGCAATAAAGCAAGACTCTGTCTCAAAGTAGCCAGGTGTGGTGGCGCACAGCTGTGGTCCCAGCTACTCAGGAGGTTGTAAAGTGGAATATATTGCTTGAGCCTGGGAAGTTGAAGCTATAGTGAGCCATGATTGCATCACTGCATCCAGCCTACGTGACAGAGAGACTGTATCTCAAAAAAGAAATAAAAAGGCAAGGCAAACCTCCTAGAAAACAGGCAACAGGCCGGGCGCAGTGGCTCACGCCTGTAATCCCAGCACTTTGGGAGGCCGAGGCGGGCAGATCACAAGATCAAGAGATTGAGACCATCCTGGCCAACGTGGTGAAACCCTGTTTCTACTAAAAATACAAACATTAGCTGGGTGTGGTGGCGCGCTCCTGTAGTCCCAGCTACTCGGGAGGCTGAGGCAGGAGAATTGCCTGAACCCAGGAGGCGGGGGTTGCAGTGAGCTGAGATTGCGCCATTACACTCCAGCCGGGGCAACAAGAGTGAGACTCCGTCTCAAAAACAAAAAAAAAAGAAAACAGTTAAGACACAAATAAAAAGAATAGTCAAATGGACAATAAGCATATAAAAATGTGCTCAATATCATAATTCACTAGGGAAATCTAAATTAAAACCACAATGAGGTGGGGCGCAGTGGCTCACGCCTGTAATCCCAGCACTTTGGGAGGCCAAGGCAAGGGGATCACAAGGTCAGGAGTTGGAGACCAGCCTGGCCAATATGGTGAAACCCCATCTCTACTAAAAATACAAAAAAATTAGCCTGGTATGGTGGCTCATGCCTGTAATCCCAGCTACTCAGGAGGCTAAGGCAGGAGAATTGCTTAAACCCATGAGGCAGAGGTTGCAGTGAGCCGAGATGCATCACCGCACTCCAGGCTGGGCGAGAGAGCGAGACTCCATCTCAAAACCACAATGAGGGGGATGAAAAGAGGTTTATTAATGGGTACAAATATACACTTAGAAGAAATAAGACCTGGTGCTCCATAGATCAGTAGGTGATAATGGTTAACATTAGTCAATTTTACATTTCAAAATAACTAGGAGAGAATAATTCAAATGTTCCAAGCATAAAGAACACATAACTATTCAAGGTGATGAATATCCCAATTACCCTGATTTGATTACATGAATCTATCAAATTATCACATGTACTGTGAAAATAGCTATTATGTATCAATAAAAGTAAATTAAAAAAAAACACAATGGCGGCCGGGTGCAGTGGCTCACGCCTGTAATCCCAGCACTTTCGGAGGCCGAGGCAGGTGGATCATGAGGTCAGGAGATCGAGACCATCCTGATCAACACGGTGAAAGCCCGTCTCTACTAAAATATAAAAAATTAGCCAGGCGTGGTGGTGTGCGGCCTGTGGTCCCAGCTACTTGGGAGGCTGAGGCGGAGGAATCACTTGAACCCGGGAGGTGGAGGTTGTGGTGAGCTGAGATCACGCCACTGCACTCCAGCCTGGGCAACAGAGCGAGACTCCACCTCAAAAAAAAAAAAAAAAAAACCACAATGGCACAGTGGCTCTGGCCTGTAATCCCAGCACTTTAGGAGGCCGAGGAGGGAAGATGGTTTGAGGCCAGGAGTTCGAGACCAGCCTGGACAACAATGCAAGACCACATTCTCTATACAAATTTAAAAATTAGCCAGGCGTGGTGGCCCACACCTGTGGTCCCAGCTACTTGGGAGGCTGAGGTGGGAGGACTGCTTGAGCCTGGGAGGTGGGGGCTGCAGTGAGCTGTGATCATGCTACTATACTCCAGCCTGGATGACAGAGAGACAAAACAAAAACAAAAACAAAACAAAAACAAAACACAGTGAGACACAACCATGCACACACCTTAATGGCAAACATTAAACACACATACACATACTTAACAATACCAGAGTTGGTAGGGATAGGAGTGAACACTGATACAAGCACTTTGTAAAACTCTCATCTCTACCATCCCTGTGCCTTAGCAATTCCGTTCCCGGGCATATTCCTAACAGAAATGCCTTCATACGTTCAGCAAGAGACATGCACAAGAGTGTTCTTAGCAGCATCATTTGTAATAGTCCCAAACTGCAAACAATGCAATGTCCATCAACAATATTACTGGTTATATAAGGGAATATTATGACAGCAACCAAAAGGAATGAATGACAGCTACACACAGCATGGATGAAGCTCAGACCCTTAACATTCAGCAGAAGCCAGACACAAAAGTGTGTATATATGATATGATTCACTTACAAAAGTTTATAAACAGAAAAACTTTGACCCACAATGACTGAGGGAGCAGGGCAGGGACTGGGAGGGTGCATGGGGTCAGGGGTGGGCTTCCAGGGTGTGGATAATGTGTTATTACTGGAGCTCAGTGGCAGTTAGGGGTGTTTGTTTTGTGAAAAGCTATCAGGCTGTACCCTTATGATTTATGCACTTTTCTCTATATTATGCATCAACAAAAAGTTTACCTAAAAAAAATCTAAAACTGACAGTACATTTTTTAGCATTTTTTAGCCTGAACTTACTGGAATCTCCCAATCTTCTGGCTTTTTTTTTTTTTTTTTTTTTTTTTTTTTTTTTTTTTTGAGATGGAGTCTCACTCTGTCTCCCAGGCTAGAGTGCAGTGGCATGATCTCTGCTCACTGCAACTTCCACCTCCTGGGTTCAAGCGAATCTCCTGCCTCAGCCTCCCAAGTAGCTGGGAGTACAGGCACACATCACACCCAGCTAATTTTTGTATTTTTAGTAGAGATGTGGTTTTGCCATGTTGGTCAGGCTGGTCTCGAACTCCTAACCTCAGGTGATCCACTCGCCCTGGCCTCTCAAAGTGCTGGGATTACAGGCGTGAGCCACTGCACCCAGCCTGCTCTCTTTCTTAACAGCTACAATCTCACTGCAAGGAGACACTGCATAGTGCTTCAGAGCATGGCTGCTAGGGCCACACAGCCTGAGGTTGCCACTTAGCTGTCATGTGACTGGGAAAGACTGTTGGCCTCTCTAAGCCTCAGTTTCCCATCTACAGCACTTGGAGGATTAAATAATTATTTCATAAATGTTAACCACTAACACAGGCACAGGCATTTCCCCTGTTCGTTCTTTTTTTTTAACTTTTTAATTTAAAAAAAATTTTTAAACACAGGGTCTCGCTCTGCCACCCAGGCTGAAGCGCAGTGGTGCAATCATAGCTCATGTAACCTCAAACTCCTGGCCTCCAAGTGACCAAAGATCTTTGTTGCGGAGGCAAGATGGGGCTCCAAGGGAACAGAGACTCACCTGGTGGCCTCTTCCCTCCCTCCCTGAGACACCTGGGAGGCAGCAGAGGACCAGTGAAGCTGAAATGAAAACACGTGACTGGCAAATAGAGCTGTGCTCCTTCCTTCCCCTGCCCCCTCCCACAGGGCAGCCCTCACATGACGCTCCTGCAGTCGGAACATGGATGCGCTGGCGGTCAGGACGGTGGGTTTAACTCTCCCCAATTTGGAAGGGGGGAAAACTAAGTAAATGAGGTGAATTTCCTCTTTCACTTTCATTTTTCTCCCTTGAGCTCTGCCTTCTGTTACCCTGACTATATACACTGGGGTTCAGATAAGATGGCATCTGAATTAGCATATAATTATATAGAGGGTTCTTTTGAGCTCAGTTTATTTATTTATTTATTTTTAATAAGCTTTCTATATTTAATTAACTTTTTTTTTTTTTTTTTTAGATGGAGTCTTACTCTGTCACCCAGGCTGGAGTGCAGTGGCATGATCTTGGCTCACTGCAACCTCCACCTCCTGGGTTCAAGCAATTCTCCAGTCTTAGCCTCCTGAGTAGGTGGGACTACAGGCACACGCCACCGCATCCAGCTAATTTTTGTACTTTTAGTAGAGACAGCATTTCACCATGTTGGCCAGGCTGGTCTCAAACTCCTGACCTCAGGTGGTCTGTCCACCTCGACCTCCCAAAGTGCTGGGATTACAGCCATGAGCCACCGCGCCTTGCCATTTCATTTAATTTTAAATTTTTGTGGGTACATGGTAGGTGTCAGTGTATTTATAATTCCAAAAATGACACCACCCTGAACAGCAGGGCAGCCTGCCAACGGAGACAGTGTATGAGAACTGCTGTGGCCACAGGTTGGCATCAGTGTCAACTGGGGCACCTTTGGATAATAGCAATAATAATTTTAAAAATAACTAATATTTACAGCATGATTACGCAGTGCCGGGCACAGGGCTCGGCACCTTGCACGCCTTACCTCACTTAGTCCTCACCATGAGGTCTGAGGGGGACACAGTCTTCAATGTGGATGACCAGATCACTAGCAGCTGAAGAGAAAGTCACTATTTTGAGCATTTCATGAAATAAATCACACTGTACAAGCATTTACTAATTTTTGAAACTGACTTCTAACTCTTGGGAAAGTTTCATGAGAAATAGGTTTCGGTTTAAGGCAGGACTCCTGGTGACAGTCCATGTATGCATAAATGTGGGCGTTTGCGAGCCTGTGTGTGCACATGGGGGGTTAGCAGGTGGGTGTGAACATGTGTGAGTGGCCCTGCCTGTGCATCTGGGAGGTAGGAGTGTGTGTGTGTGCAAGTGTGTGAGAGCACCTGCCTGTGCCTTTGTGGGGGGTATGAGTGTGTGTGTGCGTGCATGGGTGAGAGCGAGCCTGCCTGTGCCTTTGTGGGGAGTATGAGTGTGGGTGTGTGAGCATGGGTGGGAGTGAGCCTGCCTGTGCCTATGTGCGGGTATGAGTGTGTGTGTGTGTGCGCATGTGTGTGTGAGCGCCTGCCTGTGCCTATGTGGGGGTATGAGTGTGTGTGTGTGTGTGCACGCATGTGTGTGTGAGCGCCTGCCTGTGCCTATGTGGGGGTATGAGTGTGTGTGTGTGTGTGCACGCATGTGTGTGTGAGCGCCTGCCTGTGCCTATGTGGGGGTATGAGTGTGTGTGCGCATGTGTGAGTGAGCGCCTGCCTGTACCTATGTGGGGGTATGAGTGTGTATGTGTGTGCACGCATGTGTGTGTGAGTGCCTGCCTGTGCCTTTGTGGGGGGTATGAGTGTGTGTGTGCGTGCATGGGTGAGAGCGAGCCTGCCTGTGCCTATGTGGGGGTATGAGTGTGTGTGCGCATGTGTGTGTGAGCGCCTGCCTGTGCCTACGTGGGGGGCATGAGTGTGTGTGCGCACGTGTGTGTGAGCACCTGCCTGTGCCTATGTGAGGGGTATGAGTGTGTGTGCGCACGGGTGGGAGTAGAGCCTGCCTGTGCCTATGTGGGGGTATGAGTGTGTGTGCGCGCATGGGGTGTGTAAGCGCCTGCCTGTGCCTTTGTGGGGGTATGAGTGTGTGTGTGAGCATAGGTGGGAGTAAGCCTGCCTGTGCCTATGTGGGGTATGAGTGTGGGTGTGCACATGTGTGGGAGTGGCCCTACCTGGGGTAGGGGAGGGATCCTCCTTGCACTGAGGCTCCAGGCTGCCTCCTGGCCAGAGACCAGGCGTTCCAGAGAGCCTGGGAAACCAGTCCTGCAACAACCCTACCCCTTCACAGTAAATCAGCCCTGCAGCATGGAAGCAATTCTGATCGTAACCTCTGGGGAATGCTCCAGCAACACCAAGTTTAACCCCCAGCAAAACAAACTAGCAGCTGTACACCCAGCCTCTGGGCTCACCTTCCCGCAGAGGCGCACAGCACTGCCCAGCCCTTGTCCTGGTGCAGATTCTCTGAGAGACTCCGAAAGGATGATGGGGATAAGGATTTAATTTCTTATCAGCAGGGAATCTGAAGAACCCATCTAAACTGTGTTCCAAAAAGCAAGGATTTCTTTCTTTTTTCTTTCTTTTTTTTTTTTTTGAGATGGAGTGTGGCTCTGTCGCCCAGGCTGGAGTGCAGTGGCACGATCTTGGCTCACTGTAACCTCCACCTACCGGGTTCAAGCAATTCTCCTGCCTCAGCCTCCCAAGTAGTTGGGATTACAGGCATGCACCACCACGACCGGCTAAAATTTTTTGTATTTGTCTAAAAAGTAGAGACAGGGTTTCACCATGTTGGCCAGGCTGGTCTTGAACTCCTGACCTCAGGTGATCCACCCGCCTCGGCCTCCCAAAGTACTGGGATTATAGGTGTGAACCACTGCATCCAGCCATGCTGTTTGTTATAAGGTTTTTGTTTTGTTTTGTTTTTAATAGAGACAAGTTCCAGCAATGAGATGTATCTCTTTTATGGCTACGGAAAAATAATAAACACTAATAACAAAATAAAAAAAAAAAAAAAGAAAATCATCTAACAGTGGAATAAGCACAGAAGTAAGGAGTCCAGGCTCTAGCCTACGACATAAGCCAGGGGCCCTTTATGGAGCTTCTGACCCTCTCCACGACAGTACATTCTGGTGAGAGGAGAGGGGTAAGCGAGGCGCAGGGCAGGCGTGGCAGCAGACACAGGGGCTGAGAGCTGTAGTGCAGCAGGTTGGAGCAAATGGCAGCTACCGGCCAGACAGCTGCTTCCCACCCCCTCAGCCGAGGGCCAGCCGGGTACCTCTGGAAATTCTAGCACCTTCACACATCTCAGAGTCAGTTCTGCTAAGGAGTTCCAAGAATCCCTAAGACCACAGGAAGGCTTTGAGACAGCCTGTCCATCCCCCACGGGCTGGGGAGAAGGAACCAGGAGGCTCTGCGAAAATCAGTCACCAAGGCAGCGACAGAGGCCTGGCCCAGGCTGCCTTTCCATACACACTCTCCATGGCTGCGCGGCCTTTCAGGAGCCAGCGCTCAGTGCAGGACAACCATGCTGGCCCCTGCCCTCAAGGAGACTGGAGGCCTGTAGTAGCGACTCCTTCAGAGGGGCCAGGCTTCCTTCCCCTCAAAGATGTCCTTGCTGTTCAGTCAACCAGGTTCATGTGGGAGGGGTGCAGAGAGAAGGCACCCAGGGATCCGCACCGCCAAGTCCGTCTAGAAAAGGAGGGGAAGCAGCCCGGGAGGCCTGAGCCACACCCCCAAAGCTGCTGCGAAGGACGGTGAGGCTCACCTCTCAGCCTTCGGGTCTTGTCCAAGCTCTCCCAGGGCAACACGTACCAGAGTGGAAAACGCCATGTCTACCCGCCCTAGCAAATTCCGCTGAAATGTCTTCCCAGACTTTTACTTACGAGACAGGCCTCCCCTTCCCAAGGGCCCCCTGCTGATCCTGTAGGGCCATTCCCTGATGTTGTGCTCCTGTGTATTCACCCATTTTCAAGGTTAAACATCTGCTCGGTGCTTCCCGTCCTGACCAGAGGTGAGCAGAAAAACACTGGAGCGGGATTTCCTAGTTAAAAATACGAGACCTTTGAAAAGTAAACACCAGAATAACTAAGAACCTATCAGGGCCTCGATGCACAGCATTGCCTTCCATTGCACAAACAAGAGCTCTGAGAAGAGAACTGTCAAGTGAAGACACGTGAGTGTCCTCTCAGTGCTGGCTCCTCTTTGGGAACCCGCCCATAGGCTGCATGGGGCCAGCCAGGAAGGAGGTGCAGCTGCCCACTGGCTGGCACGCACCAGGCCCCTCCACGTGCTCATGTTCCCTTCCCACAGCACTGCACTAAAGGGAAAGTGAGAAGGAGCCTGGCCACAGCTCTGTCAGCTGTCCCTGCTGGGACCTCTGCCTGCACCCGGAGTATTAACCAGCTCCTGTCACTCTCAGATACACCTGCCCCCAGGCAGCTTCTTGAGATCAAATCACCATATTGAGGCTATTACCAGGCAGGGCTGACGGAGAACCGGTGCAAAGCTGCCTTCGGGCACCACTTGTCCGAGGCTGCTCTCGCTGGGCACCCCACAGCCTAAGGTCCCATCCCACAGTCTGTGCATGGTCTTCACCCCATCTGACCCTCCAAGGAGGCTCCCGAATAGCGTGCCCCCTTGGTTCTCTTCGTCTCCATCAAGGAGTCGCCTCAGCCTGGCTTTTACACACTGACACCCCCTGCACTGTCCTTTCCTCTCTCACACATTCTTTTTTTTTTTTTTTTTGAGACAGAGTCTCACTCTGTCACCCAGGCTGGAGTGCAATGGCGCGATCTCGGCTCACTGCAACCTCCGCCTCCCGATTCAAGCTATTCTCCTGCCTCAGCCTCCGCAGTAGCTGGGATTACAGGCACCCACCACCACGCCTAATTTTTGTATTTTTAGTAGAGACGGGGTTTCACCATGTTGGTCAGGCTGGTCTTGAACTCCTGACCTCAGGTGATCCACCTGCCTCAGCCTCCCAAAGTGCTGGGATTACAAAGCCACTGTGCCCAGCAGCTCTCCATTCTGCCTGCTCTTGGCCGACTCCTTTTTTATTGAGACGGAGTCTCGCTCTGTTGCCCAGGCTGGAGTGCAGTGGCGCGATCTCGGCTCACTGCAAGCTCCACCTCCCGGGTTCACACCATTCTCCTGCCTCAGCCTCCCGAGTAGCTGGGACTACAGGCGCCCACCACCACACCCAGCTAATTTTTTGTATTTTTAGTAGAGACAGGGTTTTACCGTGTTAGCCAGGATGGTCTCGATCTCCTGACCTCATGATCCGCCCGCCTCGGCCTCCCAAAGTGCTGGGATTACAGGCGTAAGCCACCGCACCCGGCCTCTTGGCTGACTCTTAAACCTTTTAGCGTTGTCCTGGCCTTGCTCCTCAGCCTCACGTGGGCATTTTCCCCTGCATGCCTGCCTAGATGTTACTGCACACTGGTGTGGTCCAGGGCCAGCAGCATGGGCATCATCTGAGAACCTGTCAGAAATGCAGACTCTCGGGCCACACCCAGACCCACTGAGTTCAAGTCTGCATTTCAACAAAATGTCCAGGCAGTCGAGTGTGAGAAGCTCCAGTGTAAACAATGCTGGGCACGGAGAAGGAGCTCAGCAACGGGTCACACCATTATTATGACCACCACTTACCTCCCTCTGCCCTCACTAAACTGTCTCTTCGTCCCCCTTTCCCGATTGCAGTTAAATGACATAATCAACCTGAATCCCAAGCTAGAAACCTCAGACTTTCACAACTACTTCCGGGCCCTGACTCCCAGATCTCCACAAGGATCAACGAGTCTAGTTACTCTCACTTCAGAAGCATCTCACAGGCCTGCCCTCCCTCAGCCCCACGGCACCCTATCTGTGAGCTCTGTGCAGCTAGGCGTTGTTCACGTGTCTCTCTCCTTGGTAGACTGTGAGTTCTGTGAACAGGGCAGTTTTATTCATCTCTGATTCCCAACAGCCTGCACAGTGTCTGACACAGAGGCTTCAAAACGGTCACTGTTGGTTGAACAAATGGATGAATAAGCAGGTGCGGATGGGAGGGTGGGGTGTGGAGGATAAGTTACTTAAGGTGTGTCAGATAAGAGGAACCAAAAGTGAATGCAAAAATCATGCAGTGTTTTTTCTCAACTTCATAAAGTTGTTGCGGGAATAAAATTAAGTCAGTGGGAAAATCTGACACAGCCTAGATGAAAATATGGGTGTTTTGTTGTTGTTGTTGTTTCGTTTTGTTTTGTTTTTTGAGACAGAGTCTTGCTCTATCGCCCAGGCTGGAGTGCAGTGGTGCAATCTCAGCTCACTGCAACCTCCGTTCAAGCGATTCTCCTGCCTCAGCCACCCCAGTAGCTGGGATTATAGGCATGTGCCATCATACCCAGCTAATTTTTGCATTTTTTTAGTAAAGATGGGGTTTTGCCATGTTGGCCAGGCTGGTCTCGAACTCCTAGCCTCAAGTGACCCACCCAAAGAGCTCCCAAAGTGCTAGGATTACAGGCGTGAGCCACAGCCAGGAGGATTTTTTTAATGAAAATATTTCTAGCTTTTCCCCACCAATTTATACTGCACTACCTTGCTGAGAGGAGGAGTAACAGGTCCAAGGCCACCTCACAGGTCAGTGACCAGGCTGGCTGGAGTTACACCCAGGTCTATACAGGGTCTAGGTGGTTATAAGGTGGGTGGGGAAAGATAAGGTGTTTAAAGATGAGCTAAGTACCTGGGAGGGAAGGAGTGTCCCAGAGGGTGAGGCACAGCTAGAAGCTGGAAGGTGGGCTGCAAGGGGGGTGCAGAGCTCTGCCCTCTTCCTTCATTACTTAGCTTCAGGGTCTGGGAGAGTGGTGAAGGCAAAACACAAACTGGGGCAGGAGGAGCTGGAGGTGGCTTTGTTCTGAGATTCCAAGGTGGACAAACCCACCCACAACACCCAGTACTGCAAACAGTTCCAGGCGAGGTTTAAGCGGAAGGGCCAAGGTTCAAATCACAGGAGACTCTCAGGCCTGAGGGCTTGTCTCACCAACTCGATGATCTTACTCCTGTGGTCCTGCATCACCTAGCATCACGTCTTGCACGCAGCATGGGGTTCCACAGATATCTGGCACTAACTGCCGTGAGCTGGGAGACAGAAGTGCTGCAAGGCTGTACCCCTGCCTTACTCCTAGGGACACTCGGCCCCTACCTCTGCATCGATGCCCCTAGCCCGTCTCTAAGTGTGTAGGAGCACATTCATGACTCATCTAATGAGGGAAGCTGTGTAAACCCCCAGTGGCCAAAGACCACTTACTGGTGGGGAAACTGAGGCACATGGAGAGGAACCATGCATCACACTCAAGGCCCCAAACTCTACTTCTCAGTCCCTGACATGTCATCCCAGGCACTCCTCCTGTCTGTCCTGTGTGGCTGGAACTCTGAACCCGGTAAGTGCACAACACCCATTTTTCTTTGCACTCATCAGCTCCTCAGAATTCTAACACTATTAAAATGGGAATGATCCTCTGCCAAAACAGACAGGTATTCATTCACTCACTTACTCACTCAGTGCCATGGATGGAGGCCTTACTATGTGCCAAGAGCCATTCTAGGGGCTAGAGATACATTGATGAGCAAAACAAAGAGACCTGCCCTTTGAAACTTATATGCCAGTGGGAGGAGACAGACAGTAGACAACACAGTAAATCAGCAAATTACATAGATGCTAGAGAGCAATGTGTGCTACGAGAAGAGAAGAAATCGGCACAGGGCAGGGGAGATTAGGAAGTTGGGGTGGGATGGTGGGTGCAGTTTTAAACAAGGTGGCAAGAAGGCCCCACTGAGAGGTGACCTGGGAAGACAGTGAGCCATGCTGACTTCTGGAGAAGAATATTCCAGCCCAAGGAAACAACCAGGGCAAAGGCCCCATGGTGGGAGCATCCTGGTGTGTTTAAGAACAGCAAAAAGGGCCAGGCACGGTGGCTCACACCTGTAATCCCAGCACTTTGGGAGGCCGAGGTGGGCAGATCGCTTGAGGTCAGGAGTTCAAGACTAGCCTAGCTAACATGGTGAAACCCCATCTCTACTAAAAATACAAAAATCAGCCAGATGTGGTAGCATGCACCTGTAATCCCTGTTACTTGGGAGGCTGAGGCACAAGAATAGCTTGAACCTGGGAGGTGGAGGTTGCAGTGAGCCGAGATCATGCCAGAGTGAAACTCTGTCTCAAAAAAAAAAAAAAGAAAAGAAAAAAAAAAAGGCCAGGTGTGGTGGCTCACACCTGTAATCCCAGCACTTTGGGAGGCTGAGGTGGGTGGATCACCTGAGGTCAGGAGTTCGCAACCAGCCTGGCCAACATGGTGAAACCCCATCTCTACTAAAAATACAAAAAATAGCCGGGCGTGGTGGCGGGCGCCTGTAATCCCAGCTACTCGGGAGGCTGAGACAGGAGAATCGGAGGTGGAGGTTGCAGTGAGCCGAGATGGTGCCATTGCACTCCAGCCGGGGCAATGAGAGCGAAACTCCGTCTCAAAAAAAAAAAAAAGAAAGAAAGAAAGAAAGAAAAAAAGAACAGCAAAAAGGCCAGTGGGGCTTGCCAGAGAGTCATCCATTGTTCATTCATTTGTCCAACACTTACTGGAGACCCGTCTCTTTACCAAGCACTGAGTGGTGAAAACACTAAGAAGGCATGGCCTCTACCCTCAAGGAGCTTATAATGCTGGAAAGGGGAAAGAAAGAATACAAAGGCCCTAAAAGAGGATTACTTGTGGGGCAGAAGGACTCTGGCAAAGCTAGGCTCAGGACCCTCACCCAACCTGGGGTGGAGGAGGGTCCAGGACAGACCCTCAGAGAGAGATGCTGGGCTAGACAGTTGCCCCAGCTCTGACTCTGGTGCTGTTAACAATGCCAGCTGAAAGGCTGGGCAGGGTGGCTCACACCGGTAATCCCAGCACTTTGGGAGGCCAAGGCGGGTGGATCACCTGAGGTCGGGAGTTCAAGACCAGCCTGACCAACATGGCGAAACCCCGTCTCTACTAAATAAACAAAATTAGCCAGGGGTGGTGGCACATGCCCGTAACCCCAGCTACTCAGGAGGCTGAGGCAGAAGAATCGCTTTAACCCGGGAGGTAGAGGTTGCAGCGAGCCGAGATTGTGCCATTACACTCCAGCCTGGACAACAAGAGCAAAACTCCGTCTCAAAAAAAAAAAACAACAACAAACAAACAAATAAAACAATGCCAGCTGTTCTAACTTTGCTCACTTGTTTCTCTTAGCAAAAAAAAAAAAAAAAAAAAAAAAAAAAAAAAAAAAAAAAAACCATTCCCAACACCAGACTCCTAAACTCTTTTTTTTTTGAAACAGAGTCTTGCTCAGTCGCCCAAGCTGGAGTGCAGTGGTGCGATCTGGGCTCACTGCAACCTCTGCCTCCCGGGTTCAAGCGATTCTCCTGCCTCAGCCTCCTGACTAGCTGGGGCTACAGGCATGTGCCACCACGGCTGGATAATTTTTTGTATTTTTAGTAGAGACGGGGTTTCACCATGTTAGCCAGGATGGTCTCAATCTCCTGACCTCGTGATCTGTCCGCCTCGCCCTCCCAAAGTGCTGGGATTACAGGCATGAGCCACCGCGCCTGGCCAAGAAACTCTTAAATTGCAGATGTACACTAGGTGTGTGCTGTGTCCTGGGTAATCTCAGACTAAGAAGGTGGACGCCAGATTGGAAGGTCTGGAAGAGGCCACGCTGCAGGGAACCCGGTGTGCAATGAGTTAAAACTGGTTTTCCAAGACCTCTGAGAATGGGGAAGTAAGTGATGGCATAAAGCCGCAGGGCCTGTTCATTTGTCGGGGGTGGGTAGAGAGGGGGGACTATCACCATCTCCAGGGCGGCCTGCTGTGCTGGGCAGCCTGTGTGCAGTTCCCTGGGTTTACCAGCACTGCTCCAGGGCTTGGCCTCAGGCTACTGGCCTCTGTTAAGCAGAGTTTCCCGGAGTAAACTGAACCTGGGGACTCTGGCTCAGCAGAGCTCTGCTACGGCCTAAGAGATGCTAGCTCTGTTTTCCCAACTTAATGAAAGGGCACTTGACAAGACAGAGCCCAAAGACAGCCCTCTCAAGACCCAGGAGGCTCCAACCCAAGAGAGCTCAGCCCTGCTGATCAAGACTGGGAGACTGGTCAGACCAATCCATACTGGTTGGATCCAGATTCCAAATGAACTGATGGGAAGGTGCTACTGGGTGTGTCACAAACCATAGTCCCAAACACCACAGAGGCAGTGAGGAGGAAGTTGCCCTGGAGGGTCCTAATCAGGTTCCCAACTAAGCAATAGGAGAAGTCTTCAGGTCCCAAGGCTTAGGGTGGGGGTGGGGCACAGATCCTCACTGCTTTTCTGTCCCAGGCTCGGGTACCTGGGAAAACCTGATTCCTGGGTCTGCACTCCCAAAGCCGCCCCCACCCCCACCCCACCGCAGCCTCTGCCTTCACCACTAGGGGTCTGTCTCTCCAGTCTCTGCAGGGAGGCCACCTTCCCTGGGGCTCTCCCAGACTCTGGCTTACTTTACTCAAGTGGTCCTCAGCTCCGATACTAAGATTCAGTCTGTTGAACTTAGGAGGGTACCAACCCACCACCCTGGCCCTGACCCCAGCATCTTTTCAGACCAAACCTGGCAAAGCCAGCTCCTCCCTATCCCACTCCAAAGCTGTCCTCCACTCTCCGTTACAGAAACACCTGCCAGCTCACTCCCTGCTAGGATTCCGAAGTCCCTCCAAGCCCTAGGTCGGCCTGAGCAGCCTCAGCCAGTAGGAGCTCTCCTATGGGAATGAAGGCTGGGAGCATGTTTAGAAAGCAAAGTCCCCAAGTTTAGGATGAGCCCCTCACCCCCATTCCTTTAAAAAAGAGCTTCCCTTTCTGCCTCCTCACTTCCTTCAGCCTGGGAGGGTTCCACTCCATAATTGGCTTGTTTACTGCCACTTTGAGGGTTTCTGAATGGCAGAGATGGGAGGAAAATTTTGCTGGAAGAAAAGGAGTGTGTGCCTTGAGCTTTGAGGCTGATGAGTAAACCCTCCAAATGCCTCTCTAACTACCTGCGAAATGGCCAAGAACCCAGGTGAGAAAAAAACACAAGGCAGTGCAAGGCAGCTGAAGATTTCCAGCAGACCACTGGAGGGAAGCTTACGCTGGCGCCACAATTACCAAAACTTAATCTGCTTGCTTCTGCTGAATAGTCGAAAGCGCTACTTGGCATTGTTCTGAGAAGCGAGCCAATTAGAGACCTCCCAATTCTGCTTCTGTGGGCTAGCACCTCCAGTAACATGACTCCCCTGCTCAAAAACCTGTAGCTCCCAAGCTGGGAGCAAACTTAGCGTCCACCACCGGGCCCCAAACTACTCCAGCCATTGACCACTAAGCATCAGAGCCACTATACCCACCAAACAGGACCACCTGCTGGGCCACAAGCACACTTTTGCTTCTCCACTCCGGTTCTCTGCTTGCGGGGTTCCCTCTGCCTCAAGCAGCAAGCCTCTCTACCTTTTAAGATTCTCCTCAAATGCTCCTTCCCCTGTGGATTCCCCAATTTCCCAGCCCCTTCCTGACTCCACCCCATACTCTAAATCTCCATCGCCCTGGCCTCTTTTCAGGCATCTGTCTTACTCTGTCTTGCTTCAATAGCTCCCTGAGGTCTTGCTCCAGCCCTCCAAGGGAGCGAGTATGTCTTATTCAGCTTTGATTCATCAGGAGCACACAGCACACTACCTGGCAGACGGCAGACACTTGAGAATGGGTCTACCGCTCCAAAATCGTTCACCTCAGAAGCATAGGAAGCGATAGGCAAAGGGACACAGAGTCACACAAACAGAACACTAAAGCCAGCAGACACAAAACACGCCAGGGGAAAAGAGGCGTCAAGAGGAAATTGAACCAGGGGAACTACATCTGGCCTTACCCTTCTTGAACTCCTCCAGCATGGCATCCAACTTGGTGTCATGGAAGACAAAGTGCACCGGGTGGTTATAGAAGCGAGTGATAGTCTTGAGGGGGGTGCAGTCATCGGGGTCCACAAAGGCCAAGTCTTTGACGTAGAGAATATCTACAATATTGGACTGCTCGTCTTCGAACACCGGGATGCGAGTATAGCCGCTTTCCATTATCTCCGACATGGTGTTGAAGTCCAGGATGGCATCGCTGCGGATCATGAAGCAGTCCTGGAGCTGGGTCATGATATCCTCTACAGTTTTGGTCCGTAGTTCCAGGGCACCCTGGATCATATTGAGCTCCTCTTTCACGAGGTCATTATAGGGCTCCGTCACCTTCAACATCTCCATCAGCTTCTCCCGGTTGTAAACAGTGCGAATCTCCTGGCCCAGAAAAAAGTCCAGGAGCTTGCTAATGGGAAAACTGAGGGGGAAGGTGAGTAGCATAAAGAATTTGGTGAGAAGGATGGTGTTGGCACCCACAGCCAGCCCATGTCGGG
The DNA here is from genome assembly GCF_000001405.40 of Homo sapiens. Taxonomy (NCBI): domain Eukaryota; kingdom Metazoa; phylum Chordata; class Mammalia; order Primates; family Hominidae; genus Homo; species Homo sapiens. Next base: position 96,761,873 of record NC_000002.12, on the reverse strand, counting down.
AGCACAGGGCCTGAGGTAGGATCTCCCCAAAGATGACAATGCCAATGGTGGAGGAGGCCACCGCCATGAGGCCGGACCCGATGAGGTTGTCTAGAAGGATTGTGAGGGAGGTGTTGACCAGCACGTTCCCTAGGAGCAACGAGCAGAGAAGGTAGTTGCCCTTGCGCCGGATGGGCTCAATCTTGCGGGCATAGCGCCTCTCCTTCTCGGTGCCACAGTTCTGCACGATGCGCAGCTCCATGGGGTCCAGGGCCATAAGCCCGAGGTTGAGGCCAGAAAATATGCCCGACAGCACCAGCAGCACCGTAATTAGGAGAATGTGCAGCCAGAGAGGCAGGAACCTCCCAGGCTCCTCCACCATGAAGAGCAGTGAGTCCTTGTCCGTCCACTTCAGCCAGGGCCCGTCGGGCTGGGCCCGGGTGCACAGTGCATACAGCTTCATGCTCTCGCTCCTCCGGAGGAACTTGGTGAGCACCACCAGCACGCCGGACGTGTTCCCGCGGCTCACGTTGACCAGCTGCTGGACGACCAGGTCCTTGGTGAGCTCGAGGCAGCTGGTGGACTTGTGGAGGGTCTCGGCATCGTCCACCTCGGTGAAGGAGATCAGGTTGCTGGAGATGTTGCCCAGGCTGTAGCCGTACAGCCTCAGGTTCACGGTGCTGCCCTCGGACACGAAGATGATGCCATCCGGGTTCGTCCCACACGACTTGTTGCAGCTCGCCAGCCTCATGCCCACGATCGTGCCCTGCTGGGGGCTGCCCTGGCCCCGGGCCCCCAGCGCCCACAGCAGCACCAGCAGCACCGGCGCCGCCAGGAGGAGGCGCCCGCGGGCCGGTCCGCCGACCGGGCGCCCGCCCCCGCCCACCGGCGCCATGTTGCTCTGGCTCTGCCGCCGCCGCCGCTCCCCGCGCCACGCCGCGCGGCCCCGGTCCGCACCGCAGCTCCGGCCGCTCCGCTGCCGCCGAGCCAACTGCCCGGGCCGCGAGCCTGACGTCAGGTCAGCGCCCCGCCCGCCCCGCCCCGCCTGCCCACGCCCCTCATTTGCATTGGAGGCCCCGCCCCCGGGGCTCGCTGCTTGAGCGCCCGCCCTTAAGGGGGTACAGTCGCTTAAGGTGGAGCAGCGCCGCCGCGCGAGAGCCGCCAGCGGGTACCCGCCCAGTGCTCCGCCTCCGCGCCCTTCCCCGCCTTTCTCTGCCAGTGGGGCCAGCTCTCCTTCTCCGGGACCTGGTCTCCTAGCTACGCCGTTCCTGTTCCTCGGCCTCGCACGGCCGCACGTGGGAGGCTCCTCTCCCGTCCCTCACCTGCAGCTAGGGGTGGCCCGCTCTGCAGGCAGGGCGAGAAAAGTGCTTTTCCTGATGTAGAAAAAGAAAAAGGAAACCTGAGGGCTTAGGCTGGCATTGCAGCCTGCCCCTTGGAGACTTTTCTGGCCTCCTCACTGCTGAGATTTTTGCCGACCTTGTCCTAAGGCCAGAAGTAGGTTACCCCAGCCCCAGCCCCAGCCCGACGATGCTTCCATCAACCAGTGGCTGCCTGATGTGGAAGGCAAATCTGGGGAACTAAGGTTATAGAAGGGGCAGGCTCTGGCCTAGACTTCTCTCCTGTCTCTTCCATTTAGGCATAGATATTTATTGAACACCTACTTTGTACCAGGCACTTGTTCTAGGCTCTGACAATAGAGCAGTGAACAAGCCAAAGTCGCTGCCCATTGGGGTTTACAGTCTAGAACAGAAAACAGGAGATAAACAAGTAAACACATATATTCATTAAATCCCCCCAACAACCCTCAGAGTTAGTAGAATTATTTCCATTTAGAGATGCAGAAATTGAGCCGAGACAAAAATCCTGGTGCCTCCATACTGTCATCTCCCAGCCCATTTCTCCATCTGTAAATGGGGGTAAGAATGACAGAGCATTACTTCGCTAAGCTTGCGGGATTGTGGACCTAGACATTGAACATGACAGGACAGCTCTTTAGAATATTCTTTGGCTAGGTAGTAGTTGTTGCTACCTGCCTTCCAGGACCAAACTCCTAACCCCAAATTGTGGTGATTGATCAGCTGGGCAGCTGCTTGTGGACATGAGCAGGCAGGCGCGGCAGTGGGCCTATCCCTGAAATGACTGCTTCCTGAATGGCCCTAGCCCTGTGTCAGTAGGGTGTATAAGGAAGACCACAGCTGCCCGCCCTGTGAGGGGGAAGAAGACAGACAGATAAACATCCTTACAATAATTGCACAGGTGCACAGAGAAGATCAGGTACTGGGTTGACCACCAGGTCTCACAGCAAATCTTTTGCCAGTACTGAAGACACAGAACCCACTTTACTCCCTTCCCGCACTGACACTTGTATTTATTTTCATTTTGGTGTAATGTTTGCTAATAAAAGCAGCAATCAGTACCAAACGGAAGGAGCCTAAACAGAAAGGATCACACAATGTTGTGGGAGGAGGTGTGGTAGCAGAGAGGCCCTGACTCAAGAAAGCCCTGTTAGCTGGGATTGAGGGTTCTGTAAACTAGGCCAGCCTGGAGAAGTATGTTGCTAGTAGGGGCCCCACTCATAGCGGATACTTTGCAGTGAGTGCCCAGCAGGTCAGTTTTTTCGAGGAATAGGAGCCTTGGAATGGGCACTGGCTGAGACAGAACAAAAGCAGAACCTTGACTGCCTGTTCCTTCCCTGTCTCCACCAACCAGGAAGAGCTACCTGAATTGCCTCAAAGCAAACCCAGCTCTCCTCATCTCCTAGTGAGCTGTAACACCAGCGCCCTGCTCCACCCCTACCCCCACCTCCCATACTTAGAAACTTTCCCATTCTATTATCAATCAATTGGCTATTTTTTCCCTTTTTCTTATGATTTTATTTTTTTCTCTATTATGTCTTTTTTCTGCTTAAGTACGAATTGGCTCCTTTTATTTTACCCTTTTCAGGCTGTCTACACTCAGAAGCTCTGTTCATATGCACTGAGTCTAATGACAGAAGCCAATAAAGAAAAGGAAAAATAAGTTTTTTAGATATTTAGGTTAAATGTGGGATTACCAGCTTGGGCAACATAGCAAAAACTCATTTCCACTAAAAATTTAAAAAATAAAAAGTTAGCTTGGCATGATGGTGCACACCTGTAGTCCCAGGACCTTGGGAGGCCAAGGCGGGCAGATCACCTGAGGTCAGGAGTTCAAGACCAGCCTGGCCAAGATGATGAAACCCCGTCTCTACTAAAAATACACAGTTAGCCAGGTGAGGTGATGCACGCCTGTAGTCCCAGCTACCCGGGAGGCTGAGGCAGGAGAATCACTTGAACCCGGGAGGCGGAGGTTGCAGTGAGCCGAGATCACGCCACTCACTCCAGCCTGGGTGACAGAGCGAGACTCCATCTCAAAAAATAAATAAATAAATAAATAAATAAATAAATAAATAAATAAAAATAAAAAGATAAACACAGTATCACTTGTTGGAGAAGGCACACGGGGCCCAGGCCGAAGTCCAGGTTCATTTGCTGCCAGCTTGCAACCCTGGTTAGGGAGTCTGCCTTTTCTGCATCTGCCATGTCGAAATACCTCTCCCACCGTAGGGACAGCATGGAGATAGCAGTCTATTAACATGCTGAGTCAGGAAGCTTGGATGCATGTGTGGCTCTCTGTTAGCCAGGCGGTGAGAATGGCAGAAAGCAAACGTGCAAGCGAGGAGCCTCTCTCCTTTGGGGGCAGATAAAGGCATGATCAAACCTGTTTTCTCTGCCTCAAGGTGGCAAGTCCTTACTTACCTAGTTGCTTCTATTTGCAAGTAGAAATTGCCCAGAGGAGTCCTGATCCTGGACCCCTGAGCATGTAACAGCACCCTAGTCATGAGATCCTTGGAGCTCACTGCTTCTTTCCAGGTGTAAGCCCTATGGCAACATGGCTACACCTCCCATAATTGAGCCCACTCCCTTCTGGTTCTGTGCAGGGAAACAGTCTTAAAGGCTTAGTGCCCCTTCACTTGTACCTGGCATCATGCTGATGCTGGAGATCCGATGATGAACAAGGATCCTGAATTAGTAACCTGGGATCTAATCCTCCCAGGCTAGCTTCTTAGCCCTCTTCACCCTCTGGGTCTCCAAGATGGGGTGCTGCTGGCAGAGGAGCTGCTGGCAGAGAAGCTGCTGGCAGAGAAGCTGCCCTTCCGCTAGTGGGGCTCAGAGCCTGAGGCCTGCCCTGGCCCCACAATGGGTAGAATCCCTCTGGGTGCACCGTGGGCCCCGGGGTTGGAGAACCTGGTTGGGGACCATGAGACATCTTTTCAGGGTGAGCTATGCCCGTCGTCAGTACATGCAGTGGCCTGTTCACCGGCTGCCCATGAGTCTACTATGATAGCCCTGAACATCTGCAGGACTCATCCATGCAGTTAAATTGTCTCAGGAAGGAAGGAGCAGTCAACCCTCTACAGAAGGACAGAGTTAGCGTGGAGTTAGCTAGGGTGGTGCTCAAATCCCAACTCAGGTCATCCCAGCAAGTGGGGGCATGAGGACTTGGATAGGAGGATGTCATGATTTCTGCCTGAGACAAATGTTTAATTGAGCCAGAGGAGGGAGTGAGAGCATCACATCAGTGGGTCCAGGCCAAGGAAGTCGAATGCCAGAGCAGCAAAGGTGAAGGGGTTTGTATTAACTATGTAAGTGGGCTTCAAGCTTCCTCTGGCCATAGGACAAATTGTTTTTCTTGGGAGCAGGACCATGGAAGGCAGGATACCCCACCATGGAGGTTCAGAGCACAGCTTTGAAGGACCCTGGGGGCTGGCTTGGCTGCTGATTGCCTGTGTGACCTGGGACTCTGGGACATTCTCGAGTGTTGAGTGAAATGATGAGCCATAAGTACTTCACAAGTGCCTGGCCCATAGTAAGAGCTCAATAAACATGCCCAGTCACCATGATAATGATGAAAATGATGTGGCCAGGATCATTTTTTTTCTTTTTCTTTTTTTTTAAGACGGGGTCTTGCTCTGTCATCCAGGCTGGAATGCAGTGGCATAATCATGGCTCAATGTAGCCTCAACCTCCCTAGGCCAAGTAATCCTCCCACCTCAGCCTCCTGAGTAGCTGGGACCACAGTCCCAGCGCACGCCACCATGCCCAGCTAATTTTTTTTGTTTTTTTGTAGAGACGGGTTCTCCCTATGTTGCCCAGTCTGGTCTCGAACTCCTGGTCTCAAGTGATCCTCCTAGTTCGGCCTCCCAAAGTGTTGGGATTACAAGTGTGAGCCACTGTACCCAGACCCACAGCCAGGATTTTTAGAAGACACTTGTAAATTTCCTTAGCTCCAGTGTGTCTCTCCATCCACCTGCAGCCACAGTCTTCTCGTTCATTTTCTTCCCTTTCTTCCAGAGGGAGAACACCAGGTGTGGATGATGAGGGAAGAAGGGAGGCTGAGGGGGAGGCCACCTGGGACTAAGCAAGACCCCATTGGACCCTTGGGCCTCCGTCGGGAGGACAGAAAGGAGGCGGGAGTGGAGGAGAAACCTGTTGGAAGAGAGCCTAAGAAAGGTTTTCACAGCACAGAGGGGCTCAAGCTGAAAAGGCTGGGGAAGCCAGGAAGAGAGGGAAGCCTCTCATTCGGTGTCAGACACCTGGCAAGCCCTTAGGCAAGGCCTGCCTGGGAAGCCCCTGCTAGTACCAGGGCCTGGGGGGGGAGTCCTTCGGCCTGCCCTCTCTCATGCCACCATCCTCCCGTCCTCTGTCCCCAAGACTGGCTACCCCAGGAAGCTTTTCCTTCCACCTCCAAAAACACAAAGACCGTTATTTTAAGACATTAACTATAAATCACTAGAGAAAAACAAGAAAGAACAAGATAGCAGACACTGAGTATTTATAAAGGCCTAATAACAAAGTGCTTGGAATCATTGTCCCTAGTTTCTGACCCTTTTTCTGAGTTGGCAAATGAATAAAAGTCTATAGCAAAAATATCAAGGGCTCTGTCCCTTGCTAACCAGAGAATTGGGGCAAAGTGCTTTACCTCTTACGGCCTTGGTTTCTCCATTTTTAAGATGGGGATTACCTGGGAGGCAGAGGTTTCAGTGAGCCGAGGTCACAGCACTGAACTCCAGCCTAGGCGACAGAGTGAGACTCTGTCTCAAAAAAAAAAAAAAAAAAAAAAAAAAAGGCCGGGTGTGGTGGCTCACACCCGTAATCCTAGCACTTTGGGAGGCCAAGGTGGGTGGATCACCTTAGGTCAGAAGTTCGAGACCAGCCTGGTCAACATGGTGAAACCCCGTCTCTACTAAAAATAAAAAAATTAGCCAGGTGTGGTGGTGTGCACCTGTAATTCCAGCTACTCAGGAGGCTGAGGCAGGAGAATTGCTTGAATCCAAGAGGCAGAGGTTGCAGTGAGTCGACATTGTGCCATTGCACTCCTGCCTGGGCGACAAGAGCAAGACTAAAATAAACAAATAAATACATCCATAAAATAAATAAAAATAAATAATTTAAAAAATAAGATGGGAGGCCAGGCGTGGTGGCTCATGCCTGTAATCCCAGCACTTTGGGAGACTGAGGCAGGCGGATCACGAGGTCAGGAGACCAAGACCATCCTGGCTAACACGGTGAAACCCCGTCTCTACTAAAAATACAAAAAATTAGCCGGGCGTGGTGGCAGGCACCTGTAGTCCCAGCTACTCAGGAGGCTGAGGCAGGAGAATGGCGTGAACCTGTGAGGCGGACGTTGCAGTGAGCCAAGATTGTGCCACTGCACTCCAGCCTGGGCGACACAGCAAGACTCCATCTCAAAAACATTAAAAATTAAAATTAAAATTAATAAATAAATAAATATATAAATAAGATGGGGATCAAGAGACCCTTCTCGCTGCATCAAAAGGACGAAATGAGCCAGAGTTTGAAAGCACTGCTTCATAAATATTAGTTCCTTTTCCTTCCCCAGTCCAAGATTTTCAATTACATTTCAATCATTTGATCATTTGTGTAATTTTCTATTTTTACTGGGCTTCTAAAATGCAAACGTTATACATGTTCACTGCAACAAATTCAAATAACACAGTGTATAAAGTAGAAGACGTTGGTCCTCCTTCCCCTTCATCTCAGTGCCCAGGGATTATTTTTCTGTTAGGTATTTTGCCACCGTCTGCCTTCTTCTCTACCGTACTCTGGGCTAGAGGCCATTTCTTATTGGGTTTAGAATCCCTTGGGGACAAAAACTGTATCCTAGTCATCTCTGTATCAGGAATGCCCAGCATTCCATATGCATTTATGGAATGAATTGGACTTCCCTTAAAAAAAAGGTATGAGCATGCAGTGGTGTGCACCTATAATCCCAGCTACTCAGGAGGCTGAGGCAGAAGGATCAATTGAGCCCAGGAGTTTGAGGCTGCAGCATGTTACAATTAGTCCTGTGATTAGCCACTGTACTGTAGCCTGGGCAACACAGCAAGACCCCATCTCTAAAAAAAAAAAATAAAGTGGAGTAGGAATAATACTTCTGGGGCCCAGGGGTAGGAAATGAGTGGGAAGCACTTGGCCAGTGGCCTTATATGGAAAATTACAATTCAGTTTCCAGAGACTATATGTATTGATATAAGTTATGTTCTTTTTCTTAAATCTGTGTCTTGATCCAACTAAACTGATTTCTTGACTGATCCACATTTGAAAAATACTGGTCTCATATATTGCTCGTGGGTATCCCAGTGGAATTCCTCTGGGAGGAAGGCTGCAGGGACTGGTGGGCATTAGAAGGCTCCAGTCTATGTAAGCGGCACCCACACCTACAGAACTTGGCACAACTCACATGTGGCAATAAATCACCTCGGGCATACTAATGAGGCAAGTTCCTGATTCCTCAATCTTATCGTGTCCCAACTCACCCAGAAATCCATAGAGCCTTTGAGATCTTCATTCCCAAGTATTCAGATTTTCTCAGGTTTGTCCCAAACAATTGCCAAGGTGCCAATTACCTGTAGACATTTAGCAACCAGCTCAACTTGCTGGGCCTCGGGGCCTTTATCTTTAACATAAGAGGACTGGATCAGATAAACAGGTTCAATGCTGATTTAAATTCCTGGATGTGTAATTCTTCCTGGGCAACACAGGAAAGAATTGCAACTGACCTCTGTAAGGTGAAGGCAAAATCAGCATCATCGGATGTAGTGGGCACCTGTTGTTTGGATCTGTCCAGCTTCCTGTCCTCTTTCTTCCAGGCACGGTACCTCCCCTTTCTCTGGAGACTTGACCCTCCCCCATTTCCAAGGGTTCCAGTAGGAATGGGCAACTGCCCAGGCATGGACAATCAAAGCACCCCTGGCTGTGGTTCATCTACAGTGGGGAGGAGACCAAGAAGGGTTGATCAGGGGTCTGACTGGGGCTTTTATACAAGGAGGAGATCCCTAAATGGAGGTTATGGGAGCCTCAAGCTGTCAGCTACAGTGTCCCCTCTACCTGCTGAATGCACTGCTTCTGTCCCCCTTCACCTCAGCCCTGCAAGGAGACTGGGAGGGGTACCATTCTTAGTCTCATTTTCCAAATAGAGATTTGGAAAGGTTAAGAATCCTTCTCAGGGTTGGGTGCAGCAGTTCACACCTGCAATCCCAGCACTTTGGGAAGCCAGGAGTTTGAGACCAGCTTGGGTAACATAGTGAGACCACTACCACCAACCCACCCCCGCCCCCGCCCCCATCTCTACAAAAGTTAAAAAATAGGCCGGGCATGGTAGCTCACGCCTGAAGCCCAGCACTTTGGGAGGCAGAGGTGGGTGGATCACCTGAGGTCAGGAGTTCAAGACCAGCCTGGCCAATATAGTGAAACCCCATCTCTACTAAAAATACAAAAACTTAGCTGGGCGTGGTGGTGGGCACCTGTAATCACAGCTACTTGGGAGGCTGAAGAATGAGAATCACTAGAACCCGGGAGGCAGAGGTTGCTGTGAATTGAGATTGCACCACTGCACTCCAGCCTAGGCAACAGAGCAAGACTCTGTCTCAATAAAATAAAATAAAATAAAATAAAATAAAATAAAATAAAATAAAATAAAATAGGCTGGGCGTGGTGGCTCACGCCTGTAATCCCAGCACTTTGGGAGGCTGAGGCAGGTGGATCACCTGAAGTCAGGAGTTTGAGACCATCCTGGCCAACATGGTGAAACCTCGTCTCTACTAAAAATACAAAAATTAGCTAGGTGCGGTGGCGCACGCCTGTAATCCCAGCTGCTGGGGAGGCAGAGGCAGGAGAATCGCTTGAACCCGGGAGGCGGAGGTTGCAGTGAGCCAATATCGCGCCACTGCACTCTAGCCTAGATGACAGAGTGAGACTCCATCTAAAAAAAAAAAAAAAAATTAGTTGGGTGTGGTGGCAGATGCCTGTAATCCCAACGACTCAGGAAGCTGAGGCAGGAGAATTGCTTGAACCGGGAAGTCAGAGGGTGCAGTGAGCCGAGATTGGGCCACTGCACTCCAGCCTGGGTGACAGAACAAGACTCCGTCTCAGAGAAAAAAAAAAAAAAAATTATGACCTTTTTATCAGCGATCTCAACTCAGTGGGGACTTAACATGACACGGTTTTATTTCTTTTCCATTCAAGGCTTTTAACCCATTTCTGTCACATTTCCCTTTCTGTATCCTTCTTGAGGTCTTGGATAGATTCCATAGCTTTATTATGACTTTTAGCGTTAAAAGCCCAATCAGGGCCTGTAACCCCAACACTGTAGAAGGCTGAGGAGGGAGGATTGCTTAAGCCTAGGAGTTCAAGACTAGCCTCGTCAACATGGCAAAACCCCATCTCTGTGAAAAACTTAAAAATTAGCCAGGCTTTCTGGTGCACACCTGTGGTCCTTGCTACTTGGGAGGTTGAGGCTGGAGGATCGCTTGAGCCCAGGAGGTCGAGCCTGCAGTGAGTCATGATTGCTCTACTGCATTCCAACCTCAGAGCAAGGCCCTGCCTCAAAAACAAAACAAAACAAAACAAACAAACAAAACAAGCCGGGCACGGTGGCTCACGTCTGTAATCCTAGCATTTTGGGAGGCTGAGACGGGCAGATCACTTGAGGTCATGAGTTCGAGACCAGCCTGGCAACCATGGCGAAACCCTGTCTCTACTAAAATACAAAAATTAGCCAGGCATGGTGGCGCATGCCTGTAGTCCTAGCTGCTTGGGAGGCTTAGTAGGCAGGAGAATCTCTTGAACCCGGGAGGAGGAGGTTGCAGTAAGCTGAGATTGTGCCGCTGCACTCCTGCCTGGGTGACAGAGCGAGACTCCATCTCAAAAAAAGAAAGAAAGAAAGAAAACAAACAAAAACAAAACGAACAAACAAAAAAACAAACAAAAACCCCTGCCATCTCATTTCTGATATATATCATCTGTGTTCCCGCCCTGTCATCCTTCTCCAGGCTTGGGGATCAGTTTCTGCTGCAGGGACTTGGATGTGGGGAAGGGCTTTGGTCAGCCTTTCACCCCTCCATTTGCTGCAGTTGGCTGGAGGGGGATATATTTGTGTGTTCACTTGTGCCTGGTGTTGAGTGTAGGCGGTCATGGGATGGTCCTGGTACACGTTCCCTTCCTTCTCAGGTCTAACTTTTCCAGTGTTGAGGAAAGAGAGAGAAGAAGGGTAATTTCCCTTTACTTAATTTCCCACAGTTTAATCGCCACTCCTTTTGTGGTTGTTACTGGTTGACTGAGTGTGATTTGGTGTCCAGATATTGGTTCTCATAGTGGGAGGCTCAGCCCCTGTCAGGTCTCCTTGCTTCTTGCTTCTCACTGTTGGGGTCCCGTTTGCCTGGAGGGTACCCTTCTTTGGGGAGCCTACCCAAGGGTTGTAGTAGAGACCACTCCAGGGCCAACCCCTCTTTTTTTTTTAATTTTCGAGACAGGGCTTGCTTTGTTGCCCAGGCTAGAGCGCAGTGGTGCAATCTCGGTTCACTGCAGCCTCAACCTCCTGGCCTCAAGTGATCCTCCCACCTCAGCCTCCCGAGTAGCTGGAACTACAGGCATGCACCAGTGCACCCTGCCACCAACCCCTCTTTCTGCCCAACTCTCTCTCTAATTCTCTCCTCCCTCTGCTCTAAGAGTGAGGAGGGCAGGAGAGCAAGTTCACTGCCTGAGCAGAGGTCTGATTGTGGCATGAGGTGCCAGTCTTCCTTCTTTGCAGGAGCCTCCAAATTGTTTTGGAACATCCCCTTCATTTGACTTGGAAAGGTATGTGAGTTATCTTTTTTTTTTTTTTTGAGACAGAGTTTCACTCTTGTTACCCAGGCTGGAGTGCAATGGCATGATCTTGGCTCACCGCAACCTCCACCTCCTGGGTTCAAGCAATTCTCCTGCCTCAGCCTCCCGAGTAGCTGGGATTACAGGCATGTGCCACCACGCCCGGCTAATTTTTGTATTTTTAGTAGAGACAAGGTTTCTCCATGTTGGTCAGGCTGGTCTCGATCTCCCGACCTCAGGTGATCCGCCCACCTCAGCCTCCCAAAGTGCTGGGATAACAGGTGTGAGCCACCGCGCCCGGCGTGAGTTATCTATTGATGTATAAAAAAGTATGCCCAAAACTCAGTGGCTTAAAACAATAAGCATTTATTATGTCACAGTTTCTGTGGGGAGGAATTAGGAAGCAATTTAGCTGGGTGGTTCTGGCTCAGACTCTCTCATGGGTTGCAGTCAATGTTGGCTGGGGCTGCAATCACCTGAAGGCTTTAATTGGGGCTGGAAGATCCACCTCCAACCTCACTCTCGTGGCTGTTGGCAAGAGGCTTCAGTTTCTCACCATGAGGACCTGCATGAAGGGCTGCTCACAATATTGTAGCTGGCTTTCCCTAGAGTAAGTGATCCGAGGAGAAAAACACTGAGGTGGAGACCGCAATGTCTTTTATGACTTAGCTTCAGAAATGCCATATCACTGCTTCTTCCATATTCTATTGGTCACATAGACCCAACCTAATATCGTGTGGGAAAGAACTACACAAGGGCATGAATAGCAGGAGGGGAAATCATGGGGGCCACTTGGAAGTGACTATCACAAGATGTGAGGGAAAATTCTCTTTACTGAGCACTGATCCACTGATAAATTTCCCGCCATCCTGACCCCTAACAGCTTCTCTCTGTCTCTCTCTTTTATTTTTTTTGGATGGAGTTTCGCTTTTGTTGCCCAGGCTGGTGTACAATGGTGCAATTTGGCTCACTGCAACCTCTGCCTCCCAGGTTCAAGAGATTCTCCTGTCTCAGCCTCCCAAGTAGCTGGGATTACAGGCATGCGCCACCATGCCCGGCTAATTTTGTATTTTTAGTAGAGATGGGGTTTCTCCATGTTGGTCAGGCTGGTCTCGAACTCCTGACCTCTGGTAATCCACCCGCCCTGGCCTCCCAAAGTGCTGGGATTACAGGCGTGAGCCACCACGCCTGGCCCGCTCTCTCTTTTTTAGACAGGGTCTCATTCTATCACCCAGGGTGGAGTGCAGTGGCACGTTTATAGCTCACTGTAATCTCAAACTCCTGGGCCCAAGTGATCGTCTGGCCTCAGCCTCCTGAGTAGCTGGAACTACAGGTGCTCACCACCATGCCTGGCTAATTTTTTCAATGTTTTTGTAGTGATGGGGTGTCATTATATTGACCAGGCTGTTCTCGAACTCCTGGCCTCAAGCCATCTTCCCTCCTCAGCCTCCCAAAGTGCTGGGATTACAGGTGTAAGCCACCATTCCCTGACCCAACAGCTTCTCTCTCTCTTTTTTGTAATTGGACAGCCTCCTCAGCCAGAGAAGGCTTAGAGAGACTTTCTAGCTTCTCTTAAAGACTGAAAATTTGGTCTTACTGGGGTGATGGTATGGCTCTGAGGACTTGTTTTTTGCTTAGATGTCCAATAGAAATATAAACCTATTATCACCAAAATGAAACTACTGATCTTTTCTCCATAAAGACATATCTTCCATAATTTCCCTTCTATCAGTATATGGCAATTCCATCTTTCCAGTTGCTGTGGCCCAAAATCTTGGAGTCATCCTTCACTCCTCTCCTTCTCTCTCTCTCTCTTTTTTTTTTTTTTTTTTTTTTTTTTTTGAGACAGAGTCTCGCTCTGCCACACAGGCTGGAATGATGGAGTAGTATGATCTCGGCTCACTGCAACCTCCGCCTCCCGGGTTCAAGCAATTCTCCTGCCTCAGCCTCCCGAGTAGCTGGGATTACAGGCATGTGCCACCACACCTGGCTGATTTTTGTATTTTTAGTAGAGATGGGGTTTCACCATGTTGGCCAGGCTGGTCTTGAACTCCTGACCTCAGGTGATCCGCCCGCCAGGGCCTCCCAAAGTGTTGTTTACAGGCGTGAGTCACTGTGCCTGGCCCATTCCTCTCCTTTTCTTAGACCTCTGTGTTTCCCATCAGCAAACCCTGCTGGCTGTACCTTGAAAATATATCTAAGACCCATCCAGTAGCCCCACCCAGCCCCCAGCCCTTCCCTTTCCCACTGGGTAACCGCACAGCTGCCTGCTTATTCTCTTTGCTCCTACCCTTTCTACTCTACAGTCACTCCTCAAGTCAGTAGCCAGAGTGATCCTTTAAAAATATAGGTTAGATTACAACCTCCTCTGTTCAAAACCTTCCAGAGACTCTCCATCTCTTTTATTTATTTATTTGAGACAGAGTCTCGCTCTGTCGCCCAGGCTGGAGTATAGTGGCGTGATCTCGGCTCATTGCAACCTCCACCTCCTGGGTTCAAGCGATTCTCCTGCCTCAGCCCCCACAAGTAACTGGGATTACAGATGCGTGCCATCATGCCTGGCTAATTTTTGTATTTTTAGTAGAGACGGAGTTTCACCGTGTTGGCCAGGCTGGTCTCAAACTCCTGACCTCAGGTCATCTGCCTGTCTTGGCCTCCCAAAGTGCTGGGATTACAGGTGTGAGCCACTGTGCCTAGCCCAGTCTTTCATTTCATGCTTTCAGAAGTCCAGTGTGGTGGGTTTCATCACACTCATTTTACAGACAGAAGATCTGAGACTCAGAGAGATTACGTAATTTTCCTGAGATCATACAGTACAGCTGGGTCTCAAAAGGCAGAAGTTTCATTCCAACTCCAATCAGATATGCCAGAGTTCTCCTCCTTCACCACACCCCATTCTACGATCCTTGGCGAATCTTATGCCCTAACTCTGTGGGAAGCAAGCATCTGGATCCCCAGAGGCATTGCTGAATTGTGGGAGCTCTGCCACTGCAAGGAGAGCCACCATAGATCTGAGATCTGGTCCTCAGGATACTGGTTTTTATCAATTCCCCTGCAAATAAACAGACTGGGAGGGCTAAGTCACTCTGGCTAAACTAATAACTAAGTGATAAACCCAAATACACACTAATTTCTTAATTTATACAGAAAAATTAAACTGCTAAGAGGATTAGAACGTTAGGCTGGAAGTCTTTATAAATACGCTCAGAAAATAGGCTTTATTTGAATAAAGTTATATGGAGATCTAACACAGGCTGCTTAGAAGCACTCTCTTTCCTGGACAGAACTGATACAACTCTGACTTATTTTCATCCCTTGACTGTTCTTTTTCTAGATTGCAGACGCCTCTCTCTTTAGTTATGACAACATTATATTGGATGGGTCACAATGAACTTTACTAGATTATAGTTAATTACAGTTTTCCTTCCCTCAGGGAAATTTAGAAAACACCACAAATGCATACCCAGCATATTTCCTCATCATCTCCACGGGAGACTTTGAGAAGCTTTTCCTTACGGCAACTCTCACACATCCATGAAGCTGGAGGGAGTGTTGTGCACCCCTATCTCAGCTGCAGCAGTTCTCAACATCCTGATGCTTTTTTTGTTTATCCATCCTACCCTTCTAAACACACACACACGATATTCCTCTAGAGTATCTTAAAGCAAATCTTTAATTCTTATCTTTAAATTCAGGAGTTGGAGCCTCTATGAACTGTTCTTGTCATTTTTTTTTTTTAAGAGATAGGGTCTTTCTCTGTCACCCAGGCTGGAGTGGAGTGGCCTGATCATGGCTCACTACAGCCTTGACCCCCGGGGTAAAATGTCGCAGCCTCCCAAGTAGCTGGGCCTACCGGCGCACACTAGCACACCCAGACAATTTTTTGTATTTTTTGTATTTTTTAGAGACGGGGTCTTACTATGTTGCCCAGGCTGGTGTCAAACTCCTGAATTCAAGTGATCCTCCTGCCTCGGCCTCCAAAGTGCTCGTACTGCAGGTGTGAGCCACTGAGCCCAGCCTGTCCTAATCTTAAAGATTACCACAACAAGTCATTGTGAGGTCAAAATGAGATACTGCATGTGAAAGGGCTGTAGTTCTGAAAACTGGGCTGCGTATTAAATTCTCTGGTGGAGGGTGGGGTGGGCACGATGGCTCATGCCTATAATTCCAACACTTTCGAGGGCCAAGGTAGTAGGATGCCTCGAGCCCGGGAGTTCAAGACCAGCCTGGGCAAATAGCAAGACATTATCTCTACAAAAAATAAAATAATAGCCAGGCATGGTGACACCTGACTGTATTCCAACTACTCAGAAGGCTAAGGCAGGAGGATCCCTTGAGCCCAGGAGTTTGAGCCAGGAGAATCCCTTGAGCCCAGGAGTTTGAGGCTGCAGTTCACACCACTGCACTCTAGCCTGGGTGACAGAACAAGACCCCATCTCTTAAAAGAAAAAAAAAAAGGCCAGGCATGGTGGCTCACGCCTGTAATCCCAGTACTTTGGGACGCTGAAGTGGGCGGATTGCTTGAACCCAGGAGTTCGAGACCAGCCTGGCCAACATGGTGAAACCCCGTCTCTACAAAAAATATAAAATTTAGCTGGGTGTGGTGGCATGTGCCTGTGGTCCCAGCTACTCAGGAGGCTGAGGTGGGAGGATGGCTTGAGCCTGGGAGGCAGAGGTTGCAGTGAGCTGTGATCACACCACTGCCCTCCACTGGGTGATAGAGTGAGACTCTCTCTCAAAAAAAAAAATTAAATTCTCCAGGTTTTATTTTTTTTTCTTCAAAGCTAAATCCCTACACTTGTTGAGTCACGTGTCTGGCAGTAGGGCTCAGGCAAAGGTACCTACCCCAGGATATTTGACTGTGGCTTTCAGGAGTCCAATGTTGAGAAGTCACCGCTGGGAAGTAGCTAGCTAGTTAGTGTTGGAGCTGCTATCCTCTTGTATGCTTCAGTGGCTACCTGGGGAACTGGAGGTACAGTTGGTAGGACCCGGTCAGCTGTGACTATTGGGCTGAAGATGGACCTGACACACTGGATACCTGAGGATGGATGGATGGTTGTACTTGGCCTAGGGAGGGCTGCTTCTGTCCTGGGAGGGGGTGGATCAGAATTGAATGGCAAGGTTTGTAAAAGAAGGGTGAGAAGCAGTGGAAAGAATAGGCCAAGAGGCTGCCCTGGAGCCTCTGTCATGGGGTGAAGGGGCATCAGGCTTCAAGGTGCTCCTGAGTGGAGGTACTTCTTTGGTTGTTGTTGTTTTTAATTTTTTAAAAGGGACAGGGTCTCAACATCTTGCCCAGGCTGATCTTGAACTCCTGGGCTCAAGCGATCCTCCCAAAGTGCTAGAATTACAGGCATGAGCCACTGCGCCCAGCCCTGCTCTTTGGTTTGGAAGACAGGAAGGTAGAGGAATCATGCAGAACTGCTGGAATGCACAACTCACATTGCATATGAATACCCCGGCCCTGAAGTTGTGCAGCCCTAGATCGTGGGAGATAGATGATTCCACAGAGAAAAAGGGGACCACTAGGCAGCTGAAAGGATGGTAGCGCAAGACCTGAGCCAGCTTTCGGAGGTGCCTCTGCGTGTGAGTAAAAGGTGGCGTTGAAGGGGCCATGGCTACTTGTTCTCTTTCCCACTACCACCCCTCAACACCTTGACTGTGTTGAACTTAGCTGAAGCTTGTGCTTCTGAAAAGCACCTACAGTAAAGAAATTCCCCATCCTTTTGTCTTCCTTCCATCTCACTTTGTAGACTCCGTTGTCCAGGCTGGAGTATAGTGGCGCGATCTTGGCTCACTGCAACCTCTGCCTCCCAGGCTCAAGAGATTCTCATATCTCAGCCTCCCAAGTAGCTGGGATTACACACACGTGCCATGATGCCCGGCAAATTTTTTATGTATTTTTAGTAGAGACAGGGTTTCACCATGTTTGTTGGCCAGGCTGGTCTTAAACTCCTGACATATGATCTGTCCGCCTCAGCATCCCAAAGCGCTGGGATTACAGGCATGAGCCACTGCGCCCAGCTGAGAGATGGCTGTCTTAACGGACTACCCTGCTCTGGAATATCCCAAGATAAGACCCACTTCCACCCTTCCTCAGTGACTCAGATAAGACCCTCTCCATCCTTCCTCTCACGAAAGATCCCTTGTTTACCTGGATTACCCCAGGTCTCCTTCCTTTTGTTTTGCTTTGAGATGGAGTTTCACTCTTGTTGCTCAGGCTGGAGTGCAATGGCGTGATCTCGGCTCACTGCAACCTCCGCCTCCTGGGTTCAAGCAATTCTCCTGCCTCAGCCTTCCAAGTAGCTGGGATTACAGGCACCATGCCTGGCTAATTTTTGTATTTTTAGTAGAGACAGGGTTTCACCATGTTGGCCAGGCTGGTCTCGAACTCCTGACCTCAAATGATTCCGCCCTCCACCCCCACCTCGGCCTCCCAAAGTGCTGGGATTGCAGGTGTGAGCCACCGAGCCCCGCCTGTCCTTCCTTTCCTTTTTTTTTTCTTTTGAGATGGAGTCTCACTCTGTTGCTCAGGCTCGAGTGCAGTGGCATGATCTTGGCTCACTGCAACCTCTTCCTCCTGGGTTCAAGCGATTCTCCTGCCTCAACCTCCCGAGTGGCTGGGACTACAGGTGTGCACTACCACGCTTGGCTAATTTTTGTATTTCTAGTTGAGATGGGGTTTCACTATATTGGCCAGGCTGGTCTCGAACTCCTGACCTCATGATCCACCCGCCTCAGCCTCCCAAAGTACTGGGATTACAGGTATGAGCCACCGGGCCTGGCTCTTCCTTTTCTTTGATACATTCCTCATTAATAAGCATTCTTCCTATTGCAACAGTCTGAACAAAATGATTTGATTTATAGTCCAGTGCATCTCACCTTTCACACCCTTCTCCTTTATTCCCCTTTTCCTCATCACACAGAATTTTACAATGAGATTTCTGCTTGTGTCAATCTATCAGAAATTCAGCTGACAGGGTGCATGACACTGCGAATGAATTTAATGCCTTTGAACTGAACACACATGGTCCTGACTTAATGATGGTTTGACTTAGGATTTTTAGACTTTAGGATGGGTTTAGTTTTTCTGTAGGTAACCCCATTGTAAGTTGAGGACCATCTGTACTTAAAAATTATACGCTGTATTTTATGTATTTTTTTTCTTTTTTTTTTTTGAGACAGAGTTTCACTCTTGTTGCCTAGGCTGGAGTGCAGTGGCGCGATCTTGGCTCACCGCAACCTCCACTTCCCAGGTTCAAGCGATTCTCCTGCCTCAGCCTCCCAACTAGCTGGGATTACAGGCATGCGCCACCACACCCGGCTAATTTTGTATTTTTAGTAGAGACGGGGTTTCTTCATGTTGGTCAGGCTGGTCTCGAACTCCCGACCTCAGATGAGCCACCCACCTCGGCCTCCCAAAGTGCTGGGATTACAGGTGTGAGCCACCGCGCCCGGCCTTTATGTGCATTTTACTACAATTAAAAATTCATCTTGCAGAGAAATGCAATGGAAATAATTTATTCAAAACAATTAGAACCCCTACTATGTGCTGGGTGATAGGTTGGGGTTGGGGAAATGGGTGGGGCCTGAGTTAGGAAATGAGTAAGACCTGCTTCCTGTGGTCCTGGAGCTCCCAGCCTTGCTGCGGAGACAAACCCATAATCTGTTAATTGAGCTCCATAATTCCAGGTGACACACATTACAGTACACATGCGTAGCGCCTGATTTCAGTCAGGATGCAAAGGGCTTTGAATGCTACACTAAGGACTTTGGATTTTGGTAATTGGGAGTTATGAATGGTTTTAAAGCCAGTGTATGACACGAACAGATTCATTGCAATTCCTAAAGTCTTAGCACCAGACATTTGACATTGTAGGGTGTCAAAGACTGATGGCAGTGACAGGCTGGGCACCATGGCTCACACCTGTAATCTCAGCACTTTGAGAGATGAGGTGGGAGGATCGCTTAAGGCCAGAAGTTCAAAACCAGCCTGGGCAACATAGAGACCCCCATCTTTAGAAAAAATTTTAAAAATTAGCTGAGGCTCACCCAGCAGTTTGAGACTGTAGTGAGCTATGATCACAGTACTGCACCCCAGCCTGATGGATTGAGACCCCATTTCTTCTTTTTTTTGTTTTTTTGAGACGGATCTGCTGCTCAGGCTGGAGTATGGTGGTGGGATCTTCTTGACTCACTGCAACCTCTACCTCCTGGGTTCAAGTGATTCTCCTGCCTCAGCCTTCCAAGTATCTGGGATTACAGGCACCTGCCACCACGCCCATTTAATTTTTGTATATATATGTATATATATATTTTTCGAGACGAAGTCTCACTGTGTTGCCCAGGCTGGAGTGCTGTGGTGCGGTCTCGGCTCACTGCAACCTCCGCCTTCTGGGTTCAAGTGATTCTCCTGCCTCAGCCTCCTGAGTAGCTGGGACTACAGGCGTGTGCCACCACGGCTGGCTAATTTTTTGTATTTTTAGTAGAGATGGGGTTTCACCATGTTGGCCAGGATGGTCTTGAACTCCTGACCTCAGGTGATCCGCCTGCCTCCCAAAGTGCTGGGATTACAGGCCTGAGCCACCGTGCCCAGCCAAGACCCCATCTCTTTAAAAAAAATAGCTGTGACAGCTTTAATTTTAAAAAGTTGATCCCCTGTAAAGTAGGCTCATAATTATGTTTATCTTATTAAATATATTCATGCTCAGGAAAGCAAGAGAGTGTTAACTTTGGTTAAGTCTATTGGGAAGACATAAACACAGATCTGTCAATTGCTCTATATGAGATGTGCATGGAACACTTTGAGAGCTCAGACAGGAGAATCTACCCTGCCTGAGAGGTTTGAGAAGGACCTCCAGAAGGAAGTGGACTGCAGAAAAAAAAAAGAGGGAAGGGAAGCTGGAGCATAAAGATGGAGGAAAAGAGTCATGGGCAATAAGGCCAGGGCCAGATGGCAGGGGGCTTTGTGTGCCAAATTGAGGGGCTTGAATCTCCTCCCCACAGGTGATGGTGAGCCATCAAAGGCCCGGTTAATAAGAATGATGATGATGAAATAGCGCTTATGGCTTGGTGCGGTGGCTTACACCTCTAATCCCAGCACTTTGGGAGGCTGAGGAGAGAGGATCACTGAAGTCTAGAAGTATGAGACAAATCTGGGCAACTTAGTGAGACCTCCCCCACAACCCCATAGCTACAAAAAATAAAAATTAGCAAGGTGAGGTGGCACACACCTGTAGTCCCAGCTACTTGAGAGGCTGAAGTGGGAAGATCCCTTGAGTCCAGGAGGTTGAGGCTGTGGTCATGCCACTGCACTCCAGCCTGGGTGACAGAGAGAGACCCTGTCTCAAAAACAAAAACAAAAACAAAAACAAAAAAAAAAAGAAAAGAAAAAAGAAAGAAATAGTGCTTACTACACGCAAGGCACTGTTCTAAGAGGTTTACCAATATTGACTCATTTAACCCTGACACTTACCATGGTTAGATAGTTTGGATCACTTTAGTGGCTACGTGGAGACCAGTCTGGACACATGTTGTGGTGCCGGATAAAGACGAAGGGATGTGCCTGTAGTCCCAGTAACTCAGGAGGCTAAGGTGGCAGGATCACTTCAGCCAGGGAGGGAGAGGCTGGAGCTGAGATTGTGCCACTGCACTCCAGCCTGGGCAACAGAGCAAGACCTTGTCTCTCTTTTTTTTTTTTTTTTTGAGATGGAGTTTTGCTCTATGTGGCCCAGGCTGGAGTGCAATGGCTTGGTCTCGGCTCACTGCAACCTCTGCCTCCCAGGTTCAAGCGATTCTCCTGCCTCAGCCTCCCAGTAGCTGGGATTACAGGCACGTGCCACCACGCCTGGCTAATTTTTTTTTTTATTTTTAATAGAGACGGGGTTTCTCCACCTTGGTCAGGCTGGTCTCGAACTCCCAACCTCAGGTGATCCGCCTGCCTCGGCCTCCCAAAGTGCTGGGATTACAGGCGTGAGCCACCGCGCCTGGCCAAGACCTCGTCTCAAACCAAAAAGAAAAAAAAGAGGAAGGGAGGAAAGGAGGTGATGGCTTTTAGAATTAATTAATTTGTGTGCTTTCAGTTCTTTTATATCTGTAGGTTGCTTGATGGCCCAGACTATCACGGCAAAGGAGTCATTTGCATTTGAAGAGAATGTGTCTTCCGCAGTTGTTAGGTGGAGTTTCTATAAATATCATCAGGTCAAGTTAGTTGGTAGTGCTGTTCAAGTCTTTTATAAATTGATAGTTTTCCAGCTATTTTACGGATTTGTCTATTTCTCCTTTCACTGCTATATCTTCCAAATTGATTCAGAGAGCTGCAGTCAGGAGCGTACTATTGCAGAGAGGATAGAATGTTTGGGACCAGAAGAAACGTTTTATCTCTTTAAATTTACTCTCGTACGCAGAAAACAAAATACAAATAAACTACGTATCCCAGCAAGCCTAGTGGAACTCAGGGCAAATGCAAATAAGGGGGGGGGCTGGGCATTCGGCTACGCCCCTTTTCTGGGTTGGCAAGGCAACTGATACAGAAGCCAGCCAATCGGTGATATAGTCACCTGCAGGGGCGGGGGCTTGACGAAAGCCAATAGGACGCAGGGCAGATGGCTCTTCGGGCCAATGGGTTGGGCGACGGGGCGGGCTTTTGATGAAGGGTCGTTGGTGGGAAAGATGGCGGCGACTCTGGGACCCCTTGGGTCGTGGCAGCAGTGGCGGCGATGTTTGTCGGCTCGGGATGGGTCCAGGATGTTACTCCTTCTTCTTTTGTTGGGGTCTGGGCAGGGGCCACAGCAAGTCGGGGCGGGTCAAACGTTCGAGTACTTGAAACGGGAGCACTCGCTGTCGAAGCCCTACCAGGGTGAGGCGCCCAGGGTGAGGTGGTCGTGCAGTGGGGCGGGCTTCGGGACTTGATTTCAGGGGTAGAGGCGGGGGCGGCGAAGGGCTTCGTGGCCCGGAGGAAACTGCTGGCGGTGGTGGGGCCCACGGAGACTCCCTCCGCGTTTGGGAGCCACAGGTCTGAAAGGCAGGAGTTAGGTGTGCCTGCCAAGCTCTGGAAGTTTCCAGTAGGTAAAGGCAGGGCTGTCGGGTGCCACTAGTACTAGGCCTGGAGTTAGACAGGAGGAGTTTGGGAAGGGGAGAGAATTGAGAATGGTGAGGAGTGATTGAGGGCTACTAGCAATGAGCCAGTCTCCAGATGGACCTGTGGATGTGCTAGAAATAAAGCAGGAGGAAGAACTGGGGTAGAACTTGAACGAAATGAGAAGATGATAAATTTATGTTGCTGGGTAGAACCACCTTCTCTTCTCCAGCCTAGGGGCCCTGTTGGTGAAAGAGGTTAGGGTTCACAGAACTCTAAGCACAGCTTATCAGCCAGAAAATTAATGCAGTTAGCCACAAAACGATGACAAACCAGTGCAGATGGCTTAACTAACACAAGTCTTTCCCCACTAAGGCGTAGGTAGTGGGACAGAAAACAATTCAAAGTGCAAGAGTATACTCTACTACTAAGGGTAATCATTTATTCACTTACATGCCTGGAGTGCCTCTGTGCTGTCTCTTTGCTAATGCTTATGGGTTTGCAGACACAAAGTTTTCATTCTTAAAGAAGTTTATAGGTGAGGGTACAGGGAGTAGCTTCACACTTTAAGGATTGTTTAAAGAAAGAATGTGACGGCTGGGGCGGTGGCTCACGCCTGTAATCTCCGCACTTTGGGAGGCCGAGGTGGGCGGATCACGAGGTCAGGAGATTGAGACCATCCTAGCTAACACGGTGAAACCCCATCTCTGCTGAAAATACAAAAAAATTAGCCAGGTGTGGTGGCGGGCGCCTGTAGTCCCAGCTACTCAGGAGGCTGAGGCAGGAGAATGGCGTGAACCCGGGAGGCAGAGCTTACAGTGAGCCGAGGTCATGCCACTGCACTTCAGCCTGGGCAACAGAGCGAGACTCCATCTCAAAGAAAAAAAAAAAAGGAAGAATGTGACTAAGCCCCGGAGGCCTGAGGGTCAAACTCTTTTTATTTATATTTATATATTTTTAGAGACAAGGTCTTGTTCCGTTGCCTAGGCTGGAGTGCAGTGGCACAATCATGGCTCATGCAGTTTCAATCTCCTGGGCTCAAGCGATGCTCCCAACTCAGCCTCCTGAGTAGCTAGGACTATGGACAAGGACTACCACACCTGGCTAATTTTTTTTTTGGTAAAGACAGGGTCTTTCTATGTTGCCCAGGCTGGTCTCAAATTGCTGACCTCAAGATGCCCTCCCTCCACATCATCTCAAAGTGTGGGGATTACATGGGTGAGCCACTGCACCTGGCCTGTCAAACTCTTTTTGATATAACTCAGGAAAATTTTTTTCTTTTACGATGCTGAAGTTTACTCACATATAAAACGGGAAGAATGGATGTGAGCTATGGTTACTGTAACATGCATAAAGTGAGAGTTCTGATGTGCTTTGGGGTCCTTACCTGATAAAGGCCTTGTGAAAGCTGTAGAGATGGTAAGATTCATGACTGAGAGAAGATAGGAGATTGAGTGACATTAAAGGGGGAAAAAGATGATGGCTCAGCTTTCAGAGGCTCTGTGGTGGCTGCTTTCTGAATGGATTGGTGTTGAAAAGTATGAACTGATCTACTTCCTTCCTGTAGGTGTGGGCACAGGCAGTTCCTCACTGTGGAATCTGATGGGCAATGCCATGGTGATGACCCAGTATATCCGCCTTACCCCAGATATGCAAAGTAAACAGGGTGCCTTGTGGAACCGGGTGGTAAGAATCTTTCTCCCTCCTGTGTTGGTGACCCAGAAAGGCCTAAAAAGTTCAGCAGTGGCATACTGATTTAATTTTACTGTCTATCCCCCTGGTATTCTATCTTCTGTGGATATCAAGGATCTTTATTTTTGAGATTATTCTGACCTTGATAATAAATAAATCAGGTATTTAGGAAAATGCTCTCTATTTAATTATAGCAAATAATTCATTTTTTTTTCCTGAAATGTCGTTAATTCCTGATTGGCCCAATAGTACTACTTCTTAGGGTTTAATAATAACTTAACTCCTGCTTAACCACTTTGTAAGAAGATTATAAGAAGACCAGAGTGCAGTGGCACAATCATAGCTCACTGCAGCCTCAAACTCCTGGGCTTAAGGGCTCCTCCTGCCTCAGCCTCCTGAGTAGCTGAGACTACAGGCATGTGCCACTGCACCTGGCTAATTTTTAAAACGTTTTTTGTAGAGATGGGGTCTTGCTATGTTGCCCAGGCTGGTCTCAAACTCTTGGTCTCAAACAATCCTCCTGCCTTGGCCTCCCAAAGGTCAGGGATTATAGGTGTGAGCCACCGGTCCTGGTTGAGAGTACTCTTAAATTGATCCCAAACCTTATCCCAGCATCCCCATCTTGTTATTTCAATTTGAAGAGTCTGATATAAAATTTTATTTTCATGTGAAAGCCACTCTGAGCTGTTGGTCATTTTATTTGTCCTTCTCTGGACCTTTTCTAGCTGCATTGTCTTCCTTGAGGTATGGCGACAAGAAGTGAATGCAGTATTCCTGGTGTGGCTGCACTGTGATTTTGTACAAGTGTAAGATGATGCTTTCTTTTCTGTTTCCAGGGCTTTCTAAATCTTTTACGACCAGTTTACTTTTGGGCATGACTCTGGCATCCTTTGATACTTTCTCTGGAATTCTCTTAAACTAAGAACTTACTTTTTTACGTGGCTTTTCTCATTAGTTGTAGATAAGCGAATCTCAGAAAAGAGAACGATTTCTTTTCCCTGTTCAGGAGGGCAAGAGAAATTTCTACATTAGCTATCTGCACAAACTGGCCCCTTAACCTAGATCATAGTGCCGAGCTCATTTTTGGACAGAGTACAGAGCATTGTGTTTTCGTAGCAGAGATAAAGGACAGTTGAAAGACTGGGATTCTCGGTCCAGCTCTGTCACAGTCCTCCTGTGAGCCCTAGGCAGATTATTTAACTTCTTAGTTCTGTTTCTCTATCTGATAAATGAGCTTCAGAATACCTGTTTTACTTGCCCACTGGGGTTGTCGTGAGAATAAAATAGGACAATAGACATGAAAAGACTGTGGCAAGTTAAAATGGTTATAGAAATATGTGTTATGTTATTACACTTCTACAGGTTTGTTGATGGGGCTCTTGTGGGTTACCGGATGATTATGTTCAAGGCTTGATACTCTGCTGCTGTCTTGCTGGCTGTCTGTCTCTACATAACTTGTAGCAGCAGTTCTAGTATAGCCTCTAGTTCTTCCCTTTTTCGACTTCTGATACCTGTATTCGCTGTTATCTGGCTATCACCATGACTATGGGCTTGTTTCTGAGTTATTTGAATAGGATGCATTTGTTTCAGCAGTGGTTCTCAAATTTGGCTATCCATTGGAATCAATGCCTGGGTCTCATCCCCAGAGATTCTGATCTAATTGGAATAGGGTGCAGCTTGGCCATTGGGATTTTTTAAAACTCCGTAGGTGAATCCAGTGTGTGGCAGAATTTCAGAACCACAATTAGACATGGTCCTGAGCAAAACAGTATAGCATTGTGCTGTAGGAGGCCAGGAATCAGTGACAGACACCTCTTGGCTCACTGGGAACTTCTGTGACTCTGCCCTCTTCCCAGGGGCATAATACCTACCTCCTGGCAGCTTCCTGCCCCACTGAATTTCACTCTTTCTCTGAAAGCTATTTTTTTGAAACAGGGTCTCATCACTCTGTCGCCTAGGCTGGAGTGCAGTGGCACTATCACAGCTCACTGCAGCCTGGACCTCCTGGGCTCAAATGATCCTCCACCAAAGCCTCTCAAAATGCTTTGATTACTGGCGTGAACTACTGTGCCTGGCCTTTCTCTGAAATCTTTTTTTTTTTTTTTGAGATGGAGTCTCGCTCTGTCGCCCAGGCTGGAGTGTAGTGGCATGATCTCAGCTCACTGCAAGCTCTGCCTCCTGGGTTCACGCCATTCTCCTGCCTCAGCCTCCTGAGTAGCTAGGACTCCAGGCGCCCACCACCACACCGGCTAATTTTTTGTATTTTTTAGTAGAGACGGGGTTTCACCGTGTTAGCCAGGATGGTCTCGATCTCCTGACCTTGTGATCTGCCCACCTCAGCCTCCCAAAGTGCTGGGATTACAGGCGTGAGCCACCGCGCTGGGCCGTTTCTCTGAAATCGTAATGAAACAGCAGAGAGATAAGAATCCAGAGTGACAAGACAGAGACTGGCTCAATAGAGTAGGAGATTTCAGGCCCCTTGCTCAATGCAGGAGTACCCAATCCCCTTTCATTTTGACTGTGTACTTCTAATATGAACACTGTTGGAAAATATCCCAGAAATAAAGAATGAAAACTGAAAATGATCTAGCAATAGTTGCCCAGAACAGTCTATTTGGAGAGCCTTTGGCTGAACCCAGCTGGTCTGTCTGTTCTTCCTTCACTTCTTTCTTCACAGTAGACTTTTAACCAGAAGCTTCCCTAAATCAACTACCCACTCTGGTTTTTTCTTGAAACCGTTCAACTATTTAAAACACTTAACCATCCACTTGCATCCATCTTCAAGTGCATTTAAGCTTCTTGGCCATGGACGGGAGGGTTTGGGGACTGTAACTTGCTCTTCTTGTGAGAATTCTGGCTTACCCCTCAGCTTGGCAGAGGGCCAGGTCTAGCTAATTAGAGTTGTTTGTAGTATCTGCTAATTATTCCTGGAAACGTTTGCATAACAGCTTAGCTTTTCTTTTTCTACTGTAATAAATTAGGCTTTGACCTTTCTTTAAATCCAGCTTTTCAGAGTCTTTCTGTCTGAGGGGTGATCTTGAGTTGTAAATGAGTATGAATTCAGCCATCTGTACTCTAAAAGCCGAGCTACTTTGCTGGGTGGGTGTAGGATCACAGGAGTGGAGTTTGGTACACTCTTGTCTTTTCCAACTTTGGAGTTCTGTCCTGTTTCTGTTGGGAAATGTTGAAGATAATCGGGAGGTTTATTCATTTTCATATTAAATCTCTAAACAGTTGAATGGTTCAATCCGTTTAATTTTATGACATGAACACATAGCAAGTCTTAGATTTAAGTTTTAACCCTTAGTCTAGTGTTACCTGCATTTGTGTTTTCCAAGTCTGTTGATTGCTGATGTGGGCTTGAGGGGTTTTGCATTTCATGCTCCTCATTGATTCTAATGTCTTTCTCACTTTAGCCATGTTTCCTGAGAGACTGGGAGTTGCAGGTGCACTTCAAAATCCATGGACAAGGAAAGAAGAATCTGCATGGGGATGGCTTGGCAATCTGGTACACAAAGGATCGGATGCAGCCAGGTATTGGGAGCCTGTGTTACTCTTGTGTGGGTGTGACAGCCTGATTTTTCATGTGCCCTCTTTTTGAAAAGGTTCCTTCCCCACAGTGCCAGCTGTTTTCCCTCTCCCTTAATGTATGTGGATGAACACTGGCCCTTCTAGTCTCTAGAACGGGTCTGAGTCCTCATAAGCAGCTGAATTTGACTCATCCTGAGGCAGTTGCTTGCTTGTTACTTCTTTCTGAGTTTCCTTGTGAAACTACCTGGCCTGTTGGCTGGATGAAAGCACTGGCTCTCCTGAACGCTGACGATTGGGTGAGCTGATTTCTTCTGAACATTTACAGTGAATGATCTCAGCACTGCTGAGTCAAGAGAAGAGTTATCTATTTTCCTTGTGTTAGAGCTATTATTGCTCCATGTAGATGGCAGGCTCAACCTGATTTGACCTGATCTCTTTTGCAACAAGAAGGAGAACTAGGGAATTCAGTTCTCTCTTGGGGGCATAGTCTTTACCAATTGTTTGTAAAGCAGAATTCTGTAGGGGCACCTTAGCAACCAGTTTGGATCAGGAAGCTGCCTGAGTGCTAAATAAGGTTGCAGTGGCCTTCTCTCTTTCCCTTGCCTCCAACAACAAACAATTACAGATATTTACTGGGCACTTGTTACAGGCCATGCACTTTGCTGGGTACTTTTAAACATGTGTTTTCTCATCTTGAGAGAGGCTTGGGAGTCATTTGAATTTTACTTTTTCCTCCATCATAGTGATATATTATTCCTTTATCAACTCTTAGCTTTATTTCATTGTTCATCATCTGTTCTCTCTCTCTAGGGCCTGTGTTTGGAAACATGGACAAATTTGTGGGGCTGGGAGTATTTGTAGACACCTACCCCAATGAGGAGAAGCAGCAAGAGGTAATGGCAAGTGTCAGAGCCTAGGTCAGCTACACTGACATCACAGTTCTTTGCCTCAGGAATGTTGTACAGGAGGGAACAAAGGAGATAGAAAGTGAGGGGTTCTTCATCTGTTGAACTTTGAAAGTTAATGTCCTTGTCAGTGTTTTTTTCTAAAGGGACTATTTAGGAGTGCACAGTCTTTTGGGAATAGCTGTCTTGAACAGGGGCTTTTTCTTTAGTGATAATCATGTTCTCTCTTGTGCCTATTAGATAGCCACTAAAATTGAGCATGTTTGGTTGATTGGTGATTTGGCTGCTAGACCAGCACCAGAGCAAGCTGAATTTACGTAACTCAGCCTCCCCTGACTTTTAATCCATCAGTGCTGTGCTCTCTTCTGCAACTTGCACACACTTTTCAGCTTCTTTTTCTTCTTCTTCTTCTCAGACCTGAAGAACAGTTCTCCTCGCCTATAGAAAAGGCTATAATTGGCCAGGTGTGGTGGCTAACACCTGTAAGCCCAGCACTTTGGGAGGCCGAGGTGGGCAGATCACCTGAGGTCAGGAGTTCGAGACCAGCTTTGCCAACATGGTGAAACCCCGTCTCTACTAAATATATAAAAATTAGATGGGTGTGGTGGTGGGTGCCTGTAATCCCACCTACTCGGGAGGCTGAGGCAAGAGAATCACACCATTGCACTCCCCCCTGGGCAGCAGAGTGAGACTCTTGTCTCAAAAAAAAAAAAAAGAAAGAAAGAAAAGGCTATAACGAGAAGGAAACTGATGAAAGCCCAGCATTTTGTTGGAACCTAGTATCTGGCTGTTGGCAGGCCTTTTTGTTACCTGACCTAAGAGTTTTTTAGTGCTTTCTTTTTTTTTTTTAATTTTTTTTTTTTGAGACAGAGTCTCACTCTGTCGCCCAGGCTGGAGTGCAGTGGCGCGATCTCGGCTCACTGCAACCTCTGCCTCCCAGGTTCAAGCTATTCTTCTGCCTCAGCCTCCCGCGTAGCTGGGACTACAGGCGCATGCCACCACACCCAGCTAACTTTTGTATTTTTAGTAGAGACGGGGTTTCACCATGTTGGTCAGGATGGTCTCGAACCCCTGACCTCGTGATCCGCCTGTCTCGGCCTCCCAAAGTGCTGGGATTACAGGCGTGAGTCACCATGCCCGGCTATTGCTTTCTTATATTGACAGTGGGTTTGTACTCTCTCTATGTCCTACGGCACTGCCATCAGATGGTGGGAAATTATGACAGGTTGTTGCTGGGTATCCTGTAGCTAAGTACCTAGCGAGGAAATCAGGATTAGAAATAGAGGCAAAGGTCACATTATTTTTTTCCTCAAAGGTTTATTATGAAAATTTTCAAACTTAAAAAACATTAGAAGGCCAGGCATGGTGGCTCACGCCTGTAATCCCAGCACTTTGGGAGGCCGAGGTGGGCAGATTACTTGAGGTTAGCAGTTTGAGACCAGCCTGGCCAACATTATGAAACCCTGTCTCCACTAAAAATACAAAAATTAGTATTTTTATTAGTATTAGTGTTAACCTGTAGTCCCAGCTACTTGGGAGGCTGAGGTGGGAGAGTCACTTGAACCTGGGAGGTGGAGGTTGCAGTGAGCTGAGACCACGCCATTGCACTGCAGCCTGTAATCCCAGCTACTCAGGTTGCTGAGTCAGGAGAATGGCTTGAACCCAGGAGGCGGAGGTTGCAGTGAGCTGAGATCACACCACTGCACTCCAGCCTGGGCAACAGAGCAAGACTGTCACCAAAATAAACAAAAAAAATTAGAAGAATAGAGAATGATCATTGTATCTGTGATGCTTAGATTCAACAGCTGTTAACATTTCCCACAGAACTCACTTTTTATTTTTTATTTTTTTTATTTTTTGAGATGGAGTCTCGCTCGTCTCCAGGCTGGAGTGCAGTGGTGCAATCTCGGCTCACTGCAACCTACATACACCTCCTGGGTTCAAGCCATTCTCCTGCCTCAGCCTCCTGAGTAGCTGGGATTATAGGCACACGCCACCACGCCCAGCTAATTTTTGTATTTTTAGAGACAAGGTTTCACCATGTTGGCCAGGATGGTCTCCATCTCCTGACCTCAGGTGATTCCTCCACCCTGGCCTCCCAAAGTGGTGGGGTTACAGGTATGAGCCACTGTGCCCAGCGAGCTCACTTTAAAGGTGGTGGAATGTGAGACCTGAGTTAGGAGAATAACCTTTTGTTGTGGATCAGTTACAGCTGCTTCTCTGTGTTCCTTCTGGGCTGTTCTTCATTCCACATACATTAACCACTTTCTAGGTGCCAGGCCCTGGGAATTAGTGAGCAAGATAACATGGTCCTTGTACTCAGTAGCACTGAGAATGCTGATGGGGGAACTCTGGGGCACTATGGGAGGACACAGCAGGAGCTTCTAACCTGAAGTGGGGCAGTAGTGTTGGTGGTAGTGGGGAAGGCTTCTTCCAGGAAGTGCCTTTTAGGTTGAGGTCTGCAGAGTAAGGAACCCGTGTCCCATGCAGAGGGAAAAAAGCCGAGGTCCTAAGGTTAAGAGAGGGGATGATGAGGCTGGGTGCAGTGGCTCATGCCTGTAATCCCAGCACTTTGGGAGGCCAAGGCGGGTGGATCACGAGGTCAGGAGACCGAGACTATCCTGGCCAACATGGCGAAACCCCGTCTCTACTAAAAATACAAAAATTAGTCAGGTGTGGTGGCATGCTTCTGTAGTCCCAGCTACTCAGGAGGCTGAGGCAGGAGAATCGCTTGAACCTGGAAGGTGGAGGTTGCAGTGTGAGCTGAGATCACGCCACTGCACTCCAGCCTGGGCGACAGAGTGAAACTCCATCTCAAAAAAAAGAGAGAGAGAGGGGATAATGAGTGTGTGGAAATAAAGTAGAATCAGAGACAGATGAGGCTAGAATGAAAAGCAGGGCCAGTAGTCTTGTTATGTTGCACAGTTCCTAGGGCTGCTGTTCACCTTGCATTCTACAATATTAACACTGTAGCCTCGGCATGTTAACTAGCCGCTGAGACTGACTGGCATCTGCTTGGGTGGTTGGTGGCTGAACTGTTTAGATGAGAGCCAGAGCAGACTGAATGTATGTGACTCATGCTCACCATATACCACTTGGGGCCAAGTTCTGAAGGATTGTGTTCCTGTTGAGGAGTCTGGACTTGATTCTGAAGGGGTAGGTACATTAAAGGATTTTATTGAAGAGAGGATCATGACTGGATTTGTAGTCATGCTGAGGAAATAGTGGTAGTTAGAAATGGATCTGAATAAGAGTTATCAGCTTTAGGGCCTGACAAGAGTTTTAAACTTGTCTCTCTGTTTCTTCCAGAAACAAATTGTTCAAACTCTGTTAGCTTCCATTTCACCATGAGATAGTAGTAATTCTGGTTTGAGAAAGTAGAAATTCTGACTTGGGTTTATTTTGTAAGGATTTTGTAGATGTTAATTAAAAAAAATTTATTTTAGATGGTAAAAATTGAGACATCTTTTCTGGCTAGCTATTGTGGTTCTTACTTCCAAGTGCACATTGTAATTCCCTGGAGAACTTTTAAAAATATTGACATCCAGTCCCAACCCCAGAGCTTCTGATTCAGTTCGTCTGAAGTGCAGTCTAGGCAGCCTTCCTCTTTTAAAGCTTTCCAGGAGATTCACATGTATAGCCGAGGTTGAGAACCCTTGGACTAACATGGGTTCCTTTTATCCTTATAAAACTAAATTTAAGGCCGGGCGCGGTGGCTCACACCCGTAATCCCAGCACTTTGGGAGGCTGAGGCGGGCAGATCACAAGGTCAGGAGTTCGAGACCAGCCTGGCCAACATAGTGAAACCCTGTCTCTACTAAAAATACAAAATTAGCCAGGTGTGGTGGCGGGCGCCTGTAGTCCCAGCTACTTGGGAGGCTGAGGCAGGAGAATCACTTGAACCTGGGAGACGGAGGTTGCAGTGAGCCAAGATCATGCCCTTGCACTCCAGCCTGGGCGACAAGAGCAAGACTCTGTCTCAAAAAAAAAAGCCATTAAAAAAAAAATAAAATCACTTGCTGTTTATTAGATGGCTGCTGTGTGCCAGGTACTTTGCAAATATTGTCTTAATCCTCGTCAAACCTCCTTATAGTCTGTATTTTTCCCATTTTACCAGTGAGTAAACAGGCTTAGAGAAGTTAAGTGTCTGTTTCAAGGTAATAGTCGATATAAAGTGAAGCACAGGTCCACCAGATTCCAGAAGCTGTGCTTTTATCTATGATGTTCTACCAGCTCCCATCCTTTTTTTTTTCTGTCAGGTTGACTTCTTTCTTGAGAATAGAGACATTTATTATTATTATTTTGTTTTATTTTATTTTATTTATTTATTTTTTTGAGACAGAGTCTTGCTCTGTCGCCCAGGCTGGAGTGCAGTGGTGCGATCTCAGCTCACTGCAAGCTCCGCCTCCCGGGTTCACGCCATTCTCCTGCTTCAGCCTCCTGAGTAGCTGGGACTACAAGTACCTGCCACCACGCCCAGCTAATTTTTTATATTTTTAGTAGACATGGGGTTTCACCGTGTTAGCCAGGATGGTCTTGATCTCCTGACCTCGTGATCTGCCCACCTTAGCCTCCCAAAATGCTGAGATTACAGGGGTGAGCCACTGCGCCTGGCCTTATTTTATTTTATTTTTCGAGATGGAGTCTTGCTCTGTTACCCAGGCTGGAGTGCAGTGGCATGATCTCGGCTCACTGCAACCTCCGCCTCCTGGGTTCAGTGATTCTCCTGCCTTAGCCTTTGGGGTAGCTGGGATTTCAGGCACACTCCACCCAGTCTGGCTGATTACAGGCACACACCACCACATCTGACTAATTTTTGTATTTCTAGTAGAGGCGGCGTTTCACTGCGTTGGCCAGGCTGGTCTCAAACTCCAGACTTCAAGTAATCTACCCGCCTCGGCCTCCCAAACTGCTAGGATTACAAGCGTGAACCACCGCACCCAGCCTGTTAATATTATGTTCATATGCTGTCCTGTGCAATTTCTTTTTTTTTTTTTTTTTGAGACGGAGTCTTGCTCTGTTGCCCAGGCTGGAGTGCAGTGGTGCGATCTCAGCTCACTGCAAGGTCCGCCTCCTGGGTTCAGGCCATTCTCCTGCCTCAGCCTCCGGAATAGCTGGGTAGCTGGGACTACAGGCACCTGCAACCACGCCCGGCTAATTTTTTGTATTTTTAGTAGAGACGGGTTTTCACCGTGTTGGCCAGGATGGTCTCGATCTCCTCTCGATCTCCTGACCTCGTGATCCGCCCGCCTCGGTCTCCCAAAGTGCTGGGATTACAGGCGTGAGCCACCGCGCCTGGCCAGTGCAATTTCAGTTCTTAGATCTTATATTCAGTCCAGAGAGTATGGAAAGTATCTTCCTTTCTACATCCCAACACCCTACAACTATCTAAGAGGGTAAAATCAAATGTGTTTGTCAGTGGCATGGTTTACTTCAATATACATAAAGGCGCCAGGCATTGTTCTAAGCACTTTCACATACATTATTTACTTATCATAACAACCTTTTGGGGTAGATGATAGTATTATCTCTATTTTGTGGGTAAGAAACTGAAGTGCATGTAGAAAGGTTACAGAACTTGTTAGTGTCACACACGTAGTGGGTCTGACTCCAGAGACTCCAGTCTGATTATTATTGCTTTATTATTTTGAGCTCATTAAAAGAGGGTGACAAATACTGTACCTTTTGAGAACTTACAAATGACCGTGGTATGTGTGCAGAAGATGTCCTAGACAAGGAAGACAAGGAGCAGGTAGGAGGGCGTGTGGAACAATTCATGAAATTCCTCAAGACAGTGGTA
Organism: Homo sapiens; assembly: GCF_000001405.40. NCBI lineage: Eukaryota > Metazoa > Chordata > Mammalia > Primates > Hominidae > Homo > Homo sapiens. The sequence goes on along the minus strand of NC_000002.12, from coordinate 96,727,706 downwards.
AAAACATTTTTCTGGTTTCTTGTTTCCTTGTCACGAGAGTCCACATGACCCTGTTGCTCAACCTCTTACCACATTTGTTCATGAGAAAATATTGGGAAAATCATAGCAACCAGTAATGCATCTGAGAAGAGGGTGAGAGACTTCAGTATATAGGCTCAATCCTCCTACCTCAGCCTCCTTCCCAGTAGCTGGGACCACAGGCATGCGCCACCACACCTGGCTAATTTTTGTATTTTTTGTAGAGACAGGGTTCCGCCATGTTGCCTAGGCTGGTCTCAAACTGCTATGCTCAAGTGCTTTGCCTGCTTTGGCCCCCCAAGGTGCTAGGATTACAGTCATGAGCCACCGCACCCGGCCCCTCAACTGTGGTTTAACATCTGAAAATTAGTATAATATACCACATTAGTAAACTAAAGGACAAACAACATATAATCATCTCAATAGATAGAGAAAAAGTGACAAAATTTCATACCTCTTGATAATAAAAACACTCAACAAATTAGGAATAGAAGAGGATTTCCTCAACCTGATAAAGGGCATCTATGAAAAAACCCACAGCTAATATATATATATATGTGTTTGTGTGTGTGTCACACACACATTTTTTATTTTTATGTTTTTTTGAGATAGAGTCTCGCTCTGTCACCTGAGCTGGAATGCAGTGGCGTGATCTTGGCTCACTGCAACCTCTGCCTCCCGGGTTCAAGCAATTCTCCTGCCTCAGCCTCCCAAGTAGGTGAGATTACAGACGTGCACCACCACACCTGGTTAATTTTTGTGTTTTTAGTGGAGACGGGGTTTCACCATGTTGATCAGGCTAGTCTTGAACTCCTGACCTGAAGTGATCTGCCCGCCTCGACCTCCCAAAGTGCTGGGATTACAGGTGTGAGTGAGCCACTGCACCCAACCTTTTTATTTTTTTTGAGACAGAATCTTGCTCTGTCACCCAGGCTGGAGTGCAGTGGCATGATCTCTGCCCACTGCAATCTCCACCTCCTGGGTTCAAGCAATTCTCCTGCCCCAGCCTCCTGAGCAGCTGGGATTACAGGCGCCCACCACCACTCCCAGCTAAGTTTTTGTATTTTTAGTAGTGACGGGAGTTTGCCATGTTTGCCAGGCTGGTCTCAAACTCCTGACCTCAGGTGATCTGCCCATCTCGGCCGCCCAAAGTGCTGGGATTACAGGCGTGAGCTACTGTGCTTGGCTAGAAAAACCCACGGCTAACATATTTAGTGGTAAACAGTTGAATTCTTTCCTTCTAAGATCAGGAATAAAATGAGGATATTCACTCTTATCACTTCTGTTTAACGTTGTACTGGAGGACCTAGCTAGGGCAAGAGACATGAAAGTGAAATAAAAGACATTCAGATTGGAAAGGAAGTAAAACTATTTCTATTTGCAGATGACAGAATATGGAAAATCCTAAGGAATCCACAAAAAAAAACCTATTAGAACTACTAAATGAATTTAGCAAGGTTGAAGGATACGAGATCAGTATGCAAAAATATTATAAAATATGCAAAAATATTATAAAATATTATTAAAAAGGTTTATTTCTTTTTTTTTTTCTTTTTTGAGACGGAGTCTTGCTCTGTCACACAGGTTGGCATGCAGTGGCATGATCTCTGCTCATTGCCACCTCCGCCTCCTGGGTTCAAGTGATTCTTCTGCCTCAGCCTCCAGAGTAGCTGGGATTACAGGCACGTGCTACCACGCCTGGCTAATTTCTGTATTTTTAGTAGAGATGGGGTTTCACCATGTTGGTCAGGCTGTTCTTGAACTCCTGACCTCATGATCACCTGCCTCGGCCTCCCAAAGTGCTGGGATTACAGGCGTGAGGTACCGCGCCTGGCAAATCAGGTTTATTTCTATATATTTTCAGTGAACAATCTGAAAATGAAATGAGAAAACAACTCCATTTGCAGTGTTATCAAAAAGAATAAAATACTTAGAAGTAAATTTGGCCGGGTGCGGTGGCTTACGCCTGTAATCCCAGCACTTTGGGAGGCTGAGGCGGGCAGATGACAAGGTCAGGAGATCGAGACCATCCTGGGTAACATGGTAAAACCCCGTCTCTACTAAAAAAATACAAAAAAATCAGCCGGGCATGGTGGCGGGCGCCTGTAGTCCCAGCTACTTGGGAGGCTGAGGCAGGAGAATGGCGTGAACCTGGGAGGTGGAGGTTGCAGTGAGCCAAGATTACGCCACTGCACTCCAGCCTGGGTGACAGAACGAGACTCCGTCTCAAAAAAAAAAAAAAAAGAAAATTTAATAGAAAAACTTTGACAACTACAAAATATTGTTGGGGCCAGGTGTGGTGGCTCACACCTATAATCCCAGCACTTGTGGGAGGCTGAAGTGGGAGAATCACCTTAGGCCAGGTGTTTGAAATGAGCCTGGGCACCACAGCAAGATCTTGTCTCTACAAAAAATAAAATTAGGCCAGGCGTGGTGGCTCACACCTGTAATCCCAACAGGGGAGGGATTTTGGGAGGCTGAGACGGGTAGATCACGAGGTCAGGAGATCAAGACCATCCTGGCCAAGATGGTGAAACCCCGTCTCTATTAAAAATATAGGCCGGGCGCTGTGGCTCACGCCTGTAATCCCAGCACTTTGGGAGGCTGAGGCAGGCGGATCACGAGGTCAGGAGATCGAGACCATCCTGGGTAACACGGTGAAACCCCGTCTCTACTAAAAATACAAAAAAATTAGCCAGGCATGGTGGCGGCGCCTGTAGTCCTAGCTACTTGGGAGGCTGAGGCAGGAGAATGGCATGAACCCGGGAAGCGGAGCTTGCAGTGAGCCAAGATCGCGCCACTGCACTCCAGCCTGGGCGACAGAGCAAGACTCCATCAAAAAAAAAATAAATAAATAAAAATAAAAATAAAAAAATTAGCTGAGCTTCGCAGTGTGCGCCTGTAGTCCCAGCTACTCGGGAGGCAGAGGCAGGAGAATTGCTTGAACCTGGGAGGCGGAGGCTACAGTGAGCTGAGATTGCGCCACTTCACTCCAGCCTGGGCAACAGAGCAAGACTCTGTCTCAAAAAAAATTAGCCTGGTGTGGTGGGTGATGCATGCTACCCGGGAGGCTGAGGTGGAGGTTTGCTCAGGAGGGTGAGTCCACAGTGAGCCACGATCGCATCGCTGCACTCTAGCCTCAGTAACAGAGCAAGACCCTGTCTCAAAAATGAAATAAAGTAAAAAAAATTATTGGAGGAAATTAAAGAAGATCCATGTAAATGGAAAGATGTTCTATGGCATGGATTGGAAGACTTGGTATTGTTAAGATAGCAGTACTCCCCACATTGCTCTATGCAGTCCCTACCTCTCAAAAACTTAGCTGGCTTCTTGGCAAAAATTCACAAGCTGATCTTAACATCCATATGGAAATTCAAGGGACTCAGAATAACCAAAATAATCTTGACAAACAGTGAAGTTGGAATGCTCACACTTCCTGATTTCAAAACTTACTACAAAGCTACAATAATAAAGACAGTGTGCTACTGGCATCTGGGTAGACATACAGATCAATGGAATAGAACTGAGAGTCTGGAAATAAAACGTCACATTTAATCAATTAATTTTCTTTTTCTTTCTTTTTTTTTTTTGAGACAGAGTCTCGCTCTGTCTCCCAGGCTGGAGTGCAGTGGCACGATCTCGGCTCACTGCAAGCTCTGCCTCCTGGGTTCACGCCATTCTCCTGCCTCAGCCTCCCGAGTAGCTGGGACTACAGGTGCCTGCCACCACGCCTGGCTATTTTTTTTTTTAATATATATGTTTTTAGTAGAGATGGGGTTTCACCATATTAGCCAGGATGGTCTCGATCTCCTGATCTCGTGATCCACCCGCGTCGGCCTCCCAGTGTGCTGGGATTACAGGCGTGAGCCACCGTGCCCGGTCTAATCAATTAATTTTCCACAAGATAATTCAATGGGGAAAGAATCATCTTTTCAACAACTAGTTATCCACGTGTAAAATAATGAAGTTATTCCCTATTTCACACCACACAGAAAATTTAACTCGAAATGGATGAAAGATCTAAATGTAAAAATTAAAACTATAAAACTTTTAGAAAAAAAAAATATCGGATTGATTCTTCTTGACTTTGGATCAGGCAGTTGTTAGATGTGACACCAAAAGAAAAAGCAACGAAAGAAAAGGATAAATTGAACTTCATCAAAATTGAAACCTTACGTGTTTCATAGGACATCATCAAGGAAATGTAAAGAACCTACAGAATGGGAAAAGATATATGCAAATCATATCTTATTAGAGATTTGTTTGAAACGTAAAGAACTATTACAACTCAATAGTAAGACAACCAAATTAGAAAATGGGCAAAAGATCTTAATAGGTATTTCTCTAGAAGAGATATACAAGTGGCCAAGAAGCTTGAAAAGAGGCTGAGCATCATCAGCCATCAGGGACATGCAAATTAAAACCATAAGACACTACTTTACACCCGCTAGAATGGCTAAAATAAAAAAGATTAGAAGTGTTGGCAAGGATATGGAGTAATTGGAACCCTCATAGACTGCTGGTGGGAATGTAAAATGGTGTAGTTGCTTTGGAAAAGTTTGACATTTCTTCAAATGACTAAACATAGACTTTACATGATCTAGCAATTCCACTCATAGGTGTGTACCTAAGAGAAATGAAAACATCTACACAAAACTTTTTTTTTTTTGAGATGGAGTCTTGCTCTGTTGCCCAGTATGAAGTGCAGTGGCGTGATCTCAGCTCACTGCAACCTCTGCCTCCTGGGCTCAAGTGATTCCCCTGCTTCAGACTTCCAAGCAGCTGGGATTACAGGCGCCTGCCACCACGCCTGGCTAATTTTTACATTTTTAGTAGATACGGGTTTTGCCATGTTGGCCAGGCTAGTCTCAAACTCCTGACCTCAAGTTATCCGCCCGCCTTGGCCTCCCAAAGTGCTGGGATTATAGGCATGAGCCACTGCACCCGGCCTACACAAAAACTTTTATATGAATGTTCATAGCAGCATTATTCATAATAGCCAAGAAATGGATACAACTTAAATGTCCATCAACTGATTAGAGCAGGGGTCCCCAACCTGTTAGGAACCAGGCTGCACAGCAGGTGAATGGTGGGCGAGCAAGTGAAGCATTATCTGTATTTACAGCTGCTCCCCATTGCTCTCATTACTGCCTGAGCTCCGCCTCCTCTCAGATCAGTGGTGGCATTAGATTCTCATAGGAGCAGGAGCCCTCTTATGAACTGAGCATGCGAGGGATCTAGTTTTCTCCTTAGGAGAATTTAATGCCTGATGATCTGTCACTGTCTCCCATCACCCCCAGATGGGACTATCTAGTTGCAGGAAAACAAGCTTAGGGTTCCCGCTGATTTCTACATCATGGTGAGCTGTATAATTATTTCATTATATATTATAACGTGATAATAATAGAAATAAAGTACACAGGCCGGGTGCGGTGGCTCACGCCTGTAATCCCAACACTTTGGGAGGCCAAGGTGGGCGGATCACGAGGTCAGGAGATTGAGGCCATTCTGGCTAACACGATGAAACCCCGTCTCTACTAAAAATACAAAAAAATTAGCCGGGCGTGGTGGCGGCCACCTATGGTCCCAGCTACTCGGGAGGCTGAGGCAGGAGAATGGCGTGAACCTGGCAGGCGGAGCTTGCAGTGAGCCAAGATCGCGCCACTGGATTCCAGCCTGGGCAACAGAGTGAGACTCCGTCTCAAAAAAAAAAGAAAGAAAGTACACAATAAATGTAATGTGCTTGAATCATCCCGAAACCACCCCCCCTCCAACTCCCCGGTTCATGGAAAAATTGTCTTCCAGGAAACCAGTCCCTGGTGCCAAAAAGGTTGAGGACTACTGGATTAGAGGATAAACAAAATGTGATATATTGTTATAATGGAAATATCAGCAATGAAAATAAGTATCACTGGGTGTGGTGGCTCGTGCCTATAATCCCAACACTTTGGGAGGCCAAGGTGGAAGGATTGCTTGAGTCTAGGAGTTTTAGATCAGCTTGGGCAACATAGGGAGACCCCATCTTTACAAAAAACAAAAAAAATTAGCTGGTCCCAGCTACTTTGCAGGCTGAGGCAGGAGGATTGCTTGAGTCCAGGAGGTCAAGGCTGTAGTGAGCTATGATTGCCACTGCACTGTAGCCTGGGCGATGGAGCAAGACTGTCTCAAAAAAAAAACAAAGTAGGAGTAATTGCCAGGCACAGTGGCTTACACTTGTAATTCTAGCACTTTAGGAGACCAAGGTGAGTGGATCACTTGAGCCCAGGACCTCGAGGTTGCAATGAGCCTTGATCACACCACTGCACTCCAGCCTGGGTGACATAGCAAGACCCTGTCTCAAAAAAAAAAAAAAAAAAAAAAAAGACTGAAAGAAATTAAGTATCGATATGTGCTCCAACATGGATGACCCATGAAAACACTATGCTAAGTGGAAGAAGCCAGTCACAAAAGACCCACACATTGTATGATCCCATGCATATGAAATGTCCAGAATAGGCAAATCTGTAGAGACAGAAAGTAGATTAGTGGTTGTCTAGGGCTGGGGTAATGTGGGGTGGAGATGAGGAGAGTGACTACTAGTGGGCATGAGATTTTTTTTTGGGGTGATGAAAATGTTTTAAAATTGGTTGTGGTAATCATAATCTTAACTCTGAATATACTAAATGCCATTGAATTATATACTTTAAGTGAATTGTGTGGACTGTGAATTATATCTCAGTGTTGTAGTTATTTATTTTATTTATTTTTTTTGAGACTGAGTCTCACCCTGTCGCCCAGGTTGGAGTGCAGTGGCGTGATCTTGGCTCACTGCAACGTCCATCTCCCAGGTTCAAGTGATTCTCCTGCCTCAGCATTCCGAGTAGCTGGGATTACAGGTGCCTGCCACCACGCCTGGCTAATTTTTGTATTTTTAGTAGAGACGAGGTTTCACCATGTTGCCCAGGCTGGTCTCGAACTCCTGACCTTGTGATTTGCCCGCCTCAGCCTCCCAAAGCACTGGGATTACAGGCGTGAGTCACCGCGCCTGGCTGTATTGTAGTTATTTTTTAATGTTGATTAAAAGATCACCAGTGGGCAGGCACAGTAGCTCGTGCCTATAATCCCAGCACTTTGGGAAGCCAAGGCAGGAAGATAGCTTGAGTCCAGGAGTTTGAAACCAGCCTAGGCAACATAGCAAGTCCTCATCTCTACAAAAAATCAAAAAAAAAAAAAAGGTAAAGATAACCTGATTATCTTGCACTATCAAGTCATCAGCTGATGATCATCACTTTCTCACACAAACCTACCCAGATGTTGGTGAAAAGTTGCAGGGAAGTCAGTAGCAATCTTGGAGCTACAATGTGCTTCCGTTGAAATCAGAGCGTAATGAATGAGAAGAGGCCTTCCTGGAATGAGAGCACAGAGTGTAACCGTTGCGGTCTTGGCCTTCATTCTTTTCTGTGAGATGTTTGGGCCTCACCCCTGGGGAGGCAGAAATAGCTAGAGAGTGGGGAGAAGAGCTTGGGAGTTGTTTTTGAGGTATTCCCCATACTTTGAGATACTCCTCATACTTTTTTTTGATGTGATGATTGTTTTTTCCTCCTTTGAACTGGAAGAAAATTTAACAATACCATGCCATCCAGTTAAAAAAACATTTCCTCAAGTCTTTTTTTTTTCTTTTGAGACTGAGTCTTGCATTCTATCGCCCAGGATGGAGTGCAGTGGCACAGTGATAGCTCACTGCAGCCTCGAACTCCTAGGCTTAAGCAGTCTTCCTGCCTCAGCCTTCTGAATAACTGGGACTACAGGTGGCCATCATGCCAGGTTAATTTTTACTTTTTTTGGCCAGGTGCAGTGGCCAATGCCTATAATCCCAGCACTTGAGGTCAGGAGTTCGAGACCAGCCTGGCCAACATGGTGAAACCCTGTCTCTAATAAGAATACAACAATTAGCTGGGATATGGCGCATGCCTATAATCCCAGCTTCTTGGGAGGCTGAGGCAGAAGAATTGTTTGAACCTGGGAGGCGGAGGTTGCAGTGAGCCGAGATTACGCCACTGCACTCCAGCATGGGCAACAGAGTGAGACTCTGTGTCAAAAAAAGAAAAAAAATTTTTTTTTTTTTGTAGAGATACGGTCTTGCTATGTTTTCAAGGCTGGTCTTGAACTCTTGGACTCAAGTGACCTCCTCCCTTGGCCTCCCGAAGTGCTAGGATTACAGGCATGAGCCACCACACTCAGTCCCCTTAAGTCTTTGTCTTGATGAAGACACTGATCCCAAAGTGGTCTCTTTACTGTTGGCAGAGAGAATTTTAACATGTTTCTTTTCTGAGACAGTGAAAGAGGGAGAAAGGAAGAAAGCAAGGGCCAGTGCTCCAGAGGATGCTTATTCCTGGGTTAGTTCTTTTCTTTGGGCTTTGACCCTTTCGAGACTCTGATTAAAGTGTTGGACCCAAGAAAGAGGCATGTACACAGAAGAGTTGACATGATTTTAGGAGATCTGAAGATCTCCTGTTCTATAGAATTGATGGCTCTTCTCATTAACAAGAAGTATTGACATACTATCAGAATGATGGTCAGCAGTGAAATAAAGACATACATAATGGGCTCTATTCTGAAACTTGGTACTTGTAATCTGGGTGGGTAGGTTATAAAGGTCAGTGCTTGGGGCACACCTCAAATTTAGTCTCCTGATTTTGGAGTACTCTTTATTGAAGTCCTCAAATTACTTGATTTGAGGACTAAGATAAATGAGATTGAGATCATTCCGTGAGTTTCTTAAGAGAGCGTGATGATATTCAATTATATGAAGGTTTCCAGACCTGGAAGTGCCACTTTTCTGTGTCCTCCAGTTGAGAAGCTGTGAGTCCTGGGGACAGAGTCCCTAGCATAGCTTTGTGGGAGTCTGGGGGCTTACAGAGCAAGGGCCTTCTCAGGCTGCCTAGTAATGTGTAACGAATCTCACTGATCTTCTTTTCACTTTAAATAGGATGGGTATTGTCTCCTCTTTGTCTGGATTTCTGCATAAAGGGCTAGATGAAGATTATTGTAGGACCAGCAGCTTATACAGCTTTGAAAAAGTGACAGGTCTACGTGTGTAAGTGACAGTGTGTTCCGCTAGTGATCCCAGGGAGGATGAAATGGAGGTGTGGTGGGAGATGCTTCACATTTAGTAGCATCTAGTAGAAGGCATTTGTTTTGTTAATTATTTTTATATACATTACAGGAGAATTAGAAAATGCTGAAAAAACAAAAGCGTACAAACATCTTTAAAAACAAAGACATTGTATCATGTTGTAAATACTGTTTTTAAAACCTTTTTAAATGTTTAAAAAATTGCAGATATATAGAAAAATTGAGAAAAGCAGAAAAATTGTATGGTAAATACTAGATTCAGATTAATCTTTATTTGATAATAATTTTGTGCTTATGATTAAGTTATAAGAATACAACCGGCCACGCACAGTGGCTCACGCCTGTAATCCCAGCACTTTGGGAAGCCAAGGCGGGTGGATCACCTGAGGTCAGGAGTTTGAGACTAGCCTGGCCAACATGGTGAAACCCTGTCTGTACTAAAAATACAAAAATTAGCCGGGCTTGGTGGCAGGTGCCTGTAATCCCAGCTAGTTGGGAGGCTGAGGCAGGAGAATCGCTTGAACCCGGGAGGTGGAGGTTGCAGTGAGCCGAGATCGCGCCATTGCACTCCAGCCTGGAGGACAAGAGTGAGACTTCATCTCAAAAGAAAAAAAAGTTGGTCCTTTAGGGGGAAAAAATATAACAAGAGAATTTTGGAATGTTCTTCACCCAGATTTCCGAAAATGTTAATGTTTTACTACATTTGCTTTGTCCCTATTTTTTTTTTTTTTTTTAGAGACAGAGTTTTGCTCTTGTTGCCCAGACTGGCGTATAGTGGCACGATCTTGGCCCACTGTGGCCTCTGCCTCCTGGGTTCAAGCGATTCTCCTGCCTCAGCCTCCTGAGTAGCTGGGATTACAGGCATATGACACCATGCCCGTCTAATTTTGTATTTTTAATAGGGACGGGGTTTCTCCGTGTTGGTCAGGCTGGTCTCGAACTCCCGACCTCAGGTGATCCACCTGCCTCGGCCTCACAAAGTGCTGGGGTTACAGGTGTGAGCTACTGCGCCTGGCCGTCCTTTTTTTTTTTTTTTTTTTTCCGACACAGGGTTTGGTTTTGTCACCCAGGGTGGAGTGCAGTGGCACAATCACAGCTTAGTGTAGCCTCAACTTCTCAGGCTCAATAGAGCCTCCCATCTCAGCCTCCCAAGTAGCTGGGACTACAGGTGCATGCCACCAAGCCCAGCTATCTTTTTGTAGAGATGGGGTTTTGCCATGTTGCCCAGGTTGGTCTCAAACTCCTAGGGTCAAGCAATCCTCCCACCTTCATTTCCCAAAGTGCTGGGATTATAGGTGTGAGCCACCACACCTGGCCATCCTTTTCTTTAACCTCTTTCTTTGTGTGTGTGTGTCTGTGTGTATGTGTCTTGCGTGTATGTTTGTGCTTGTGTGTCTTTTTTTCTGAACTAAGAGTAAATTGCTCTCATGATGTCTCCTTAATCCTAAATACTTGTGTGTGTGTGTGTGTTTAAAAAAAAAAGTTATTTTATGTAGCCACAGCACAGTGATCAAAATCAGGAAGTTAACATTTGTAACAATACCATTATCTAATCTGCAGGCCTTATTCATATTTCACCTATTGTCCCAATATGTCCTTTATAATGAAAGAAAGTCCCAGATCCTGTGTTGTATTCAGTTGTTACTCTCCTTTAATCTGGAACTATTCTCAGCGTTCTCTTTGTGCTTCAGAGTACATACTGTTTAGACCTGATTTTAAAAAAATAATACATATGAAACATTTTTCCATATTGAGAGATATTGAAAGCAGTGTATCCCAGTGATTGAGTCAGGGCTCTGGAGCCAGAATACTTGGTTTCAAATCCTGATTTCACTACTTAATGCCTGTGTTATCCTGGACAAGTTTTTTACCTGTGAAATGAGGAGTACTGATACTACCTCATAGGATTGTGAGAATTAAATGCAGAAGGGCTCATTACTGAGTTCAGTGCCTGGCACAGACTAAGTGCTCAATAAACACCAGCTATTATTCACACCATTCAGTGGATTCCTAAGGGACATTTTGCAAACATCTTAGTTCTGTTCTCTCTTCCTCTCCCCTCCTTCACTTCTTCACATCTGGGTTCCCAAAAGCAAATGGTCAGCTTACTAGACAATGGTATGGTTTGAGATGGAAACACTGCTCTAAAAGAGTGGCTCCTAGATGCCAGTGTATGAACTCCAGTTGTGTGGTAACAGAGTTTTCACTGGTGCAAGAATCATAATAATGAAGTTCTTTTTCTTAAGTGCTAAATGTATTCAGTTGTTTCATTATGAAATTACATTGTTCTCTCTCATCTTTTGGTGTTAAAGTGTCCCTTTGTAAAATGATGTTTATTATAGATGATTGTTCTGTCATTATTGTATTTTAATATTTTTAGTAGGCAATAAAAAGAAGCCAAATCTAATACTCTCCAAAATATTTTTGGAAATATTAATGGTTGATCACAGCCAGTGGTCTGGGAATTCGTGCTTTAGAAGATGTATGTTTGGCTTTGTGTTTATATATATATGAGTACCTGTGAACGATATTTGTATCTAGAAATACACTAGTCACTGATTGAATGTTTATTGACTCCCTCCTGAACACCAAGACATTGTACTAAATGCTTCGCATATCTCATTTCATCTTCATAATGAACCCTGTGAGCTTTGTATTGTTCTGTTTACAGTGAGGAAATAGAATCTCAAAGAGGTGATGTAATCCACCGAAGGGTTACACAGCTATAAGTGACATAACTGCAGTTAGAACTCAGGTCTCCCTAATTACAGAGGCCATTTGGAATTTTAGCCTAGAATCCATAAATCCACAAGCTAATGGGTGTCTTTTCCATCGAAATATGCTGAAGATACAGTTATCCCGTAGAGGTCTTCAAAAAACACTTTTTTAAAAGTAGTCTTGTAGTACAAAAAGTTGAAAACATTTCTCCACCCTTTAAACAACAGTCCTTTGGATGATAAAACAGGTGAGAGTTTCTCCTTTCTGGTGACTCTTAAATTAGGAATAAAACTACCACCTTGCCTGAACCAGTGTGATTCTTCAATCTTTGGTTCTAACTTACAGAGTGCTTTCTAGGGGAAAAACAAAATTGCTCCTGTGTGAAATTAGTGGTTATCCAAGAAATACTTCCAGGAACTCTTGACTAGGCGTAGAAAATAAGATGGCATTTAGTGACTTACACTAATGTGAGGTTAAAAGTTGAAGGCCAACTCGTGTTGCCGAAGTAGACAGATTCTCTGTAGTTGCAAAGCTGTGAGGCTCCCTGTCTGGTGCAGCGTTTCTTCAATTTGGCTGCACATCACAGCCTTCTGTGGTGCTTTTTAAAAATACATAATCCTGGCTGGGTGCGGTGGCTCACGCCTGTAATCCCAGCACTTTGGGAGGCCAAGACGGGCAGATCACGAGATCAGGAGTTCGAGACCAGCCTGACCAACATGGTGAAACCCCATCTCTACTAAAAATACAAAAATTAGCTGGGCATGGTGGCGAGCGCCTGTAATCCCACCTACTCATAAGGCTGAGGCAGGAGAATTGCTTGAACCCAGGAGGTGGAGGTTGCAGTGAGCCAAGATTTCGCCACTGCACTCCAGCCTGGGTGACAGAGTGAGACTCCATCTCAAAAAAACAAACAAAAAACAATCCTGCACCCCACTCTAGCCATACGAATGAGACTCTTTGACTGAGGGACCCATGTATACGTGCAGTTAACAAGCTCCTTCAGGTGCTCCCAAGGTCCAGCATGCCTCTGGCTGTTACCTGGAACTGGGTCCACACCAGCCTTGGGAAGAGTAAGGCACCCTTAGGCTAAGGATTGCTGTCTCTTTATTATTTGTTTATTTTCTAAGCAAGCTAACATAGGAGATTGCTATCTCTTTAAAGTTGCAACTTAAACTTCTAATCAGGGTTACTAGAGGTGATGAGTGAAGGAAGCCTTGGGCTCATCAGAGCTCCACAGGGCATTTTTAATCCCTTTTTCTTAATTGTCACTGAAATTATGAGCATACTCTCAGATGCCAGTTTCTGTAAACTGCTTGATAACATGCTCACCATTTCCTTGTTCTAAATGGTAGTTGTTGAAGATTAACTTCATGCCAGTTTAATCATCCACGGATTGATGTCATGCCTTTCTGTGTCCTGTATGAATTCTGCCAGTGGTGTTAAGAGGAGGACGGCAGGGGATCTGCACTGCAGCCTCGGACTCCTGGCTGTGGCCCATGGAGCCCAGTGCCGTGGGTGCTGCCTTGCCTCATGGCAGCCTCTTCTCACAAGCTGTGATTCTGACTGATCTGTTTCCAGTTCCTTGAATGTGCCACCCTCATGCTTCTTGTGCCCTCAGATCTTTTGGTGGACTCCCTCTAATTACTTGAGTCTCAGCTCAGATATTGCCTCCTCAGGGAGAGGTTCCCTTGCCCATCCCTTGTATTACCTATTTTATTTTCCTTATAGCATTTTTCACTATCTGAAATAATTTTATTTGCTTCTTTGTTGTTTGTTTCTTCCACTCTGATCTTAATTCCATTCCTGTCTGTCTTGTTTCTCTTTGGACCCTCAGCATCTGGAACAGTACCTGGCTTGTAGTAGGTGTTCACCGTATTAAAGGAGTGAAGGGTTTGAGTTCTGTACCCTCGCCTACCTGTCCCACAGGGCAGAGCTGAGCTGAGCTTGTGTAGGTACCTCTTGTCGCTAATGGCTTAGAACTGCAGCTGTTTGCTGGAGCAGAGCTTAATACCCTCACGCCTGATGATTTTCTAAATCTGTCATTCTGCAATGCCTCCATGGAGCTTCTTCCTTGCCTATGTGTGGTAGGTTAGAATGACAATAGTTATTTGGGAATATATGACCATAAGGCTCAGTTAGAGGGTAAGTGATCCCTTTGGATTAGAGTTAGTTTCATAGTCTCTCAAGTGGCAAGATTTTGGTCTTCTGGGCAGGAGCTGTTTCCTGAGATCCTGGATAGTAAAGGATGTCTTGAATTTGGAAGAATTTAGCCCTGTTGTCTCCTCTTTCCCCTTGCTATAGAAATACAGTAGGCTGGGTACAGACAAACTTGAGACTGACTCCCAGAGACATAAGTGCGGCGTGCCTGGACAGCGTACTGCTATGTGTTTTATAAAGTGCCTTCCAAAAGCTTCAGGACCCTCTATGGGTTAGAGCGGTCTTCCTAGGGGACCCCTTTGAGAATCTGATATAGTAACAGACCCTCTCCTCAGAAAAATGTACAAGCACCCGTGCATATGGTTTTGCCTATCATCTTGAGGGTGCAAAGACTTCACGGATGCCCTTCAGGGACCCTAAAATTCTGTTTGGGGATTTAAGTTGGTTTGTTCATCCATCACAGCTGGGTCATAGCTCTTCTGTGGCTGTGTCTTTCTGACTTGGTCTCCTGTCTTCTGTGCCCTCTCTTGTTTTTATCATAACCTGCTGGACCCTCTCAGGCCCAGAAGAGGCGATATTCTCCAGGAGTCCAGGTACTCAGTTCTTGGCTCATCATGAGCATCCCTCATTCCCATGTGTCCATCCAACATTTGTTGCTGTTTCAAGTCCATGTGGTTGTCTCAGGAGTCCCCGGTCTCTGGTCTCGACTGCATCTCCATCTTGCATGTTAACCATTTGGGACAAAGGGACAAATACTCCCCAAAGGAGTGGCATGCCTCATGTTACCCCTTCACCACCTCACTACCCTGCCTTTTTGCACTGCCTTGGCATTGGGCTTGTTCTGGAATGATTAGTTCGCCATTTCTAAGGAAGAATTGCTCCTACAACTCTACTGGGGAGAGAGGGCCCCTGAAATAGATGGGAAAATGAGTGGCTTATGGGAAAACTTGCAATTTTCTCCCTGTTAAGGGAGAACCTTGCCCTCTTATTATTATTCGGAGAAGTTACGTGTGGAGGAGGCTTAAGTGGGCTGGAAAGTCTTTTGACTAAGGACAGTCATTGTGGCTGGCTGAGCCCATCCAGCAACCCCGTTCCATGTTCTGAGTTCTAATCCATTTAGCCTTATATGCTTATAGAATTTTAGAATTGAAAAGAGCTATCCTGAATGGAAAGATTCCCCTGCTCAAACAGGTATTTTCAGAATACCCGCTGTGTGCAGAACCATGGTTGGGAGGAGATGGGGCTGAAGTTTAGACATATGAAGACGTGATGAATGAATTTTTTCTTCAAGAAGCTTATGTGGCAGTTGGGGAGATAGGTACATATACACGAAAAGGAAACCCCTGGTATTAGGCGGCACATAAGTGCCAAATGGTGACCTTGGGGCATTCAAGTCAGACTCCAGCGTCTTAGGAGGACCACTTCAGGCCCACCCCAGTTCAGGAGCCAAGAGAATTACTGAAGGCAAATACCAAGTGTAGTCGCTTCCTGGGCCCATTTCCCTTGAGAGACCATCTGAATGTGGGCTCTCAGGGGCTGCTGACAATGAGGTCGAGTGGCTGCCTATTCTGCTGTAAGGGGCTCAACTTGTATGTGCTGAATTCCTGTTGCTGTTTGTACAGGCGTTCCTATGTGCTCTTCCTTAGTGTCTGCTTCCCCCTCTCTGCTTTCCAGCGGGTATTCCCCTACATCTCAGCCATGGTGAACAACGGCTCCCTCAGCTATGATCATGAGCGGGATGGGCGGCCTACAGAGCTGGGAGGCTGCACAGCCATTGTCCGCAATCTTCATTACGACACCTTCCTGGTGATTCGCTACGTCAAGAGGCATTTGACGGTGAGAGTCCTTGTCCTGGACCAGATGGTGGTGTGGGCTGTGTCGCTCTTGCTCCCATGGCCTGACCCTGATTTATCTCTCTTTTTATTCTAGATAATGATGGATATTGATGGCAAGCATGAGTGGAGGGACTGCATTGAAGTGCCCGGAGTCCGCCTGCCCCGCGGCTACTACTTCGGCACCTCCTCCATCACTGGGGATCTCTCAGGTACTGCCACGCGCACTCTTGGTTTGCCCTGACTGAGGCCTCTTCTCAATACCCACACTTCATTGAGGCCTCTCACAGGGGAGAGCCAGAGGAGCGGTGCTCTGGAAGGAGGTGCCTCAAGACTGCTTCTCCTTCTGCATTCTTATATCCACATTCCTTAAAAACCCACGCCAGGCTTTCCTAGTACAGTTGTCACTAGAAGATGGTTGGTGCTAATAGAAAGCAGTGTTTGTCCCTTCATTAAGCTGGCTCTTCTAGCCTGTATCGTGAGTTCCTTGCTTTCTGATTTCTGCTGTCAGGCTCCTCTCCTTCCAACCACTAATGTTCCCCGTTCCCCTTCCTTAACAAAGCTTTTCCTTGACTTTGCCGTCCCTCTTCTGACCCCAGACTCTCCTTTTGCTGAGACTTTTGAATGTGTTGTGTGTACAGATCCTTTTGTTTCCTAGCTGTCCACCTCCTTAACATGCTGACTCAGACCTGTGCTCTATCTTGCTAGTACACTAACACCATTCTCATGAAAGGTCATTCTGTTTCCTTGCCATATTCAGTACTCTATTCTCGTTCTCACCCTTTGTCCTCCTCAGCTCATTTAACCCATTACCCTGAAACTCTTGCCTTCTTGACTTATGTGACATTAACAGCACCTGGTTCTTTTACTTTTCCATCTCCTCTTGTTTCTTTTTCTACTTATGCCTGATTCGTAGCTTCTCGTTTATACACTTACTCTCTTTGCTTGAACCCCAATCATAACATCTTTTGGGAAGAGAAAAGGAACTGAACTTCTGTTTCTTTTGATTAATATAATTTGTTCTGGATAAAGCTAGTTTGGAATAGAAGTTTCTTGTGGCAAAATAGAAAGGCAGATACCCATCTGAAAAAGCCGACAGCTAGTGAGCTCCAGCCATTGTAGCTAAAAGGAAATGTCAGCTCAGTGAGGCTAAATCTTCCAGTTTTTCAAGAGCAGTTGGAATTCTGGATTTTTTTTTATATATATATATGGAGTCTCGCTCTGTCGCCAGGCTGGGGTGCAGTGGCGCCATGTCAGCTCACTGCAACCTCCACCTCCTGTATTCAAGCGATTCTCCTGCCTCAGCCTCCCAAGTAGCTGGGACTACAGGCGCGCCACCACGCCCAGCTAATTTTTGTATTTTTAGTAGAAACGGGGTTTCACCATGTTGGCCAGGATGGTCTCCATCTCGACCTTGTGATCCGCCCGCCTTGGCCTCCGAAAGTGCTGGGATTACAGGCATGAGCCACTGAGCCCAGCCTGGATAATCTGGATTTTTAAAATGCAATCTGCTGATCTTTAAAACTCTGGCATCTGATTTTTTTAAAATCAACTTTACTGAGGTGTGCTTTCCATACAACAGAAGAATACAGTTTGAAGAGTTTTGACAAATATTTACACCTATGTAGTCACCATCACAATTAAGATATGAATGTTTCCATCACCTGCCAAAAGCCTTATTATCCCCCTTTGCAGTATTCCTCCCCTTCTTGGATTCCAGGCAACCATTGATCTGCTTTCTGTCATGCAGAGAGATTAGTTTTGGCAATTAGGTTCTAAGTACCGAGCAGGCCAGACCTGTGGGAAAAATTTAGTCTCGGCAGGGGGATAGGAGGCATAGGCTGGAGATCTTTGCTATATAATCTCATTATATGACTACACATTTTCCTTTGAGCTTACAGGTTTCTGGGTTAACCTCCTGACGTACTTTTTAATGGAAAGTCCCCAACTGTCAGAAATGGCAGGGGAGAATAATTTTTTGTTTAGTCTAAGTTTTTTGCCCTAGGTCTTTAGTGAGAATACCCAAGTTAGTAAGTCTGTGTTCTCTGCCCATAGGGTATCCCTAAATGCAAGTTGTTTCTTTCTTTTGAGGTCTTTCTTGTTGCCATCCTCTTACTTGTTGTATAGTAGGTTGTTGAAAACTGCTGAGAAAGTTAGGATGTTTCCCAGCCGTTCCAGGCTTTAATGCCCTGCATTGCATGAGGAGCATTGCCCTGGCCTTTTATCCTGTCCCATGGTTTAAACTGAGCTCTGACAGTTAACATTTTTCCAACAGAAGATGAATCCAGTTTTTCACTACCTGGGAATCTGCTAAAGATTCTAGCAGTCCAAGCAGCTGTGGATGCTCTCCTTATAAATGACCAGAAATCCAGGCCCCAGTCAGTAACCAACCTAGTAGCAATGAGCACCCCTAGCACTCAGATTTGTGGTCTCTAAATACCAATTCCCCCTAAAAGGAACTGCAGCTTCCTTGAGAAATGGCTGATGCAGGGTTTGAGGTAGGAAATCTATAAGTTGGAACTTCCCAGAAAAGCAAGGAAGTTATAAAAAACTTCTGGGTTTATGTAAAGAGACGCAGGAGCCAAACTGAATAGGCTCCTACTTGACAAAGACAGGTGAGTTGAGCATCAATAAGAATCTAACTTCAGGCCAGGCGCGGTGGCTCACGCCTGTAATGCCAGCACTTTGGGAGGCCACGGCAGGTGGATCACCTGAGGTTGGGAGTTCGAGACCAGCCTGACCAACATGGAGAAACCCCATCTCTACTAAAAAAAAAATACAAAAAATTAGCCGGGCGTGGTGGTGCATGCCTGTAATCCCAGCTACTTGGGAGGCTGAGGCAGGGGAATTGCTTGAACCTGGGAGGCAGAGGTTGCAGTGAGCCGAGATCGTGCCATTGCACTCCAGCCTGGGCAACAAGAGCAAAACTCTGTCTCAAAAAAAAAAAAAAAAAAAAAAAGTCTAACTTCAGTGCATTGCAACACATCAGATATGGTTAAATGTAGGAGTTTATAATGATACTTTAAAGAGAGAAATCTAGTCCCTAATTGCTTGATCTTCTCTCTGGTAATTATTAGGGAGATTAAGAGTCACAAGTACAAGAAGCCACAGAGAAACAGGCATAGTCTAGAAGGGCAGTGTATCCCATGCCCATAGCTGTGCCCTGCCCATGGCCCATTAAACAGCGGCCATGAGACCTTTTCCTGTTGTACGTGTGTGTGTGTGCACGTGTGTGGTCTTCACCAGCGGGGAAGCTGCAGTCCTACTTTGTCTGTTCTTACTGTGCTGGAAGGTTTAACATATGGGATTTAATTGTGGTTTTATCTCCAAATTTTTTAATTATACAGATGCGTCTTGACATACAATGGCGTTATGTCCCAATAAACTCATTGTAGGTTGTAGATATTGTAAGTTGAAAATGCATTCAATACACCTACCCTACTGAACATCATAGCTTAGCCTAGTCTACCTTAAATGTGCTTAGAACATTTACATTAGCCTACAGTTGGGCAAAATCATCTAACACAAAGCCTATTCTGTAACAAAGTGTTGAATGTCTGATGTAACGTATGGAATACAGTACACGATGCAGTACTGGTTGTTTACCCTTGTGATTGTGTGGCTCACTGGGAGCTACAGCTCACTGCTGCTGCCCAGCCTCAGTACAGAGTGTTGTACTACACATCGCTAGCCTGGGAAAAGATCAAAACTCAAATTTTGAAGTATGGTTTCTGCTAAGCGCAGATTACTTTCACACCATCATAAAGTTGGAAAATTGTAAGTCGAACCATTTTAAGTCAGCGATCTTCTATACAGGTAATGCATGCTTGTTGATAAAAACTTAAATACAGAAGATATAGAATATGCCTTGTTCCCCATCCTTATTTTTAGTTGCAAAATGGAGAGGTTTCAATTATTTTTTCAAGGTCACTGCTGGTTAGCTGTGGATCAGAGGCTTGAACTAAGATACTGACTTCAAGAAACATACCTCTTTTTCAAGTGGCACAAGTCATCCTTCTTCCATTTTTCTTCAGATAATCATGATGTCATTTCCTTGAAGTTGTTTGAACTGACAGTGGAGAGAACCCCAGAAGAGGAAAAGCTCCATCGAGATGTGTTCTTGCCCTCAGTGGACAATATGAAGCTGCCTGAGAGTGAGCACAGGGGCCCGCGGGAAATGGTCCCATAGTTGGGGAGGAGCTTGCAGTGCTGTACCCATAGCTCACAGGGCGGTCTCTGCTCTGTGTTCTTCTTCTGAAGGGTAGGGAGCACTTTCATCTGCCTTTCCCCTTCAAGTTACAGATGAGCAGCAGGAGGGCCGCTTTGTTTCTCAGTTGGAAAGAGGGGGTCTAAGCTCTGGCTTCCCAGAAGTAGGTGTCAGAAACTGGGGGCCGGACAGCCTATAGTTTGATCCTTCCCTATTGGGTGGGCTCCCTGTTTTCTGACTTGCTTCTCTCTTGCTTCCTCAGTGACAGCTCCACTGCCGCCCCTGAGTGGCCTGGCCCTCTTCCTCATCGTCTTTTTCTCCCTGGTGTTTTCTGTATTTGCCATAGTCATTGGTATCATACTCTACAACAAATGGCAGGAACAGAGCCGAAAGCGCTTCTACTGAGCCCTCCTGCTGCCACCACTTTTGTGACTGTCACCCATGAGGTATGGAAGGAGCAGGCACTGGCCTGAGCATGCAGCCTGGAGAGTGTTCTTGTCTCTAGCAGCTGGTTGGGGACTATATTCTGTCACTGGAGTTTTGAATGCAGGGACCCCGCATTCCCATGGTTGTGCATGGGGACATCTAACTCTGGTCTGGGAAGCCACCCACCCCAGGGCAATGCTGCTGTGATGTGCCTTTCCCTGCAGTCCTTCCATGTGGGAGCAGAGGTGTGAAGAGAATTTACGTGGTTGTGATGCCAAAATCACAGAACAGAATTTCATAGCCCAGGCTGCCGTGTTGTTTGACTCAGAAGGCCCTTCTACTTCAGTTTTGAATCCACAAAGAATTAAAAACTGGTAACACCACAGGCTTTCTGACCATCCATTCGTTGGGTTTTGCATTTGACCCAACCCTCTGCCTACCTGAGGAGCTTTCTTTGGAAACCAGGATGGAAACTTCTTCCCTGCCTTACCTTCCTTTCACTCCATTCATTGTCCTCTCTGTGTGCAACCTGAGCTGGGAAAGGCATTTGGATGCCTCTCTGTTGGGGCCTGGGGCTGCAGAACACACCTGCGTTTCACTGGCCTTCATTAGGTGGCCCTAGGGAGATGGCTTTCTGCTTTGGATCACTGTTCCCTAGCATGGGTCTTGGGTCTATTGGCATGTCCATGGCCTTCCCAATCAAGTCTCTTCAGGCCCTCAGTGAAGTTTGGCTAAAGGTTGGTGTAAAAATCAAGAGAAGCCTGGAAGACATCATGGATGCCATGGATTAGCTGTGCAACTGACCAGCTCCAGGTTTGATCAAACCAAAAGCAACATTTGTCATGTGGTCTGACCATGTGGAGATGTTTCTGGACTTGCTAGAGCCTGCTTAGCTGCATGTTTTGTAGTTACGATTTTTGGAATCCCACTTTGAGTGCTGAAAGTGTAAGGAAGCTTTCTTCTTACACCTTGGGCTTGGATATTGCCCAGAGAAGAAATTTGGCTTTTTTTTTCTTAATGGACAAGAGACAGTTGCTGTTCTCATGTTCCAAGTCTGAGAGCAACAGACCCTCATCATCTGTGCCTGGAAGAGTTCACTGTCATTGAGCAGCACAGCCTGAGTGCTGGCCTCTGTCAACCCTTATTCCACTGCCTTATTTGACAAGGGGTTACATGCTGCTCACCTTACTGCCCTGGGATTAAATCAGTTACAGGCCAGAGTCTCCTTGGAGGGCCTGGAACTCTGAGTCCTCCTATGAACCTCTGTAGCCTAAATGAAATTCTTAAAATCACCGATGGAACCAAACATGAGCTTCTGACTGTGTTCTTTCTTCTAGGAGTGGGTTTGGGGAAAGTTCAGGCCTTTATTCTGAGCAGGCCTTTTTTTTGAGCTTCAAGCCCATCAACCGTTGTTTTGCCTTCTCCTGGGTTGGAAAAGCCCTCAGCTCAGCTCAGAAGGAAAGGGGGTCACCTTGGCTAGGCAGAGGTCTCTGTCTCTTCAGGCTTTCTTTCCTTCCCATGCACTTAAACAGCACAGGCTATAGTGCTCTCCTGCAGGTGGGATTCAGGTGGAGGCATCTTCCTCCCACCTCCCCTCCACAATAGTAGAATGGCTCCAGGGTGCCAGAGGACAAACTGACCTAGAGCTTGGCCTTGGAGCAGGGAGAACTGAAAAAGAAAATGGTGGTTTTGTCTTTTTTGAGTTGAAGGGGAGATTGTATGGACCCGTGGGAGGACCTAGGTGGGCTCTTGAGATGGCCAAGGCAGCAGTGCAGGTGGAAGGGGTCTCATCAGAGGGGAGGGGCAGAGTGAGAGAGATGGAACCTGTAGGGTTTGTATGATTCCAGCTCATGAATACCTTGAGGCTTTTTAAAGAGGGCAGGGAAGACATGAAATGCAGTCCCCACCTGCCTTGGGGTCCTTTAGAGAAATGTATGGTGCAAGAAAACCACCTGACCTGGCATAGGATGCCCTGCTTTGGTTCTTGCTTTTTGTTCTAGAAACAAATGTTTCCCATCATGAATGGGTGGAATGTTGTCCTGGGCAGTGTCATCCTAGCTGTGCTAGAGGAGGGAGATGCCTGGTCCGTGGTAGGGCTGTTCTGTACATGCATGCTGTGGGTGAGAGCCAGTGCTTCGGCTTGCTGCTTACCCATAAGGGCCACTTCTCACAATCACCCTTTCCCTCCATTGCCCTCTGATTCCGAGCCTCTTAGCATGAAGAGACCCTGTGGACTAGAGGTGGTATATAAAGATGACATCACTCCCTGTCCCTGTGAGTCTTGTCTGAAGGGCTGGCATCTTCAGCCTTTCATGTTGTCTTCAGCGCCCCCAAATTACAAGATGGCTCTCTGTTATAGAACTTGTTTATTTCAGTGGAAAATTACAGCTCTGCTCGTCTTGTTGAAAGTGATTTCTGAACACAATAGCCAGAATATTCCTAGCATCTTGCATATATTCTAGAAGATAGAAACAAAGAACTGGTAGCCAGCCCAAGGGGAGGGCTGTTGGTAGCAGGAGGAAAGCCAGGCAGCATGGACTAATTAGTCTCCTGGGGCTGGAAGTTCTGGGAAAATATCACTCAGGTGATTTGTGGGTCCTGGGTGGAGTTTCCACTCATGGTCTATTGTAGGCTTTAGGTTTGGATCCTGGGTGGGAAGGATGGAAGAGCTGGCGTTGCTGGTGTTTAGTGAATTGATGATATTGAATATTTTAATGGGAGGATACAGCTGAAGTTGAGGTTTGATCCAGCTCATGGCCAAATAGTGCTAGAGAGAACAGACAACAGTTAGCCTGGGGTGGCAAGCTGAAGACGCTGTCCCCAGAGTCATCCCGAGACCACCTTTGTCCTTGCCCCCATGGCTGCCACTCACCGGAGCTGAATAGATGAAGTTAAACAGCATAAGTGCTATAATCGATATGACCATAAAGGCTATGAGTTTGAAGCGATAGCGTTTCCAGAAAATATAGCAGAAGTTTTGAACTGGTGACCGCAGCCACGTGAAAGAGGTGTTGGTGCGTCTGTCCAGGAGCCAGGGAGATGTCAGAGAATGGCAGGGAGAACCTTCAGGTCAAGTAATCTGATGCAAAGAGCTTTCTTTTTTAAAAAAGCAACTACTGGGCCAGGCACAGTGTCTCACGCCTGTAATCCCAGCATTTTGGGAGGCCGAGGTGAGTGGATCACCTGAGGTCAGGAGTTTGAGACCAGCCTGGCCAACATGGTGAAACCGCGTCTCTACTAAAAATACAAAAATTAGCCGGGCATGGTGGCATGTGCCTGTTATCCCAGCTACTCAGGAGGCTGAGGCAGGAGAATCGCTTGAACCCAGGAGGCAGAGGTTGCAGTGAGCAGAGATTGTGCCACCACACTCCAGCCTGGGTGACAGAGTGAGACAATTATCTCAAAAAAAAAAAAAAAAAAAAAAAGGCAACTTTTGCTTACTCCAACCCTCACCCCAAGTCTGTTCTTTGCTGATTGTAACTGAGCACAGAGCTGTGGGGTGGGAGGTAATTACCACCTCTCCATGATAGGCCCACTGGTCACCACCCCATACACACTGAGGAGCAAGAAAGATCTGGTGCTTTTGCCCCAAGGACCCTTACAGGGGAGGATGAAGTGTGGGGTACTGGTTGGGTTCCGACTGGCCTCGCCCGGCTGGCTTGATTAAGGCTTCCTTCTCTGACAGAATCTCCAGGCTCATCTTCACCTTGCCCTAGGAACACCATGGGTGAGGGGGAGGCTGAGTGCAGACAGCAGGAGCCGGGTAGTTTTAGGACCTCTTCCCGGGATCAAGAAAGGAAAAGGGATTTAGCTAGGTCCCTAGATGTCTGTTAGAGCCAGGACATGTGGCATAGCAGCCCTAATCAGTAGACACTCCCCAGCTCCTACCGACAAGCGCCATTTGCCACCATCGAGGACCTGGCAAGGCCACCAGCCAGTCACAGTCTTCTTCTTAAAGAGGGAGAAGTGCTTGTATTGGATGAAATAGGGCCACTTGGGGTCGGCGTCCATCATCCTGATGGAGCACTGCTTGGCGTGCCGAGCCGGGAGGGGCATGTCAGACAAATCCAGCTCCAGGACCCCTGAGCCCAGAAAAATGACATCAGCAAGAAGGAGCTCCCTGTCCTGTGGTCACAAGCCCTGTGTCAGGACCTCACCTAGGAAGTCGTCGGGGGAGAAGATGTCATTGTCCCAGACCTGGATGATAAGTCGGGCTGGGAACTTCATGGACGTGGCATCCAGGCTCCATATGTAATCCTGGGGAAATGGCGGAAGGGCGTGTTACCGGCCTGTCTCCTGGACGTTTCCCTTGCACCCCTCAGTGGCCCTCCACCCAGCAGTGATAGACTATCAAGGAAGAGGGTTTCCACCTGAGGACATGTTTCTGATGTTCTGGGACAGATTGCAAGCCTCTGGAGGGGTGGGGGGAGGAGCTCCAGGAGCCTGGGTCTGTTTGTTGTGGCCTGTTGCCCCTCACGCCCCAGGCCTGTTACCTTCTGGCTCTGGACACACGTGCGCTCCGCCGCCAGGTAGTCCATGGTAAAGATGAACCGCCAGTTGAAGTCGGCCTCCCCAGTCAGCGAGTGGTAGTGGATGTCTGTCTTCTGCATGTCCTTCTCCAGCCCGTATAACCACCTGGGGCCAGAGTCCTATCACCTGTGGCTCATGTGCATTGGCCCCATCCCCCAGCTGGAGCCCCATGGGAAGGGCTGCCCAGCCGACGCCAGGCAGAGCTGGATGGAGAGGTGTCCCATTCAGGACTGGGCCGTGCCAGCAGGATGACAGAACTGGGGAACTGAGGGGCTCTGCCGGAGCCTGACTCCTCTTCCCTACCCTTTGATGTAGATGTCGCTCGTCTTCTCTCTACTTAAATTGTCATCCACCAGGTCCACATTGGCAGTCTTCCAGATGATGCATCGCAGCTCATACCTGTGGCCACTGTGCTCTGAGGCTTTGCTGAGGAGGAGCTCCCCAGCTGCAGCCTCAGTGAGGGCAGAGAAGCCTGGGAGGCTGCCCTGTGTGTTTTTGCTCAGTGTGGGGAATTCAGGGGAAGAAAGCTCCCAGTAGAGCTTCCTCTCTTCCCAATAGAGAAACGAATTACTGCAGCTCAGTACCTGAGGACAGTGGTGCCCTGCACTGGGGGAGTTCTGAACTGTGAAATGCAGCAGTTGGGAAGTGGGCTGTCACTCACCGTTTAGGCTTTCTGGGGTTGATGTTGACTTGGGGGCCAGGAGGCCCCAGCTTCTTGGGGAAGATGTCCACCCACATTTGCACCTTTCCCTAGAGCCGGGATACATTGACTGGTTGGGGGTTGCTAGCCTCTGTTCTCAGCAGGCTGGCCTGGGGTTCCCTGTCCCAGGTTCTGAGGTCTGTTGAGGTTGTGTTCCCAACACCGAGGGGTGGGGTACAGAGATATCTGTGAGGCCGCAGGTGACCACGCACCAGCTTCCCCCTTTCTTTTGGCTGAGAGAGTAGTGCAGGGAGATTGGGACACGGTAGCTTTGGGGCTGATGGCATGGTGCTGGGATTCCACTTACGACAGGTCTGGAGGGTGAATGCCACTCCCTAGGTCATGCTAGATGGCCTGTCTGGACAGGGGTCCAGATCGGAGTTGGGGCATCATTTATCAAGCAGCTTGGTGTTGCTTGATAGCCTCGAGTATGAGGAAACTAGATACCAGTCCAGATTTTCAGGTCATTTTATGTTATGAACTACAACCTAAGGGTATTAAGCTAGCCACACATACAGAGGAAAGAAGGTAAGGGATGAGAAGGAGGAGAAAAGGAAAGAAAAGGGGAGAACTGCCAACATTGAAGAATACACAAATACGTTCTGCCTTTCAGACCACCTGACCTCATTATATTCTTCTGAAGTTGACCCATTTGAGAAAACAGGTTTAATGGGAATGGTTTTTTATTTGTTTTTTGAAACAGAGTTTCCCTCTGTCACCAGGCTGCAGTGCAGTGGCATGATCTCAGCTCACTGCAGCCTCTGCCTCTCAGGCTCAAGCGATTCTCGTGCCTAAGCCTCCTGAGTAGCTGGGATTACAGGCACCCACCACCATGCCCAGCTAATTTTTGTATTTTTAGTAAAGAGGTTTTGCCATGTTGGCCAGGGTGGTCTCAAACTCCTGGCCTCAAGTGATCTGCCCGCCTCAGCCTCCCACAGGCTGGGATTACAGGCGTGAGCCACTGCACCTGGCCTGTGGGAATGGTTTTTTAAAAATTTTGCTCAGCAGAGGACTTTCTGTCTGGAATGTGGTATGAGCTTGAGAAGTTTAGAGAATGAGATGAGCCATTATGGTGGCTGCAGAGTGAATGATAATTAGGTGCGTTTGGGGATTTTTATTTCTCTGTTTGGGGTTATTTGCTGTGAAGAAGACACAGCCTACAATTAACAGCCAGAACCCGCGTTGTCATGTCTGCGCTGTCTGACCTGAGCGCCACCTTCCCACCCCTCGGGAGAGACTTAAGGCAATGGAGACATTGACTGGTAGGGCTCCCTGGTGCCTCCCACAGCTGGCGCATGGCCTCTGTTTCTTGTAGATGACCTTTCCAGCTCTGAAATTCTCCATTCTAAGTGACACCACCAGAACTTCTTGCTTATTAATGTGCACAGCATGCTTGTCTTCTGTGCATGTACATTACTAAATGTTTGGCCTGTCCTTCTCCTCTCGTGGACTATGTCCTGGGTGGACAGGCATCTCTGTCTCCTGATCTAGCTCCTCCTGTAGGAGCCAGGAGTGGCCCCTCCAGTCTCATACCTGGTCGATGCCTGGCTGGCTGTGGCTGTACAGTGTGCGGGTCTCCACGTGCTCAGGTACCAGCCCCTGGGTGTGCAGGA
Organism: Homo sapiens; assembly: GCF_000001405.40. Lineage (NCBI taxonomy): Eukaryota > Metazoa > Chordata > Mammalia > Primates > Hominidae > Homo > Homo sapiens. The sequence continues at coordinate 96,700,391 of NC_000002.12, read as the reverse complement.
GGTACAGTGCAAGGCGTTCCTTCTTGGGTCCCAAACCATGAACAGTAGGGGTTTTGGGCTCTGGATTGGAGGGGGATGGAAGGAGGGGATTGCGAGGTCATTAGCCTTCCTATCTCCTAGGTAGGCTCTTACCCTCCCGACCGCAGCCTGGGTAGGAGTGAAGGGGAAAGGGATGGGCTGCTCTTTGGCTCCAGGGAGCTCTTTCCTTGTCCTCCCCTTTCTCCCCCAAGTCTGCAGCTCTTCCATTCTGGAGCCTCACAGCTTCCAGAGGCCTGTGTCTGTGCTTTCTGCTAGTGTTCTGCGCTGCTCACCAAAGCTTTGCAGCTTGAACTTTTTCCCATTATAGAAAACAGCATCTTCCTCAGGACTGAACAGAGGCGGAGGTAGCCCTTTCCGCTTGGCATAGCGTTCTAGGAGGTAGCTTGGGGGCATCTGATCCCGCCATCTAAAGGGCCCTGACCTGTGGGGGATGTGAGAGGAAGAGGTCTGGAGGTTTGGGTCCTGAAGAACACTGCTGTGAGCTGCAGGTTGACCACGGGTGGAAGCTTGGGTGGAGACTGGGCAGGTCTGGGCCCTGGTTCCCGCCCAGGATGCAGGCTTCTCCCAAGGGAGCTGTAGGCTCACTCTTCCACCCCACCTGACTCCCTTCCCCCAGACGGGCCCACTCTCACTGGCAGTAGGATTTGGAGAGCCCACAATGAGCTCCAAAGCCAGATAGGAGTCGGTTTTCAAGGTCGATGACTGTGGTTCCTATCTTATCATCAGGTGAAAATAGGTCGAAGTCATAGAGCTGGATCTCTAGGTCCTTCTCCAGGGGTATGTTGCAGGTGAGTTCAAACATCCTAGGGGTGAGGTGTTGGAGACTGCAGAGGATGTGGGCAATGTCTCTGTGCCCCCCTCCCTCACCGGTGTCTCGGCCCCGTAGGCCCCTTGTTTGTTCATGGAGATTGTGGAGAGCAGAGCATGGGGTAGGCTGCCTTCTGCCAATCGCCATCCCCTGGTTATGGTTGAAAATAACTTTGGATAGGCCTGGTGTGGGGCTCTGAGCTCCCCTCCCAGCCAGAGTGAGAAACAGGGTAGAACCGGCCCACCCATATATTTGTCTTCTATCTGTTGAGCACCAGGGCATGTAAGACGCTGTGGTGGGAACTTGGAGGCTGGACAGGAGTGCCAGAGTTCTGTGCCTTCTCCGGCCGACTTCCAGTGTGGTGTGGATAGGAGTGGAGAAGGGGTCTTGGGGGTTGGGGCAGCTCACATGCCAAAGATGGGATCCAGAGTGTTGGGCTGGTACATGTCCCGGTTGCCAAGCTCTGTCTTGCCCAGTTTCAGGATCACATAAGGGTCACACTGGGGTCAGATACAAGTGGGGGAAGGATAGGAACTGGGGAGGCCGTCCAGGTTTGTCAGGGAGGGTGGGAGGAGGGTGGAAACAAGCCCCTCGCACCACACGGAGCCTATGGGGAGTTGGCATTCTGTGTGTCAGCAGTCGGAGGGGGCTCCCAGAGATGGGTTGAGGGGAGCGTGCGGGGCACCTGTGTGGGGCAGGTACTGTTCTTTACCAGGCCATTGTAGTCCTGGGGCTGCAGGTTGATGGCTCGTACCATGTACACCCGCACCAAGCACGGCTGGGGGAAGTCCTCTCTCTCTGGCCAAACCAAGAACTGCAGCGGGGGCTTTGGGGCTTCTGGATTCTCAGGAAAGGGGTAGATGCGGAAAAGGCCCTGGCGGGGGGAGGGTGTTGGGGGCCCAGCCTGGCAGTGCTGGCCAGCTCTGTAAAGCCCTCTGGGAGGTGCCCCAGCCCATGTTCAGGAGAGAGAGGGTTGGGCTGAGGGTGGCAGGGATAGAAGGCCATGAGGACAGTGGAGGCAGGTACAGAAGGTGTTCAGCAGGGCCCACTATGTTGAAACAGGGTGTTGGCAAAGGAACCGCAGTCAGTAGGTGAGTTCCCCGTCTGTGCCGCTGTGGACTCATTCCACCCCATCTATCCCTTCAGGTTCGGGCTTGTTCTCTGTGGCTTTGCAGCCTTGGGAGGCCAGCATAGGCCAGGGTGGGGAGGGGAAGGGGAGCGCTCCCCGAGTTCCTGTGGAGGCGAATCTCTGCTCCTCCACTCCCAGAACGTTCTCAAGCCCTGCTCCATCTTCACAATGAGCATATAGAGCCAGGGCTTTTATTCGTTTTCCAGGGACAGAAGGTGCACAAGGAGACAGGGGCAGCTAAGCTGGGGTGGACACACACCTTGAACTCCCCTACCACGGGGCTGTCCAACTTGGGCTGCTCCTGGTAGAGTTTGAAGGTCTGGCAGAAGTCCTGCAGGCCCTGGAAGGCTGGCACGGCCTCCAGCTCACACTCATACACCTGCAGAGGTGTGTGGAACCCTGGCTGGTGGAGACTGTTCCCGTGATTAGGAGATGGAGGGACCACCAGCTCCCAGGTCTCACTCCAAAGCATCTGGCAGTCAGCGGCCCTGGGGCCAGCACTGTGTGCTTCAGACAGGGTGGCAGCTGGAGCTGTCTCTGGGAGACAGTGCGGGAACCTTCCCACTTGAGGCTTCCCAGAGGAATCAAGGCTAGCTCTGCTGGCCTCCTCCAGTGGGAGATTTGATTCCATCCCATTTCTTCCCTCCTTCAAACCTTGAGGGTGTGGTAGTCTTTGTACTTGTACTTCAGGGACTTGTGCTCATCTGTGGCCCAGAACAGCTTGCTCCACCAGTCCACCTCATGCTCATACTCATCCTGGCAGAGAAGAGGATCATTCTGGCCTCGGGCAGGGGCAGCCCCCCACCTCCCTGCACTGAATGGGGCTGAGCCTTCATCACCTCTGCTTTACTGGACTTGAACCAGAACTTTCTGTAGAGGTAGCCTAGGAACTGAAAAAGGAGAGGGTGAGCAAGGGAAAGCCATAGCTCACTCATGGGCTCTGACTTCAGAGAGGAGAGGGGGGTTGAGGCCAGAGCTTCCCTGGTGCCCTTGCCCTTGCCTTTCACATAGACCTTTTAATTCAGGGGTCTTTAGAAATGGGATCTAGGGAGCAAGAAGGAGGGGACAGATAGTTCAATGTCCTCATTGCCCATAGCTGCAGACTGGATTCTGGATTCTGGATTCTGGATTCTGGAAGGGGCTCAGAAATACAGAACCTCAAGCCCCACCCTGACCTACTAAGAGTCTGCTTTTGGTGACGATGTCTGGAGGATTCCTGCACATTCAGGTTTGACAAGTGCCACTTTAGAGCAATAGTTGGGGACCCTGAAAGCACATTGGAATCACCTGTGTGGAAGGGGTTGGAAAAAATGTTGATGCCTGGGTCCTACCTCAGCAATTCTGATAGATCAGTGGCTTAGGCCTCAGGAGTTTTAAAACTCTCAGGTGAGGCTGAGTAACCTCAGCACTTTGGGAGGCCAAGGTGGGAGGATCGCTTGAGCTAAGGAGTTCAAGAACAGCCTGGGCAACATAGCAAGATCCCTGTCTCTATAAATTTTTTTTTAAGTGGGGGATGGAAGTCTCACTCTGTTGCCTAGGCTGGAGTGCAGTGGTGGGATCTTGATTCACTGCAACCTCCACCTCTGGGGTTCAAGCGATTCTTGTGCCTCAGCCTCCATAGTAGCTAGAATTACAGGTATGCACCAGCATGCTCAGCTAATTTTTTTTTGTATTTTTAGTAGAGATGGGGTTTCACCGTGTTGGCCAGGCCGGTCTTGAACTCGTGACCTTAAGTAACATGCCCGCCTCAGCCTCCCAAAGTGCTGGGATTACAGATGTGAGCCACTGCACCCAGCCAAAAAAATTTTTTTTTAAGATTTAAGGCCGGGCATGGTGGCTCACGCCTGTAATTGCTACACTTTGGGAGGCCGAGGCGGGTGCATCACCTGAGGACAAGAGTTCGAGACCAGCCTGGCCAACATGATGAAACCCTGTCTCTACTAAAAATACAAAAAATTAGCCGTGCGTGGTGGCGGGCACCTGTAATCCCAGCTGCTCAAGAGGCTGAGGCAGGAGAACCTCTCGAACCCGGGAGGCGGAGGTTGCAGTGAGCCAAGATTGTGCCACTGCACTCCAGCCTGGGCAACAAGAGCAAAACTGTGTCTCAAAAAAAAAAAGATTGAAAAGTTTAAAAAAATCAAAAACTCTCAGATGATTCTAACATGCAGTCAGGCTTAGAGACCTACAGAGACCCTATAGGCTGAGGACCCTACAGAGCGAGGTGGGCCTCACAGTTGGGCACGGGTATCCAGACTGTTTAATGGACACCCCTCCTTAGGCCCAAGGGTTATACCCCGTCAACAGTATGGGAGAAGGTGGGCCTGCAGCCCTTACTTACGTCTTGGTGCTTCTTCTCAGACAGCGCTGTGCGGGGAGAGCGCAGGGACGAGTCTCAGGATGGGGAGAGGGCTGAGGAGGAAGCACCAACCCCACGGGGTAGCAGGGCCTGCCCCACTCCCAGTGCAGGCTCGCTTGTGAGGCCTGGGGAAAGGCACGGAGGAAGGGCCGTACTTGGAAGCTTTGGGTGCATATAGTCTTGAGCCCAGGGGTCACAGAAGTAGGGCTGGAGGAAGTCGATGTTGGCCTGGCCCGTCACGGTCTGCTGGCCGAAGGCCCAGTTGTCTACCACCTTCACCACGAGGGGCAGTGCATAGGCCTCCTCCGTCGGCATGAGCTGCAATCCCGAGGAGACGTGGGGAGCGTGAGACCCACAGAAGAAGAGGGCTGCCCAGCCCCTGCCCTGGGGCCTCTTACCACTGTGAGGACTAGGACAGACTCAGACTCGGGGAAGTTGGGGTTGGTCTGAAAGTCCCTGATGGGTTCTGTCCTCAGGGACTCTTCCCCGAATTCCACCAGGAGCTGGGGGGAGCTCGCCTTCTTCATGTTCCGAAGGCCCCAGGCCAGGATCTACCAGAACAAAGAAGGAGGGCAGGACAAGGGGCAGGCAGCGCCTCTGTAATGGGGTCCTGGCCAGAGAAGGGGGCTGAGGGGCAATAGCGGTGCAGCAGGAGCCTGCAGGGCCAGGGAATGGGGCTGCAGAGGAGCCAGTGTCTGAAGGCGCACAAGGACAGGCTTCCCCGTCCTGTGAGGGATCAGTGCTTGCCCTCGGGGCTGGGACGCTGTCCCCCAACCCATGAGGGAGGTGACCTCTGGCCACTGGCTGCATCCTCCACTGACCTCCATAGCCCGCAGGCATTGCCCCTCCTCACCCGCTGCCTTGTCTGGCCTCATCAGTTCTCAGGTAGGAGTTCCTGAAGCCGACTGCCTCTGAGGCCTGAAGAAGCAGGAAGTGCCTGGATTTCTCAGGGCCCCTGTGCCGTCTAGCTCATTGAGGACCCCATGGCCATTCAGTGACCTGGCATCCTGCCAGGAAATAGCTGCACCCTGACTTTGGGCCTCCTCGGGGCCTAAAGCGGGAACCAGCCAAGTTGCCTGATCTTGGGGAAGCCTTCAGTCCCAGAGGCCTGACCGTCTTGTGCTCTTTGCCACATTTGCGGCAGGGCACACAGCTTCTGAATGAGGACCCTCATGCTACTCTCAGAAGAGAGGTGAGCAACATCCTGGCATCTGCAGTCAGACAGGGCTGGGCCTAAATGGCCCTGTCAGTTAGTCCCTGCATCACTGTGCGTGGAATGTGTTATCTCTTGGAGCCTCTATTTCCTTCTCTGCAAAGTAGTTGCTACTGCGCAGGGGCAGCGTGAGTCCCACAAGTGATCATGCATGCTACAGCCCTTTGCCTACTCCTCACTGCAGAGGTTTGTGGTAAAATGATTTCCAGTGTTACACCAGAACCTCTTCGTTTCTCTCCTGTCTCCCTCCACCTCCCAGGTAGTCTTTTTCGGGGTGTGAGCTTTGGATCCAGTAGTCAGGGAGGACCAGCAGAAGGCTGCAGCGCACTCCAGACCACCCCCGCCTGTCCTGCCCACCGTCCCCATCCCACATCGCCAGCACCTCAATGGCCATCCTCTTTATCGTGGGCTGGATGCTCTTGGGGAGTGTGTATGCCCCATTCTTCCAGGGAACGCTTAAGATAGGCAGCTGCTTCTCTCCAAGCTTCTGGGGGAGGGCAGGGAGCATGAGGCCCTCTGGGCTGGTCCTGCTGCCCTCACCCTCACCTCAAGCAGGTCCCTCAGAGGCCTCACCGAGCCCAGAGCCCCATGGGTAGGGGCTGGCAGGGGGACTTAGGGGAGAGGCTGGTCAGGCCAGCGTCACCAAGCCCACAGCTCGGGATCCTGGGCCCCAGGCATTTCCTGACAGGGTGGAGTTGGCCCCCGCTGGCTGGGGGTGGGACGGGGAGGGGCACTGAGTGCCACACTTCCCAGCCAGGCCCTCTCTCCCAATACCTCAGTCTGGAGGATCAGCTCACAGGATGCCAAGATCTCGCCCTCTTCCTTCCCCAACTCCTTTACAAGGGGATGCCACCTCATGGGGGGCAGGATCCGGTCCTGGAGATCCAGCCAGACCATTGGGGGCCACACGCTCCGTCCCCACAAGCTCTCCTTGCCCTGGAGGGGGGAAGTTCACAAAGCATGGAGGCCATGCTGGCAGGGCCCAGCTCTGTCTGGGCTTCTCAAGGCAAGGGCAACAGCTGGCAGGTGAATTTCCATGGTGCTGTCTGCACGTCAGGCCTCATGGGAGCACTTTCCATACATTTTCATCTAAAATAAATCCCCTCAGCCACTCTGTGAGGTAGGTCCTCTTCCCCTTGCTCTGCCCAGCCCAACTTACCCAGAAGTCACGCTGCCACAGCTCCAGCACCACAAGCGGTGGGCTCTCTTTGGTGTCCTGTGGGTTCTCGTACAGAAGGAGGTGCTGGAAGATGAGTGTCTGGGCCCATGTGGGGCCTGCAGAGCTCCTCAGGGTTTGGGTGCACTGGCTGTGGTTCAGGAAGACCACCCGAATGAAGGGCCCTGGAGGGGTAGAGGAGAAGGTAGCAGTGTCTTGAGCTGGGAAGAGGGGCTTTCCTCTCCTCTGCTGCTGCAGCCACTGGACCCAGTGGGGCCCAGGAGGGTCAGGCAGGGCAGCCACTGAGGCCTCCCAGAGGCCCCCTCAGAGTCAGCTGCAGAGCACCGGGGCCTGTCACCAGAGGCCAGGCATCATCTGGTCCCATCCACGAGTTCTGTATGCCTCCCAGGGTTGAAGCCTGGGCCTCACAGAGATGGAGGGCAGGGGATCCTCTGGAGGAGTTCTAGGGACGAGGCCACTTGTGACTGCCCTTTTTTTTTTTTCTCTTTTTTTTTTGAGTCAGAGTTTCGCTCTTTCGCCCAGGCTGGAGTGCAGTGGCACATCTCGGCTCACTGCAACCTCTGCCTCCTGGGTTCAAGCAATCCTCCTGCCTCAGCCTCCCGAATAGCTGGGATTACAGCCGCCCGCCACCACGCCCGGCTAATTTTTGTATTTTTAGTAGAGACGGGGTTTCACCATGTTGGCCAGGCTGGTCTCGAATTCCTGACCTCGTGATCGGCCCACCTTGGCCTCCCAAAGTGCAGGAATTACAGGTGTGAGTCACCGCGCCCAGCTCTGTGGCTGCCCTTTCATGGCAGCAGCAAGTGGCCTGGCATCAGGGAGCGTCACATGGGCCTCTCGATGTGGGTGGTGAAGCCCAAGGGACACAGCTCCCTTGGAGCCCTGCCACCTACTGTCCCCACTCCCTACAAACAGCAATAAGGACCAGGCTGGAGCACATGGCTTGTCTCCTGAAACTTGCACTGGGGCGTCCTCACAGGACCAAGGACAGGCCCTCCCCACAGGCCCCTCCGCCTCTGTCCAAACACGAGTGATACATGGTTCCCAAGCATACTGCCCTCTCTCTTGCCCTCATGCCCCACTAGTAACTGCCAGACAAGCTCCTCCCTCTTCCATGCCCAGCTAAGTGGCCACCACTGGGATGGAGCCCTCTCAGCTCCCACTTCTAATTCCACAGCACTGGGGTCACGCCTCAAGAGCAGCCCTGCCTCGTAGTCTTTGTTTTGTGTCTTTTCCCCAAACCAGGACCATGAGCTGCTTGGGAGAGGGGTCTGCGTCTTTGTCACCCTCATCCATGCCCCTGTCTTTACACTGCTGAGCAGCTGACACCAGGACCCAGGGACAAGGCTTGCAGCTGGTGAGGGGCCGACAGGCAGGGGCCCTGGCTGGGACTGCAAGCAGGGCTGCCTTGGCTGCTGCAGGAACACAACCCTGCTCTCCTCCCTGAGGCCTTGTCCTCAGCTGGGGACAAGGCTGCCTGCCACCTACCTTGGAATGTCAGGATCTGATTGGACACCAGGTTCCGGGCCTGGTAGATGTAGCAGAAGAGCTGGTAGTAGTGGGGCTCTGGGGAAAGAGAAGCCATGCCTGTCACCTGCCCCAGGACCCCAGCGGCTCCCTCTGACTGCCCCCACCCTGTCCCCCCCCCCCGCCCTCGGGTACTGGCCTCTGGGGCCATTCAAGTAGACTCCCAAGTCAGTGCTTACTATTGAAGGTGCAGTAGATGAAGGGCAAGTTGGGGGGCCGGGTGTCCTGCCTCTGGGGGTCCCTGAACTGTCTGTCCAGACCCCATGGCCATGTCTTGCTGTCCTCTTCCTTCCCAGCGTGGTATTTCAGATCCATAGCCTGTACCCAGGACAGTCTCCCCTGAGGCTCTTGGGTGCTGCTCCTGTTTCCTCTAGCCCAGGCCCAGTCACCCTCCTCCCTCACACTGCCACCCTCGCAAGCCTGAGGAACAGAGGCCCTTCCTCCGCAGTCAGCGCCCCAGCCAGGCCAGGCCCTGGCTTCTCTGGGAGGTGGGGTTACAGGCAGGCATCACCCAGCCTGTGAGGCTTTACCAAGGACCCCTCCAGGAGGAATATGGGCGCGATGCCCTTGTCCTTGTTGGGGGCCAGCCTGCGGCGCCAGCAGCGGCGGCGGAACCGGCTCTGGGGCTGAGGGTTGAGGTGGAACTTGGAGCCGAAGGTGTCATACTCCCAGCCCTCCTCCTCGCCCTTGGCCAGGCCCTGTGGTGGGGAGGAGAGCAGGGTTGTGTTCCTGCAGCAGCCAAGGCGGCCCTGCCCGCAGTCCCAGCCAGGGCGCCCGTCGACCCCTCACCAGCTGCAGGAAGGAGAGGGTCTCCTGCTCGTGGCTCAGCTCCCCATGGTTCCTGAAGCGCACACGCGCCCAGCGCCGGCGGCGGCACGAGTGGTAGGTCTTCTCCACCGGGCTCCAGACCTGGGGCAGGCCCGACGGTGGGATCCCCACTCCATACTCCCAGCCTGCGGTGGGTGGACCATGGCCTCTGAGTCCTCAGGTGCCCGCAGGTTGGGAGGCCTGGACAAACCCGGGAGACAGGCCCTAGAGGGGCATTACTTCCCTCACATCCAGGTCTCTGGCCCTGAGGTGTGGAAAGGAGAGTGTGGCTACACTGTGTCACCTGAGTGGCCTGGGCCCAGCTGCCCAACTTACAAATGAAGCAGGTGAGACTCAGAGAAGTCCTGTGACTCGCACAAGGCCACACAGCCCATAAGCAGCAAAGCTTGCATCTTGAGCCCGGACCTTGAGACTTGCAGCCCATCATCATTCCTGCCCTGGAGCTGCTGTGGGTGAATTCAGCCATCACGTGATAGCCTCCTGTTCACCAGCATCTGCCACGCCTTGCTCTGGGCCAGGCTTCAGGACACACTGAGGGCCTGTGCTGTCTCAAAACTGGGGCCTATGTGTAAGGAAACGCTGGAGACCCAGCTCTGGAGGCCAGGGGGCCCCAGGAATTTAGGCGTATACCATGGAGGGCTTGGCTGCTCTGATCCCACCCTGCTGGCTGCCGTTATTTTGAGGCCCTGGTCTCTCCCGATCCCAACCCTGACCAAACGACTGACCCTTACTGTCCACTGCGTGGTTCAGCTCCACCACCCAGTCCTTCTTAAAGTGCCAGCCTTGGGGGCACTTCACGTTCTCCCGGGCCTCCATGGGCTGTCCATTCTGCAGGTGGACAGAGAGGGCGAGCGAGGGGCACATGAGCTGGGAGGAGGCTGCCCTCCCTCCCTCTTCCCACACCTGTGTGCGTGCCTGCTGTGGCCGCAGCAGCCTCCCACTCCAGGCCAGACTGTGCTTGCCACACCTCATACCACCAGAGCCATCACTGAATATGCTCCAAGGACCTGCCTTTCTGCGCTGGAAGCTGCTCCTCCTCATTGTAAAGGGGAGACTAGCATGCTTTTGAGATCAGTTAAACCCACACTACCCAATACAGTAGCCACCAGCCGCCTGGGGCTACTCTAGCTTAAATGAGTTAAAATTCAAAGTTTAATTCCTTCATCTCACTAGTGCCCCATTTTAAGCACTCAATAGCCACACGTGCAGATATAGAAGATTTCCATCATCACAGAAAGTTCTACTGGACAGTGCTGGGTTAGCCTACCCCAAGCAGATTCTCTCCTTCGGGGTAAGCAGCACCTTTGAAGGAGGCCTAGGAAGAAACATTGCCTCCCTTTTGTTGTTTCTCAGTCTTATTTAAGGTATTTCTACAAACCCCTCACCCCATCAGTGCTGAGAGAGAGTGCCTGAGGGCTGGTGCGCTCACCCGGGGCCCCACACATAGTGCAGGGCATAGGGCTCAGACCCTTTCCACTGGGACCCCCAGCTTCCAAGGCGCCCCGCCTGGTGGCCTTGCTTGCCCCCTAACCCGAGGCAGCTTCGGCCCTGCTCACCACGTCTGTGTTTGGGATGGCGGCAGGCCCCCAGGCCCCTCTGGTGTCACGGCCCTGGTTCTCATATACCTCCTCCAGCACCTGGCTCTTGTTGATGTCTATGTCCAGGAGGAGCCTGGGGGTAATGAGACCCCAAGTTCCCAGCACAACTCCCCAAGCAGCCCCTAGGGCCGTCTTCTGCTGGCCAAGCGTTCCCATACCTGGCATCCCATCCCCACCTGCTCTGGGCAGGACAGGGTGGTGGGCAGGGCCCTTGGCCTGGTGCACCTCGGCCCTCTGGCACCAGGCTTAGGGGCTAGGTACCCATCTTTCTGGGCTGCCGCGGACTGGCCCTCCCAGGTGAAGTGTCCCCTCTGGTGGGGCCTGCCCCCTCTGGCCTTACCTTCTCTGAGGTTCCACTGTCCAGCTGTCCTGCCAGTGCCATCCCAGGGGTGGTTGGAAATCCGTCATGGGGAGGGTCTTGTTCCCCATGACATCCGAGAAGTTGGGGCAGTGATACAGCCCCTGCTGCCCCCACTGGTCTTTATACTTGGCCTGATTCTCATACTAGGGGAGGGAAGCTTGTCAGGGCGGCCGCCTCCTCTAGCACAAAGTGCGGGGACATGGGCCTCCCCTGGGCCCCCTGACTCTGGGCTGCAGGGGCATCCTAAAAATGTGGTAGCCAGGCAAGAAAGGGCCATGTCCCCATTGCACAGGTGAGGGCACTGAGGCCCAGAGGTCAACCCTGCCCTGGATCATTCAGCTGGCAGAGTGGGGTGGATGCTGCATGTGTGGACAGAGATATCATAAGACATCTATGTAGTGCTTGGAGGCACAGAGGTGGAGAGGGGTCTGGGGTGAAGGGGAGGGAGCAGGGCCTGAGTGCTCAGCAGGGAGAGTGTGGTTGAAAAGGCCCAGAGGCAGCAATGGTGGTCAAGTGGTGCAGGAGGGCTAGGCTCCCCAGGGTCTGCAGTGACGAGGGAGCAGGGAGCTGGCATCAAAGGCACCAGCCCAGTCCTCCGGTGCCCGCTGAGCATGCAGGCCCTGCTCCCTGCCCCGCACCCTGAACTGCTCTCCACCTCTGCGCCTCCAAGACCTACGGAGCTGGTTAGACATATTATGATGTATCCATCTACACATGCAACTTAGACACTGCAAACGTATGTTTTAATTCAGTAAGTTAAAAAGCCTGACGCTCAAACCTTATTTCCCCTCTGCTGTTCATGTGGCTTCCTGAGCCATGTCCTTCCCCCGGGGAGCCAAGGACATCTCCCCTCCTCTGGTTCTAGAGCAGTCCCTGGCCACCGCCCGCCCACTCCCCAGGTTGATGGTTCTGTGGGCAGATGCCTCAGATCCTACTCCTCTACCATTCTAGGCCTTCACCTCCTGGGACCCCACTGGGGCCTGCAGGGGTCCCGGGCTGCCCTGTTGGTGATGGGTGAGGCCCCTGCAAGTCAGAGCCTTGCTCACTTCACGTGCTGTTGATGAACTAGGAGAAAGCTCGGAATAAACCTGCATCAGGGAGAGGGGGACCAGGCCCCGGAGGTCACTTAGTCGCCCCCTTTGTCTCCACACGTGTATGGAGCATCAACAAGAGACCAGAGCTGGCAGTGTCCGAGATTGCTTTAATCTCTGCCTCCTCCAGCAGACTATCTCCTAGCCCTCAGTTTCGGTCAGGAATTTTTTCTTCCTCTTCAGTGCAGGGCTACTGCAGCTACACCCTCCCTTCTCACGCCAAATCCCCTGCAGGGAGGCCATCTCTTCCCTACGAGGCCACCCTACCCCCACCCCCGCGTGCCTGCCCTGGCCTTGGGCTGCCGCTCACCACTCACCATCTCGGCGTACACCGCTGTGTCACCCTGGCGGAGCAGCTGCAGGTCCTTGCTGTCTGTGACATTGCCAAGCCACATGCAGACCCGGAGGTGAGCTGGGAGCACATCCTTCTGTCCTTCACCCTCTGGGTACTGAGCCAGAGGCCGATCGGTCCCACAGGGGCACTAAACACCCTGAACGCCACCCCGGCCACCCCCCAAGTGGGCTGTACCTGCCCCTTCCCCCCTGAGCCCTGGGAGCGGGGCCCTCACTGAGCTGAGTGCTGGAGCTGTAAGTGAATGGCATGGAGTTCTGTTCTGCCCTCCAGAGTGGGGTGGCTCCACCCTGGGAGCCATGAAGCAGAGAGGGTGGGAGTGCCTCACAGAGGGAGTAGCAGGGATGTTGACAATGGGACTGATGGACATTCCTTGTGTGCTTGTTATGGGCTGGCACTGTGCCAGTTGCCCAGTGTGCATCATAGTCCTGGATCCTCACACCCCACCATGAGAGGGCATGGTGATTGCCAGGCCCATTCTACAGAGCAGCATGCTGAGGGCTGGGCATGGCCAGGAGTTGGCCTAGGGCCACACAGAGCCAGGATTCATGTCTCAGGGGCTCTTGCGGGATGCGAAGGACTCTGGTGGTCATGGAAGGAGCCTTGCGTGTTGGTGGAGAGGGCAAAGGGCAGGTACAGTTGGGGCCAGGAAAGCCCAGAGTGTCCTTACTGTTGAGAGTATGGGCCAGAGAGAATGGATGCAGGAACAGGGGCCAGGGGCCAGGTGGCAAGGCGGCACCTTCTCCAGGAGGCAGTGGGGAGCCAGGGAGTCTCTGAAGGGGGAGGGAGTGGCCCCCACGTCCCCCCAGGGAGGATTAGAAGCAGGGAGGCCACTGTCACAGCCAGGGGTGGGGGTGGTGGTCAGGGTGTTTAGTCTTATTTATAGCTTGCATCTGATATGATGGGCTGGTACCAAACCTTATAGACATTAAATATTTTGGAGATCACCCCGTCACGGTCCAGGGAAGAGATGACAAGGGGCTGGACCAAATGGTGGCCATGAGGATGATAGAGGAGGTGGATTTGTTTTCTGTTTTTTTTTTTTTTTTTTTTTTTTGAGACGGAGTCTCGCTCTGTCACCCAGGCTGGAACAGTGTCACGATCTCAGCTCACTGCAACCTCCGTCTCCCAGGTTCAAGCGATTCTCCTGCCTCAGCCTCCCATGTAGCTAGGATTACAAGCATGCGCCACCATGCCCAGCTAATTTTTTTGTATTTTTAGTGGAGACGGGGTTTCACCAAGTTGGTCAGGCTGGGTCTCAAACTCCTGACCTCAGGTGATCCACCCGCCTCAGCCTCCCAAAGTGCTGGGATTACCTGTGAGCCACCGTGCCCAGCGAGGAGGTGGATTTGGGGAACATTTAGGAGGTACATGGACTTGGCATCACCCAACATGCTGACAGCCACAGACCCCTCTCTTCCTCTGGGGACTGTTTCAACCCCATTCCATGTGGTTAAGGGACCAGGAAAACAGGCCCCATAGGGGCTGCCCTGCGAGTTCAGGGGGCTCCCCTGGGGGCATTTCTCAGCCCTGTCCTCCCCTGAGGAGTCCCTGATTCCCACCTGTAGGAAGAGTGTCTGTATCTTCCCACAGAGCCTGCCGGAGTGCAGAGCCCCTGCCGGGGAGAAGAGGACGGAGTGGGCAGGCACCTGTGCATAGGCCACTCGCTGCTCCTTGGCCACCAGCCAAATCATCACGTCAGGGAGGCCCATCTGGGGCTGCCGAGGTGGGAGAATGTCAGGCCCTGCGCGGCTGGCTCCCAGCCCTGCTGCAGGCCAGTGTGTGCAGCACCCACCTCAGGGAGCACGGTGTTGAGGCGGTACAGCCAGTCCTCCGCTGTGGCCACCATGTCCTTGGGCTTGGCTTGCTTGGCCTTTTGGGCCAGTTCCTGCAGGAGGAGGCTGCGGAGCTGCCACCTCTTCCTGTCCAGGCTGGTGGCTTTGGGCTGATAGGTCATGCAGGGCAGAGGGCGCCTGTGGCCAGGACAGGGTAGCAGGGGCTGGACCTCTCTACTGCCTCCCAGTGTCACCATTCCTGCCCTGCCTTAGGCCAGCGTGCCCCTCCTGGCCTCAAGATCCTGCCCCCATCTGCTGCTAGCCTGGCCCAGGAGCCCTTCCCACTGCTCCATAGGAAGCCTGCTCGCTGTGTGTCCAGCCCTGGGTTCTCATCCAGTCCTCTCCCTTCCTCCCAGGGCCTGCAGGGAGGTGGGGCTATGTGGGCTTGTCTGGAGGAAGAGGACAGGCTGGCTTAAGAGGAGCCTCGGGTGTGGGTGTGGGGTAGCAGGGACCATTCTGATGGGGCGGTCAGGGGGCCTGAATGGGAAGGGAGAAGCGACTCTTGGGGTTTCCCGCTGGGGAGAGGTCTGAGCAGTGCTCCTCCCCGAGGAGGGCGGGGGGAGGTGTTCAGGGCACTGCGCTGAGTCCCCAGGCCCAGATCTGGCTCAGCTCCAGGCCAGCTGTATCCCGGAGTGCCCCTACTCCTACTTGCAGTCCTCTGCCAGCTCCCTCAGCAGTTTCTCCCACTGGTAGAGGAGAGCTGGATCCTTCGGATTCCGCGTGGATTTCAGGGTGTCCAGGTTGGCTTTCTGCCCAGCAGGAGAGAAATGGTGAGAGAGCCCGCCTCAGCATGGAGCCCAGCTGGACAGGCCACAGGGCTGATTGGCCCAAGATGTTTTCAGCCACGACCTTGGGAACTTTGAGGGATAACCTGGTGATATCAGTTCAAGGTTGTCCACAACTCCGAGGCTAGGAACCCCCCACATCCTTCCTGCTTCCCAACAGAAGAAACAGGTGGCAAGAAGCCGGGATGGGGTAAGACTGGGAAAGCAGTGCAGAGCCCTGACCTCCACATAGGCATGAGAAAGTCATGCCAGAGGTGCCAGCCCCAGGTGGCTCCCGAGAACTACACTCCCAACAGGCACTTGAGACAGTTTCTGATCTCACTCCTTCCAGCTTCTATGGTCTTATCTTCATGTCACCTCCATGCCTCCCCCAGATCCTGCCGAACTTCAGAAACCAGCACATTGCCGCGGCTTTGCAGGTTATTCCCTTCTACCCCCACCCAGCCCCCAACAAAATCCTATGCATTCTTCAAAACCCTGCTGATGTGTCATCTCCTTTGTGCACACCTCCTCTGACTATCCACTCTTCCTCTCCTCTCCCCATCTTCTCTCTCTGACCCTATAGCACCTGGTACCTGCATCTCCATCATAGCCCTAGTTGCACTGCACAGTCACTGCCTGCATGTCTAACTTCCCTAGACAGTGAGGACAGGGACTGTGTTTAATGATCTTTGTGTCTTCAGTGCCTACCCTGCTTCTGGCACATTCTTCTCAACAGTGTGGAATGAATGCATGAATGAGCTGTGTGACCAGTTTCCTGCCACTGTGATGCAGTTTCCCAAGTCTCCCAGCCACACTCTGAAACAGGTGTCTTCCCAGCATCGGCTCCCGCACCACTCACCAGGCGGTCCCGAGTGAAGTGGAGGAGGTTGAGGCAGTTCATGCGGAAGCTGACGTCCTCCCAGTTGGAGGTCACGGCCACGACAGGCTTGGTGTTGTACCAGGGCACATAATGGTAGATGTTCCCTGAGACACAGAGACACATGGAGGGATGGGGTGTCTGGGGGATTCTGGGAGGTCTCTTCTCACTGTGCTCCCTCCGAGGACCTCTCTGGACCACTGCACCCTCAAAGATGTGACCTGCTAACAATGCTGACTGGAGCCCTCCAGCTGGGAGGCTGGGCTGGGGCCCAACTGAGAATGTGAGAATGTGTGCACTTTGACCCTTCATTGTCACATGGCCTTCCAGAGTCCCCAGTTTCCAGTGGGAAAATCCAGGCTAGCAATGGGAAGCAGTTTCCCTGAGGTGGCATAGCCAGGCGGTCATAACGCAGGCGCCTAGCTCCAGAGCCCTGGGTTCTGAACCTCAAGCGAGATGCCAGGTGTAGGGGCACGGGGCACGCCTCTGGGTGGGACGGGGGCAGGGGGAACAAGTACAGATAAACACCCCCGATGGGTGCCACAGACTGGGTTCCCTTGCCATGTTCCTTATTGAAATGAGGTGGAAGTGAGACCAAACGTAGAGGATTCTGAACCGCACTGCTGCCGAGTTGGCCTTAGAGGCAGAAATCCACAGAAAACGAACATTTAACATGCAGAAAATCTGTGAGGCAAGCGAAAGCCAAAGCTGACTTTTGTTCTCCAAATTTCTGGAAAGTTCTTGGAGAACTTGTGCTTTTCTTTGGCGACTATGGGAGGAATGGGGGGCAGAAGAGAAAGCCTAGGGCTGACCAGGTGGGCAGTCTAACAGGGACCCATGTGCTACAGACTGGCTGTGTCCCCCCCGGAAAGGCATACTCAAGTCCCAAACCCCAGGACCTTAGCATCTGGCCTTATTTGGGCGGGGGGTGGGGGCTTTGCAGATGTAATGTGTTAGGATGAGGTCATACTGGAGCAGGGTGGGCCCTTAAGGACTGGGGTCCTTATAAGAAGGGAGACAGAGAGATGGCAGTTGAGTGAGGACAGACACAGGGAGACACTGTGCGAGAGCAGAGGCAGGATGCAGCTGTGAGCCCAGGAACACCAAGGACCACAGCAACCGCCAGAAACCAATGGCCAGATTCTCCCTCAGAGCCCTCGGCAGGGGTCAACACTGACACCCTGACTTTGAACTTCTGGCCTCCAGACCTATGAAAGAATGAGTTTCTGTTGTCTAAAACCACCTGGCTTGTAGTACTTTGTTATAGCAGTCATACACCATGCAGATCACGAACTCCAAACCCTAAGCCGTTGGGGCCGGGGAATGAGAACTGACCCATCACACAGGAGGGGACAGTGGGGAAGCTTGCCTGTCTCCAGTGTGGCTCTCTGGGTGAAGGGGAAGAAAATCTTCCCCAAAAGTTGTAGCAAGTGGGGCCTCACGGATGTTGGCATTCGGTGCTTATGTTATCTGTGTAGCCTGAAGAGTGTCCAACAAAAAATTTAATTTAAAGTGGTCTCAAGTAGTTTGTTACCAGCCTGGGTAACACAGAGAGACCCTGTCTCTAATTAGCCAACCATGGTGGCTCATACCTGTAGTCCTAGCTACTCAGGAGGCTGGGGTGGGCTTGAGCCCAGGAGTTTGAGGCTACAATGAGCCATGATCATGCCACTGCATTGCAGCCTGGGTGACAGAGTGAGACCGTGTCTCAACCAATCAATAAAACAAAGTGGTCATAAATAAATAAATAAAAATAAAGTGGTCCCTGCTTGGCAGTGTCCCAGGTAACTGGAAGAAGCAAGCCAATCCTCTCTGGAGAATGAAACTTTAGCCAGACCTCAGAGAATGCCCACAAAGTTCCAAGAAAGTGAGCAGCTGAGAACCAGTGTACATAGTCCTAACCCATCAACTCCGCTCCTGTATATGCCCAACAGAAGGGCATATACAGCATCAGTGAGACACATGGAGAAAATGTTCATAGCAGCTCTCATCATAATAGCCAAAAGTTGGAAACAGCCAAAATATCTCTCAAAAAATCTCTTGGCCGGGTGCGGTGGCTCACGCCTGTAATCCCAGCACTTTGGGAGGCCAAGGCGGGAGGATCACCTGAGGTCTGGAGTTTGAGACCAGCCTGGCCAACATGGCGAAACTCTGTCTCTACTAAAAATATAAAAAAAGAATTAGCCGAGTGTGATGGTGGGCAGCTGTAATCCCAGCTACCTGGGAGGCTGAGGCAGGAGAATCACTTGAACCCAAGAGGCACAGGTTGCAGTGAGCCGAGATTGCACCACTGCACTCCAGCCTGGGCAACAGAGCCAGACTCCACCTCGAAAACAGCAACAAAAAAGGGCCAGGCATGGTGGCTCACACCTGTAATCCCAGCATTTTGGGAGGCCGAGGTGGGCAGATTACCTGAGGTTAGGAGTTCAAGACCAGGCTGAGCAACATGGTGAAACCCCGTCTCTATTACAAATATGAAAATTAGCCAGGAGTGGTGGTGTGCACCTGTAATCCCAGCTACTTTGGAGGCTGAGGCAGGAGAATTGCTTGAACCCGAGAGGTGGTGCAGTGAGCCGAGATAACGCCACTGCACTCCAGCCTGGGCAACAAAGTGAGACTCCTTCTCAAATAAATAAATAAATAAATAAATAAATAAATAAAATAATCTCTCAAAAATCTCTCAGTAGTAGAAAGGATAAATTATGGTATGTTCACACAATAGAATAATACACAGCAGTCAGTGAATGAGCTATGACTATACCCTATGTCATCTGGATCTATGAACACACTGCACAAATAGAACAGTGAGCAAAAGAAACCACGATATGATTTTTTATATCATATCAAAACCATATATCAAATGTACAAATTATCTTTAAAAAATAATAATTATTATTTTTTAAAGAGAACACTGGTTCTCAGCTGCTCACTTTCTTGGAACTTCGTAGGCATTCTCTGAGGTCTGGCTAAAGTTTCATTCTCCAGAGAGGATTGGCTTGCTTCTTCCAGTTACCTGGGACACTGCCAAGCAGGGACCACTTTATTTTTATTTATTTATTTATGACCACTTTGTTTTATTGATTGGTTGAGACACGGTCTCACTCTGTCACCCAGGCTGCAATGCAGTGGCATGATCACGGCTCATTGTAGCCTCAAACCCCTGGGCTCAAGCCCACCCCAGCCTCCTGAGTAGCTAGGACTACAGGTATGAGCCACCATGGTTGGCTAATTAGAGACAGGGTCTCTCTGTGTTACCCAGGCTGGTAACAAACTACCTGAGACCACTTTAAATTAAATTTTTTGTTGGACACTCTTCAGGCTACACAGGCTACATATATATACAAACCATGATATCAAAAGAATACACCATATGATTTTTAATATAATAATAATAATTATTTTTTAAAGAGGCAGGGCAACGGCGGCTCACGCCTGCAATCCCAATGCTTTGGGAGGCTGAGGCCAGGAGTTCAAGGCTGCAGTGAACTATGGTCATGCCATGGAGGTGAGGAGTGGCTGTAGTTAAGCAAAGTGTTTTGGGCTGCATTTATGTGTGCTTGATACTTGTTCCTTTTGATCCAAATGATCTAGAGGGCCTTGGTGGGGTGGGGTGGGCACAGGGGCCTCTGGAGTGCTCCAGATCCGTGATCTGAGTGCTATTACAAGGGCATGTTTGCTTTGTGATAATTCACTGAGCTTGACACTTTGGTTTGTGTACTTTTCCATAGGTATGTTCTACTTGAAAGTTTACTTAAGAAATTAAAAAACAGTGGGGCAAAACACCCAAAATCAGTATGTAAAATACAGTGTGTCAAAGATGGAAAATGCTAAGGAGATAAGTGGGGAAGGGAAAAAGGGAGATGCCGAGTAATTTAAATAGAATGGTCACCTAAGGACTTTCTATGAAGATCTAGAAGAAATCATCTAGAATGCAGCCCAGAGAGAGGACAAGATGAAAAATATGGAAGAGATTTAAAAATATGAAGGACAGAATGAGAAGGTCCACAGAGGACAGAGTGAGTTCCGGAAGGAGATACAGTGGGGAAGAGGTAATTTTCAAAGGGAAAATATAGTTTTCCGGGATTTTTGGAAGACACTAGTTTCAGACCCTGGCCTTTGAGTGAAAGACTGGAATGATAAATAAGCAGAGATGCATGCCTGGGGCTCTCAGTGTGAGGATACACAACAGCAATTTTCCTCTCCTACTCTTGGAGAACTTACAAAAGCAACAAGCAGAAGGAAAATAACTCAGTTTTCAGCAAACCAAGGAGACAGATATAATCTGCAGACTCAAAATACACGTAAGGACTGCCAAAAGCAACTGTGACCGCCACCGAAGCCAAGGGGTGAAGCGCAGCAGCAGCAGCCACCTGCGGGACACGACTAGCAAGACAGACAGCGGGAAGCATGCTGAGTAGGGGCAGATTGCAGAAAGTGCCAGCAAAAACACACTCCCTGAAGGAGCTCAGGAGCTTATGAGGCAATGTGAGCCCGTAAACTTCAGAAAACAAGTAGAAGAAAAAACAAAAACAGAGATGGGAAGGTAACATAAGTAGTCCACGGGAGATTAGATGCTGCAGACAATTCAGTGAGGGGCATGGAAATAAGGATAGAAATAAGAAAAGTAACCGAAATGAAATGGAAAGAATAGGTCAAAAAAGGATCAGGGAGAAAATGACAGATACAGATAAAACCAAGGAGAATCACTAAACCCATAAATGGAGCCTCTGATGTAGAAAATTAAACAATGGAACAGAGTAAGTATTTTAACATGTAACCTAGGAAAACACATGAGGAAAGGATGGTCTTTTTAACAAATGTTGCTTGAACAACTGGATATTCACATGCAAATTAATTCAAAATGAATCATACAGATAAGTGTAAGAGGTAAAACTGTAAAAACTACAGGTGTGGCCGGGTGCGGTGGCTCACGCCTGTAATCCCAGCACTTTGGGAGGCTGAAGCGGGTGGATCACGAGGTCACGAGATCGAGACCAGCCTGACCAACATGGTGAAACCCCGTCTCTACTAAAAATAGAAAAATTAGCTGGGCGTGGTGACACGCGCCTGTAATCTCAGCTACTCAGGAGGCTGAGGCAGGAGAATTGCTTGAACCTGGGAAGTGGAGGTTGCAGTGAGCCGAGATTGTGCCACTGCACTCCAGCCTGGTGAGGGAGCGAGACGCCATCTCAAAAAAAAAAAAAACTATAGGTGTGTGTCGCCATGCCCAGCTAATTTTTTAAAAAATTTCTGTAGGATCTCGCCATGTTGCCCAGGCTGGTCTTGAACTCCTGGGCTCAAGTGATCTGCCTCAGCCTCCCAAAGTGTTGGGATTACAGGCGTGAGCCACCACACCCAGCCAAAACTAGAAAACTTAGAAGAAAAAATAGGAGAAAAATCTTCACAATCATGAGTTAACCAAAGAGTTCTTAGCTATAACACCATAAAAGAAAAAATAAATTGGATTTTATCAAATTAAAAATGTTGGCACTTCAAAAGACACTACTAAGAAAATGAAAAGACAAGCCACAGACAATTTGCAAATCACATATCTGGTACAGGACTTGTATGCAGAATATATAATGAATTATTGCAACTCAATAATAAGAGAAACAATGCAATTTAAAAACAGGCAACACATTTGAATAGACATATCACTAAAGAAGATAAATGAATGGTTAATGAGCACATGAAAAGATGTGGCCAGGCACAATGGCTCATGCCTGTAATCCCAGCACTTTGGGAGGCCAAGGTGGGTGGATTGCTTGAGCCCAGGAGTTCAAGAACAGCCTGGACAAAATGGAGAAACTCCGTCTCTACTAAAAATACAAAAATTAGCCAGGTGTGGTGGTGCGTGCCTGTAGTCCCAGCTACTTGGGAGTCAGGTGGGAGGATCACCTGAGCCCTGGAAGCACAGGTTGCCATGAGCCCGTGATTGCACCACTGCACTCCAGCTTGGGTGTCAGAGCGAGACCCTGTCTCAAAGAATAGAAAATAAAAATAGGCTGAGTGCAGTGGCTCACACCTGTAATCCCAGCACTTTGGGAGGCCGAGGTGGGTGGATTGCTTGAGCCCAGGAGTTTTGAGACCAGGCTGGGCAACATGGTGAAACCCTGTCTCTACGAAAAATACAAAATCTAGCCGGGCGTGGTGGCACATGCCTGTAGTCCCAGCTACTTGGTGGGGCTGAGGAAAGAGAATTGCTTGAACCCGGGGGGCGGGCGGAGGTTGCAGTGAGCTGGGATTGCCCCACTGCACTCCAGCCTGGGTGTCAGAGCGAGATTCGGTCTCAAAAAATAAATCAATAAATAATAAAAATTAAAAAAAAAAAGGTGCTCAGTGTCATTACATGAAATGCAGATTAACACAACGATGAGCTGCCACTGTGTGCCTACTATACTAAATAAAGACAGATGATAAATGAGAAACTGAAATCATCTTACATTTCTAGGAGAATATAAAATGGTGTGGCCACTTTGGAAAAGCTTGGCAGTTTCTTAAAAAGCCATTCCACTTAAAGACTTGTATACGAATGTTCACAGCAGCTTTATTCTTTTTTTTTTTTTTTGAGACGGAGTTTCGCTCTTGTTGCCCAGGCTGGAGTGCAATGGTGTGATCTCAGCTCACTGCAACCTCCGCCTCCTGGGTTCAAGCAATTCTCCTGCCTCAGCCTCCTGAGTAGCTGGGATTACAGGCATGTGCCACCATGCCCGGGTAATTTTGTATTTTTAGTAGAGACGGGGTTTCACCATGTTGGTCAGGCTGGTCTCGAACTCCCGACCTCAGGTGATCCACCCGCCTCAGCCTCCCAAAGTGCTAGGATTACAGGAGTGAGCCACCGTGCCCGGGCAGCTTTATTCTTAATAGCTAAGAGGTGGGAACAATGCCCATCAACTGATGAATGGATTAACAAATGATGGATGGTACACCCATACGATGGAATACTATTTGGCAATGAAAAGGAATGGAGAACTGATACACACTGCATCATGGATAAACCTGGAAAACATTACGCCAAGTGAAGGAAGCCAGATGCAAAAGATGACATATTGTATAATTTCATTTATATGAAACATCCAGGAAAAGTAAATATGCAGAGACAAAAGTAGATTAATAGTTGTGTGGACCTGGGGGTGGGGACAGGGGAGTCACTACAAAGCAAGAGAATTCTGTGGTATGTAAATTACATCATTAAATAGATTACTAACAAAATAAGATTTTACTCATCAACATAGATGCAAAAGCCTCAACAAAATATTAGCAAGCCAATTCCAGAATGTATAACAAAGATAGGACGGGCATCGTGGCCCACGCCTGTAATCCCAGCACTTTAGGAAGCTGAGGCGAGCGGATGACCTGAGGTCAGGAGTTCGAGACCAGCCTGGCCAACGTGGCGAAACCCTATCTCTACTAAAAATACAAAAATTAGCTGGGCGTGGTGGCACACTCCTGTAATCCCAGCTACTGGGGAGGCTGAAGCAGGAGTATCACTTGAACCCGGGAACCCAAGAGGCAGACCGCCGCACTCCGGCCTGGGCGACAGAGTGAGACTCCGTCCCAAAAATATTTAAAAAAAGGTATAACAAAGATAATGTAAGGTATCAATGCAATTATACTGTAATTAATTGCATGGTATATTACATATAATAAAACAATTATTTCTGTGAGGTGGCATATTATTAACTCAAAGTAGACTATGATGAGTTAAGGGTCAATATTGTAATTCCTTGAGCAACCACTAAAAATAATCCAAAGATACATATTGTCAATAGATAGAATGTAATACTAAAAAAAAAAAAAAACAAAAAATACCTGATGAAAACGAACACAGGAAATTCCAGTGGCCTTTTTTGTAGAAATTGTTGAGCTTATGCTAAAATAGGAAAATGGGAAGTAACCCATTTTCAACAAAAGTCCAACCCAAAGACTTGTACAATAGCCAAAATTATTTTGTAAAAGAACAACTAGGCCGGGCCCAGCGGCTCACGCTTGTAATTCCAGCACTTTGGGAGGCTGAGGTGGGCAGATCACCTGAGGTCGGGAGTTTGAGACCAGCCTGATCAACATGGAGAAACTCCATCTCTACTAAAAATACAAAATTAGGCATGGTGGCGCATGCCTGTAATCCCAGCTACTTGGGAGGCTGAGGCAGGAGAATTGCTTGAACCCAGGAGGCGGAGGTTGTGGTGGATAAGGATAGGCAAATAGATCAATAATATGGTTAACTGATTTTCAACAAAGGTGGCAAAGTAATTCAATGTGGGACTGAATTACTGAATTACTTTCAGGCAAATGGTGCTCCACTGGTTATCTGTATAGAGAAAAATAATCTCAATTCCTCCCTCATACCATATGCAAAAATTAAGTCAAATTGGATCATAAACCCAAACAAAAAAGATAAAACGATAAAGCTTGTAGAATGAAACAGAGGAGACAATTTTCATGATCTTGAGATAGACAGATATTTCTTAGACCACATAATCTACTAACTATAAAATTGATAATCAACCGGGCTGAGCGCAGTGGCTCACACTTGTAATACCAGCACTTTGGGAGGCCAAGTGGGGTGGACTGCTTGAGCTCGGGAGTTTGAGACCAGCCTGGGCAACATGGTGAAATCCCACCTGTATGAAAAATTAGCTGGGCGTAGTGGTGCTAGCCTGGGCCACATGGTGAGACCCTGTCTCCATAAACAATTTTAAAAATAGGCTGGGCACAGTGTCTCACGCCTGTAATCCTAGCACTTTGGGAGGCCAAGGCGGACAGATCACTTGAGGTCAGGAGTTCAAGGCCAGCCTGGCCAACATGGCAAAACCCCATCACTACTAAAAATACAAAAATTAGCCGGGCATGGTGGCAGGCGCCTGTAATCCCAGCTACTTGGGAGGCTGAGGCAGGAAAATTGGTTGAACCTGGGAGGTAGAGGTTGCAGTGAGCTGAGATTGTACCATTGCACTCCCTCCTGGACAACAGAACAAGATTCCATTTCAAAAAAATTAATTAATTAATTATTTTTTTAAAAAAGGCTGGGCAATATCAAGTACTGGTGAGAAGGTAGAGTAATAGGAACTCTCATACCATGCTGAGGAGAGTGTAATTTGGTATAATCACTTTTGCTTTGAGTTTCTTTTCCACCCATAGGTATATAATTTAGAGGAAGTCTTGCACTTGTAACCAGGAGACATGCACAAGAATGTTTATAACAAAATTATTATAATAGCAAAAAAAGATACAACCTAAATGCCTACATATAGCACACACTTTGTGGTATAATCACACAGTGGAATTTATGCAGAAGTGAAAATGAACTGCAGTACACATACCCACATACAAAGTTTAATGTTGAGCAGAAGATTTAAGACAGATGAATACAGACCGAAAGAGTCCATTTATGTAAAATATAAAAACAGTATCATGTTTAGGATTTCATTCACAGGTGAAGAATTAAAAAGAAAAGCAAGAAGGTGATTAATACAAGAGTCAGGGTCATGGTTACTTGTTGGGTGAAGGAATCTGGGAAGAGCAAACAGGGACCCTTTCTAAGATGCTGATAGTTTTCTATATTTTAAGCTGGGTGGTGAGTTCATGGGTACTCATTTTATTATTTTTTTTTAGTTTTTGGTTAAACAGGGTCTCACTCTGTCACCCAGGCTGGAGTGCAGTGGTGCGATCTTGGCTCACTGCAACCTCTGCCTCCCAGGCTCAGGTGATCCTCCCACTTCAGCCTCCCTCATTTTATTATTCTTCTTTAAACTATACATACACATTTCATATGCTTTTTTTTAAATATTTCATAATACTAAAATCAAGTAGACATGCTAAGTGAAAGCCATTGACAAAGAACCACATATTATATGTTCCATATATGATATGTCTGGAATAGGAACATCTACAATCACAGAAAGTAGATGCCCGGGTGCGGTGGCTCACGCCTGTAATCCCAGCACTTTGGGAGACCGAGATGGGTGGATCACCTGAGGTCAGGAGATCTAGACCATCCTGGCTAACATGGTGAAATCCCGTCTCTACTAAAAATACAAAACATTAGCCAGGCGTGGTGGCATGTGCCTGTAGTCCCAGCTACTCGGGAGGCTGGGGCAGGAGAATCGCTTGAACCCGGGAGGCGGAGGTTGCAGTGAGCCGAGATCGCACCACTGCACTCCAGCCTGGGCAACAGAGAGACATTCTGTCTCAAAACAAAACAAAACAAAAAACAGAAGAAAGATTAGTGGTTGCCTAGGGCTGGGGAGGTGGGAGATAAATGGGGGGTGACTGCCAATGGGCATAGGGTTCCTTTTCCGGATGAGGAAATGTTCTAAAATTGATTGTGGTGATGGTTGTACGACTCTGTGAATATACTAAGAAACTATTGTACAAACTGAAATGGGCAAATTGTATGGCTTGTGAATTATATCTCAATAAAGCTTTTTTAAAAGACAGGTAGGGAAGTGGGATGCCCAGAAAGGCTCAGAATGGGTGATGAGACAGTAAAGATGAAAAAGATGAAAGTGAGACAGCAGTGCTCTGCAGCAGTGGTACTCAAACTGGAGCATGCACCCCAGTCACCTGCAGGGCCTGATAAAACACAGACTGTGGGGCCTCTTCCCCAGGTTATTGGATTCTCTAGGGCTAGCGTGGGGTCAAGAATCTGCATTTCTAACAAGTTTCCAGGTGATGCGGATGCTGCTGGCCCAGGGCTTGCTCTCTGAGAGCCGCTGCTCTATAGTGCCCAATATAGGTGTGCAATAAGTATATATTGGATGAGTGAATGAACGGCTGGAGGGGTAGTTGGTTGGATGTTGGGGTAAGTGGGTGGGTGGGAGTTGAGTGGCTGAATGGATGGATAAAAAATAGATGGATGCGTGAATTGGTGGGTGGAGGATGGATGGATGAGAGGTGGTTCAGAGTAGGGGAAAAGATGGGGTTGGTGAAGTTGTAGTGTGGAAAGCAGTGTAGAGAAGGACTTCATGTCAAGACCTAGTTTCAACTCATGGGTTCACCACCTGCTAGCTATAGTTTGGCAAATGACTTCACCTCCCTGAACCTCATTTTTTCATGTGTGAAATATAGGTAAATAATGCCTATGAATCTTCCATGAGCTAATACCCCTGAGAGAGCCTAGCACAGGGCCTGGCATGCAGTGGCTGCTCTCTACTTATTGCCTGAATCTGACAATTACCATCATATATCACTGGGCTGTACGGTGTGCTTGAGACTAGAGGCTTGTAATTCAGGTCCATCTTGTTCCCATAGTGACCGATGCTGACCTCGAAATGGATCAGCTCTTTAAAGTTGGGCATCATGGTACAGGAAAGGAAGATGACGCACAGCCCATACTTTTGGCGGTTCTGGTGCTTCTGAAACAATAACCGCCCCCACCCCCCATACCCAGTACATAAGCCAAGGGTTATATTGACAGGCAGGGAGGCAAGGATGAGGTATCTTTCTTTCAAAGCCATCTTCCCTTCTCTCCCTCTCAAAGGCCTTCAGAGGCTCCCTCGCACCCTGCTGATCCAGGGCAGTTCCTCCAGGACTTCCATCATCTGGCCCCTCCACCCAGCCAGCCCTGGCTCCCTCCCTTCCTGAAATCAGGTGGCTGGGGAGGGGGGTGGTCTCCTCCCTTGTTAGGGTAGGCTCTGAGTTGGGCCACCCCATCCCCATTCCAAGTAGAGATGCTTCCTCCTTTTTGCCTAAACCCTTTCCCCCAGAAGACACAATGTGGATAGGGGTGTAGGGCTGAGGTTTTACACACACACACACACACACACACACATTCATACTCCCAGAAAGGTTGAACCTTCCCACTTCCTGCTCCAGCTGCCCACTATGCCCCCAACTTCGGCTGTTCTCACCAAGTGCTTTCTTGGGCCTCCTGTCCATTGTATCAGCCCCTCTTGTTTCTGTTGCCAACCTCTGCCCCATTCTTGCATTCCCCCGGTCTGTTCACTAGCTCAGGTTTCCCCTATTGAAAAAAAATAACTTTCCTTCTCCCATCTGAACCCCTATTTAGCTACCACCTGTTCTCATTTCCTTTCACGTTAAAAAAATTTACTTTTGAGGCCAGGCGTGGTGGCTCATGCCTGTAATCCCAGCAGTTTGGGAGGCTGAGGCGGGCGGATCACAAGGTCAAGAGATCAAGACCATCCTGGCCAATGTGGTGAAACCCCATCTCTACTAAAAATACAAAATTAGCCGGGCGTGGTGGTGGATGCCTATAATCCCAGATACTCAGGAGGCTGAGGCAAGAGAATTGCTTGAACCCAGGAGGTGGAGGTTGTGGTGAGCTGAGATCGCCCCATTGCACTCCAGCCTGGGCAACAAGAGCAAAACTCCATCTCAAAAAAAATTTTTTTACTTTTTTTTTAGAGATGTGGTTTCACTATGTTACCCAGGCTGGTCTCAAACTCCTGGGGCTCAAGTAATCCTCCTATCTCAGCCTCCCAAGCCCAGCTTTTCAATCAGGTTTCTTAGAAGGTTTGTCTCTGTGCACTGGCTCCTACCTCTCCCTCCCATCTATGGCAGCCCAGCTTCTCTCCTGACCTAAGGCTACTGACATCTTCCTAATAACCAGCAGATATCTCTCAGTCCTCGCCCTTTCTCTCTGCCACATTCAAGATTGCTGGTCACTCCTTTCTGCAAATCTCCACTCCTGAGTCCGCCTCTGCAGGCTCCTGTCCAACCGCTTCTGCAAATCCCTTCTCCTCTTTCACCTGCCTCTTAGACTGTGGCATCCTCATAGCTTCCCTCTCCTTTCATTCCACCTACTCTCCTCAGGCAATTTCTTCCACTACCACAGGTTCAAACCTTGGTGTGTTGATGTCACATCCCTGTGTCTAGTAGGCTCCAGAGCTGGTCTATGTGGATGTCTTACATCACATGTCAGAGATGGGTTTCATCATTTCCCTCATATCTGCTCCTTCTTTAGAGAGCCCACCTTGGTGCATTGCACCCCTGACCACCTCGTCACCCATGGCAGAAAATGGGCCTCAGTAAGGGGAGTCAGCCTCACTTACGTTCTGTTGGTCACTGGCTCTGGCCATTCTGTTTCCAAAGGGTCTCTGAAACCTACCCACCTCCTCTCTAGCTCTCTGCCAGCAAGGCTGTATTCCTGTTTCTCTTGACTGGGTGACCCCAACTTACTCTCCTCCAGTCCATTGCTACTGCTCCTCCTGCCCCTTCCTGCCTCAGTAAGTAGCCCTCCACTGGCTTCAGGAAGAAACCCAAATCCCTTAGATTGTTTTACAAAGCCCTGAGAAACTAGGTCACGAATTAACACAATTTCTCCTTAACCATATCAGGGATTCCTTTTTTTTTTTTTTTTTTTTTTGAGATGGAGTCTCACTCTGTCACCCAGGCTGGAGTGCAGTGGCATGATCCTGGCTCACTGCAACCTCCACCTCCTGGGTTCAAGAAATCCTCCTGCCTCAGCCTCCGAAGTAGCTGGGACTACAGGCGCAAGCCACCATGCCTGGGTAATTTTTGTATTTTTTTGGTAGAGATGAGGTTTCGCCATATTGGCCAGGCTGGTCTCAAACTCCTGACCCCAAGTGATCTGCCCGCCTGAGCCTCCCAAAGTGCTGGGATTACAGGTGTGAGTCATCGTGCCCGGCACAGATTAGGCATTTTATTTTTTATTTTTTATTTTTTTCAGACGGAGTCTTGCTTTGTTGCCCAGCCTGGAGTGCAGTGGCACAATCTCTGCCCACTGCAACCTCCGCCTCCCAGGTTCAAGTGATTCTCCTGCCTCAGCCTCCCTAGTAGCTGGGACTACAGGCGTGCACCACCATGCCCAGCTACATTTTTTTTTTTTGTATTTTTAGTAGAGACAGCGTTTCACCATGTTGCCCAGGCTGGTCTGAAACTCCTGGACTCAAGTGATCCTCCCTCCTCGGTCTCCCAAAGTGCTGGGATTACAGGCGTGAGCCACCGCACCTTGCCCAGATTAGGCATTTCTTAAACTGAAACCTTATCTTTTCCATCAGGGTCCCCCAACCACCGGGATTTGGTGCAGCATGAAGCCACTAGCAGGGCCTTAGTAAATAATCAGGCCGATTGATCAGGCATCCTTACACACTCAACAGCCAGTGGCCAGGGCCTCTCTACACGGTCAGAAACTGGGATCCACAGTAGATCCGGGGCAGACAGGGCTCTTGTTTTTCCCTGGGTTACCTGTTTCCCGCAGTTACCTCTATCCTGGTCACTTCATGGGAGAGATCCTTTATCGTGGAGTCTTGATAGGACTTGATTTGGGTGATTAACTCCAGGAAGACTCGGCCTCGATAAGCTAAACCATCCCTAACAGAGTCGGGAATACACTAGGGCAAGCGAGAGGAAAACGGAGAAAAGGGGTGAGAGAAAAAGAACAGGCCAATCTCCTTTGAAACCCCTGAGGCAAAGACAAGGTTGTCCAGTCACTGCCTGCCCGGGGCTTACTGCAACCACAATCCCGGAGAAGAATTCCAGAAACCTCCACGCCGGGAAACCTCTGGGCATTGAGCCCTCTTCTGCACCCTGGGATCCTGCCTGCCCCATGGAATACCGTGCTCCCACCATGCTTCAGGCTGGGTGGTAACTGTGATTACCACTGAGTTTGCACTACCCGCCTGGCCAATCAGAGCCTGCCCTGCCTCCTTGGCAACTGTGAGCCACGGGGAGCACACATGACCTAAGGAGGACAATTAGAATGCTTCCCTGGCCTTCCCTGCTGGAGGCTGTGTGGTGAGGTTCCCAGCCGGGAAGTCTGACTGAGGCAGGAGGGAATGAGGCAGGGGGGAAGGAGAGTGAGGACCTCCTAGTGGCCTTGAGGACCAATGCCTGTGGTTCTTCCTCAGCATCCTTCCCTGCCTCGTTCCTTCCCAGGGCCTCTTTGCACAGTCAGAAACTGGGATCCACAGTAGATCCGGGCGGACAGGGCTCTTGTTTTTCCCTGGGTTTAAGCCTGTTCGAGTCGGGTTTCTGGCATTTACCGCCATTCCTGAATAACCTCATGCTTCCTCACACTTGCCTGTGCTGTGTCCTCCGTCCTTCGCGCCCTTCCCACCTGCTGAAAATCTTACCATGGTCTCCTCTCAAAGCCCCTTCCTCAGGGAAAGCCCAGAGCTTCCGCTTGCTCCTTTCTTGTGCCCCCACGCCTGTCCCACATGCACGTGGCTGCTCATGGACAGGCTTCACGTCCTCCACAAGACCCCGAGGGACAGAAACCAGGGCCGGGGCCTCGGGGCACGTCCCAGGCCCTAGTGCTTTACATGGGGAAGCTCTACCTCCACTGTACCCTAGAGCTGATGTGAGAAGCTTACAGCGCCTTCTTCCTGGATCCTGAAAGGGGCCTTTTTACCCCCATGCAGAGTCAGGAAGCTGGGGCCAAAGCAGGGCAGGAAGCCGGAGTACACTCCTGGAAGGAGAGAGAGTGAGAAGGGTCGGGCGCAGGACGAGGGGTGTAGGAAGTGGGCTCGAGGCTTTGCTTGCCTTCTATCTCTTCTCCGGTGGACGAGATCTGGTTGAGGGACAGGCTGGCAGTCCCAATCTCATCCGGGCAGTCCTTCTTGCGGCTAGAGAGAAACACACTCCTCAGGCTGAGCCCCCGGCCCAGCTCTCATTTCTTCCTTCCCTGTGTGCTTCAGCCTCCACCAGGTTGCTCACCAGTCCAAGACTCTGAACTTGATGTAGCTGGAGAGGCAGGGTAGCTGTGGAGGGAAGGAGAGAGGTGCGGTGGGTACACATTGGGATGGTCTGGCCCTCGTGGAGATTTTAAGAACAGGTAGGGAGTCGCGGGTCTGGGAGCAAGTCCTGGCTCAGTTACCAGTGAGCCACTTCATCATAGAAAAGCTGGATTTTGAACCAAGCGAATCGAGCTTTGGCTTTAGGGCCTCTTGTTTTCTGGGGGTTTGCTTTGTTTTGTTTCAGACAGGGTGCTGCTCTGTCACCTAGACTGGAGTGCAGTGGCATGATCATAGCTCACTACAGCCTACACCTCTCAGGCTCAAACGATCCTCCCGCCTCAGCCTCCTGAGTAGCTGGGACTACAGGCACCTGCCATCAGGCCCAGGTAATTAAAAACAATTTTTTTTTTTTTGTAGAGACAGGTGCCTTACTATGTTGCCCAAGCTGGTCTCGAACTCCTGGGCAAAAGCAATCCTCCTGCGTAGGGCTCTCAAAATGTTGGGATTAGAGGTGTGAGCCACCTCGCCCAGCTGGGCCTCCCATTTGAATAGGCCCCTTGCAAGGTCCTGAGAGGGGCCTGGAACTTGTCACATGATCGTTTTGTATTTTTGTCTTTAAAATGGCCCTCTGGACAAGCATGGTGGCTCACACCTGTAATCCCAGCACTTTGGGGGGCTGAAGCGGGCAGATCACTTGAGCAGCCTGGGCAACATGATGAAATCCTCTCTCTACAAAAAATACAAAAATTAGCTGGGTGTGGTGGCACTCACCTATAGTCCCAGCTACTCAGGAGGCTGAGGTGGGAGGATTGCTTGAGCCCGTGAGGTTGAGGCTACAGTGAACCATGATCGTGCCACTGCACTCCAACCTGGGTGACAGAGTGAGACCTTGTTTCAAAAAAGAAAAAAAAGTCCCCTAATTGCATAAGCTTCAGGCCCCTCTGACACCTGAGTCTGCCCTGACTGTGGGCTGGTAGATATTACTGTCCTCATACAGCCCCTCGCAGTCTGAATGCACATTCACCAAACCATCTCATGGAGAGGCCGTGGGCCTAGAATGTCTTCATCATGTCTAGCCATCAACTTTTTAAACAGCAGTATATCTGTCTCCTCAAAGAATAAATAATAAACCAGGCATGGTGGCACATGCCTGTAATCCCAGCACTTTGGGAGGCCGAGGCGGGCAGATCACCTGAGGTCAGGAGTTCAAGATCAGCCTGGCCAACATGGAGAAACCCTGTCTCTACTAAAAATACAAAATTAGCCGGGTGTGGTGGCGCATGCCTGTAATCCCAGCTACTCGGGAGGCTGAGGCAGGAGAATCACTTGAACCCGGGAAGAGGAGGTTGCAGTGAGCTGAGATCGTGCCATTGCACTCCAGCCTAGGCAACAAGAGCGAAACTCCGTCTCAAAAAAAAAAAAAAAAAGAATAAATAATAATAGCTGCCTCTTTAGGAGGTTTCTGTTGCCCCTGGCTTGTGCTAAACAAATTCCATAGACCAGCTGAGTGGGCTCTCCTAAAAACCTCATGAACCAGGTGCTATTATTATTCCCATTTTCATATGGGAAAGCTGAGATCAGAGAGGTTGAGTTCCTGAAGTTCTCATGCTACATGCAGTTGCCAAAACCACTCTGCTGTAACCCCTTGAGGACTGTGATTGTCCCTATAAAGAGATGGGGAATCAGGCCTAGAGAGGCAGAGGGACTTGCTCAAGGTCACATAGTAAGGGGTGGAGTCAGGATTCCTACCCAAGCTTCTGTGTCCCATCTCCACTCTGCATTATGGTTTCCTCAATTATTTTTAAAAAGAAAGAAAGAAAAGAGGCCAGATGCGGTGGCTAATGCCTGTAATCCCAGTACTTGGGAGGCTGAAGTGGGAGGATCACTTGAGGCCAGGAGTTCAAGACCAGCCTGGACAACATATTGAGACCCCCATCTCTACCAAAAATACAAAAAATCAGCTGGGCATGGTGGCTCATGCATGTAGTCCCAGCTACTCAGGAGGCTGAGGCACAAGAATTGCTTGAACCCAGGAGGTGGAGGTTGCAGTGAGCTGAGATTGCGTCACTGCAGTCTAGCCTGGGCAACAGAGCAAGACTGTCTAAAAAAAAAAAATAAATAAATAAAAGAAAAAAATCCATGTGTCCATGTGTAAAATAGAGCTGCTGGGTTGAGGCCAGAGTGGGACCCCAAATCCTCAATCCTCTCAGCTGGGGCCTCTTCTCCTTACAGCAGTTCTTGGGATGTGGCTGGGAACCTCCCAGCTTTCCATTTTCTTCATCCCATTCTCCCTGGGTCCTGACAGCTAAGGGGCCAAGGAGAAGAGGAAAGGGCTTTCCAGGTGAGCAGCTAGTCAGTAAGAAAGGAGGAAATTGCCCAGGTTAAGGAAGGACATTGGAAGGGGAGAGATCGGCACCAGAAGGCATCCAGGTCTTCCAAAGTTAGGAGTCCTCCAAGTTCAGATTTATGGCGGAACCACCTTTCCATCCATCCTGCTAATAATTCTCCTCCTGCTTCTTGGTTCCTCATCTAGTGTGCTGCCTCCCCTTCTGCCCTGGGGCCCTCGGACTGACCATTGGTACAGGCCAGTTTTCTGCAGTGCCCTGGGCTCTGCTCCCCTTCTGACCACCTGGCCTCAGATGCTGCCATCTGTGTGGCTGGCTGTTCTGCCTCTTCAGAGAGAGGTTCACACCTGCCTGCTGCATTTCCAAAGGGCTAAAGGCAATCAGGCCAGTATCCAAAGGGCCCCACCCTGGAGACTGTGTTCTGGGGAAAATGGATGAGGTTCCAGGGGTGTTTGAACATCTTCAAATGTTGGAAGGCCTCTCTCAGGGATGAGGGAGGGCCTGGCCTGTGCCATTGGTTCTGAGCCTGTAAGAAGATGAACAGGGCCGGGCATGGTGGCTCACACCTGTAATCCCAGCACTGTAGGAGGCCAAGGCAGGTGGATCACCTGAGGTCAGGTGTTCGAGACCAGCCTGGCCAACATGGTGAAACCTCGTCTCTACTAAAAATATGAAAATTAGCCAGGCTTGGTGGTAGGCACCTGTAGCCCCAGCTACTCATAGCTTAAACCCAGGAGGCAGAAGTTGCAGTGAGCCGAGATCGCGCCATTGCACTCCAGCCTGGGTGACAAGAATGAAACTCTGTCTCAGAAAAAAAAAAAAAAGATGAACAAAGAAGATGAACAGAAGATGAAAAAAGAAGATTTCCCAAGGCTCTGAACAGCCACAGAACATCTGAGGATCCCAGCCCTGTGCCCTCATCACAGGCCGGAAAAGGTGGGAGGGAGCTTGGCAAGGATGGGGGATGGACTAGGCCTCCTCTGAAATGTCTTCCTACTTTCAGAGTCTATAAAATCATCCAAGGAGGCAGGGATTATGAGGAATGGTTGAAAGTGATGACTCACAGGAAGGCAGACTGGGTAGCTACTAGAAGCAGCAAGGAGGGGAGTTCACAGGAGGGAGAAGGGGAGCGCATTAGCTAATTTTGTATTTCACAATGTAAGGTATGAGGAAACAAAACATTCTCTGGGTTGCCAAGTCCATGTCACACAAATTCCTGTGTGCCTGCACTTATGAGAGAGCTCAAGTTATCTCTCAGCTCAAGTTCTCTCTCAGAACTGTGTTCTTATTTTACACACTGCTCTTAGAAGCCTGACTTAGAGTCAAAAGGCCAGTAAGACTCCGCCTTCAAGAGAACTGTCATCCACAACAGCTGATAGGTGACGGAGACAGATTGAAAGGCGATCAAAATCAGACTACAGAACCCCAAAAAGAAAGCATCTCAGAGCCATTTAGTGCAGGAACAAGTAGCCCGGTACTGCAGATAGCCCAGGATAATAACTATGTTCCCATAATGGCTCCAGGCCATCAACAAAAAGCTCTAATTATATTCAGGGCAAAGTTGCTGAGAAGATAAGAAAATGTATATTATCATTTAAAATGTGTCTTTAAAGGGATTTGTTTTGTTTTTATATGTGGGTGAAAGGGCACATTTAAGTTCTCTGGAAAGTTCAGTTGTATGACCCACTCATTGCTTAATACATCTACCATAGAATCTAGTCATTCTGCATCTACATATTTACCTAAGAGAAATGAAAGCATATGTCTATGCTAAGGGTTGTACACAAGTGTTTACAGCTTCATTGTAACAGCCCCAAACCGGAAATGTTCATAAACAAGGAAAGGGATAAGCAAACTGTGGTACATCCATACAATGGAATATTACTTAGCAACAAAAAGGAATAAACCACTGATACACAGCAATGGCATGAATGAATTTCACAATAATTATGCTGAGTGAAAGAAGTCAGACAAATAAGGGTACTTACTGAACGATTCCATTTCTATGAAACACTAGGAAATGCAAGCTAATACGTAGTAACAGAAAGCAGATTGTTGGTTGCCTGGGGATGGGAGGGGGTGGAATAGGAATCACAGGGAGGGATTCCCAAGAGGCATTAGGCAACTTTTGGAGGTGATAGATATATTCATTATGTTGATTGTATGATGGGTTTCCTGGATGTGTACATATTTTAAAATGTATCAAATTGTACATTTCCTTTCTTCCTTCCTTCCTTCCCTCCCCTTCCATCCCTCCTTCCCTCCCTCTCTCCTTCCTCTCTCTCTCTCTCTTTTCTTTTTTCTTTTATATTTTCCTGAGACTGAGTCTCCCTCTGTTGTGCAGGCTGGAGTGCAGTGGCTTGGCTTGGGCAACAGGTTGTTATCACCTACTTAGCTGAAGTGTTTGCTCAAATAAGTAGGTGATACTACCTCGGCTCAGCTCACTGCAACTTCCACCTCCGGGGTTCAAGCAACTCTCCTGCCTCACCCTCCCGAGTAGCTGGAACTACAGGCGCATGTCACCACGCCCGACTAATTTTTATCTTTTTAGTAGAGTCTGGTTTCGCCACTGTTGTCCAGGCTGGTCTCAAACTCTGGAGCTCAAGTGATCTGCCCACGTCAGCCTCCGAAAGTGCTGGGATTACAGGTGTAAGCCACCGTGCCCAGCCAAATTGTACATTTTAAATATCTACAAGTCATACATACCATTGACATAGGTACGTCAATGATAACTCAGTAAGCTGTAAAAGGTAAAGTTTTCCATAATATGTCCTGGGCTTCCTCATGCTCCCTATCAGGCAGAGTCCCCCTTGCCATGCTTTTTGGCCCCCACCCTCTGTCTTCACCCCCACACAATCATCCAAACTTCCCTTCTATGTTAGGGGATGTGGGAGAAGGGTGGGCATGATGGAGGAGCCATACCTGAATCCGGAAGGTCAGGATCTGGTTCCATATCGGGTTGTCGGTTTGGGTCTGCATGTGTGTCCTGAGCTGGAATGTCCCAAAGCAGTGTTGGTGCCAGCCTGCCCCCTCCTCCCTCCACTGACCTCACCTTCCAGCTCTTCCTGTCCAGCCTCCCAGTGGACACCACAGCACAGAGGTGCTTGGGCTAATCCCTGCTCTCAAGACACCTGCACAACTTCTCAGCAGCAACAGCGCCAGTCCTTTGTGTACTTACCCGAGGTGTTTGCCAGATTCAGATTCCTCATATTTTTCCTTAAGTCAGCTTTCAATAGACTTCATTTTTAAATAGATATAAGGCTACTGACCTTACTATATGAGTGTATAGACATATATTTTGCTAGATAAATTCTGAGATCCCAAAAGAAAAATGGGCAAAAACACAGCTAATGGCAGCAGCATGCCTGTTTTAAAACCGTCAGTTGAGTTTATGTGTAAGCAGTGGTATCTGTGGAATCAAGTGTTACTTGGCCTTATTAAACTTTTTAAGGTACACTAAGATGAACACAGAAGTATCAAAATTTTTGAGAACTGCGTGTCACTTACCACCTGAGAACGTTTCACCTAGCTTTGGGGGTACCCAACCACTCACTGGGAAATACTCAGTATGGTGGTTTTAAATATGTTCACAAATTCTTTGGTACTCCTCCCTTCAAAAGATAGACATTATTTTCTCTCCGCTTATGTGTGGGCTGGATTTAACGACTTGCTTGCAACAAATAGAATATGGTAGAAATTCTGCTTGGCAAATATGGAAAATATCTGTTTAACTGTAACCTAGCATTGTCCGAATTTGAACATAGGACCCTTTTTTACCCATGACACCCATCAGCACACTTTGGAAAATGCTATTCCGTATTCATAGAGGTTCATGGAATGTCAGCAACTCTCTTGCCCAGAACCTTCGTTTACACATGAAGAAACTGAGGGGTGGCGACAGTTTCGATGGTGTTCACTCATTGGCATGTTTCATTCACGCACTCATTCTTCCACGTGTATTTGGTTTTTGGGGGGCATCTGGCATGCAGAGAATAAGACGTGGCCTCCGCCTGCACAGAGTTCCAGGTGCAGGGGTGCATACTTCTCTCAGTGGGTGACTGGGAGATGATTCCTGTGGTCTTGCCCACCAGGCCACCCTCCTCTCCAAACTACTTTCTCTAGATGCCAATCTCTCTGGGTCTCAGAATATTTCTACACTTACCTTTTCCCCAATTAGTTCCACCTCCAACTGAGGATTCACTGACTGGTGTTTCTCTATGAACAACAAGTTAAAAGATATCTGAGCCAGCAGCATTTTTCAGGAGGAGGAAATAGGGTGGCGACAGAACAACTGAAAACCCTCCCCTATAATTTAGAGGGGTGCCCCCTGGGCAGACCTGTCTCCAGTTCCCACCATGCCCCTTCTTCTTCCACACAATGGCATGGGGTGGGGGGACATAGGGAGCCTTGAGTTTGCATCTGGCCATCATAGACAGGCTGGGGGTGTGAGACCCGTTTGAAAGGGTGTCCATGGCACCTCCACAGGACAAGTCTGGGAGCAATTCCAGTCTCACCCTGTCCCCCCTACCCCAAACAGTAGTTTAGTGCCAAAAGGAATGAGGAAACTCCATGAGGATCCAGGGTATCACCGTGTAGGGAATCTCAGGGCTGCTCCCTCCCCTGCACCCAGACTCTAACTGAGGTGAAGGTCCTCTGCGCAGTAGATGAAGAGCTGTAAGTAAGCCATGTTGATCGGGACTACCGCTGACTTGAAGATCTGAATATCGGTGTCATCGGTGCCATAGAGCAGCTTTTGATCTATCTGGAGAGACCAGAGAGCTGATATAGTCAAGGTAATGGGGAGGTCACAGGCAAGGACACCAGACTTTGCTTCTCCAACTTCCCACTTGGTGCAGGGGGGATGGGACAACCCTGCAGTGACGCAGCGGACAAAGGAGAGATGTGATGGTCAATATCCAGGGTGAGGCCCAGGGGTGCCCCCAGGAGGCAGCCAGGATAGGAAAGTTTCCGGGGTTAGGGGCAGCTCACCAGGGCCTGGTCTCCCACACCGAGGGCATAGATGGTGACTTTCAGGTAGCCTGTCACACCACTGCCAGGGTTATTTGGCTGGCAGAGGCCTAGCCATTTCCTTAGGAGTGTGTGACCTAGAGAGGCAGAAAGGCCATGGGAGATCTGCCTGCAGCCTCCTTCCTTCTCCCCTGAAACCAGCCTTTGTTTTAGCAGGAGGGGAAGGTGGAAATAGGTCTCAGGCATCCTGCTTTCTATCCAGTGGCAGAGGAAAAGGGGAGTCACTCGTACCACGAAGCAATGATAGCGTGCTCACAAGGCTGCCAGCTGTTGCCTCTAGGAAACAGGGACCCCTGTTTATGCCTTGGGAACCTACTGTTCTCACTGTGGCCTGGTCTGGAACCAGGCACTGTAGAGGCAAGCATTTTCCTCAACCTAGTGTATGTTATAGCCAGGTAAGGTGGAAATTTCCTCTCAAACTTTAATCTTCCAATACTGGCCTCAAAAAATAGAAATCTAACCCAGGATTGTAATATAAGGCTAGCACTTGACCCAAAGGGATGCCCTGAGTTTTTCAGAGAAAAATGCTATTACTATAAATTAAAATAGGCCAGGTGTGGTGGCTCATGCCTATAATCCCAGCACTTTGGGAAGCTGAAGCGGGTGGATCACCTGAGGTCAAGAGTTCGAGACCAGCCTGGCTAACATGGTGAAACCCCATCTCTACTAAAAATAAAAAATTAGCTGGGTGTGGTGGCACATGCCTGTAATCCCAGCTACTTGGGAGGCTGAAGCAGGAGAATTGCTTGAAGCCAGTAGGCAGAGATAGCAGTGAGCCAAGATTGAGCCACTGCACTCCAGCCTGGGCAACAGAGTGAGACTCCATCTCAAAAAATAAAATTAAATTAAAAAATAAGGTAAAATAAAATACCACAATGTACAGTGAAATATTACCAAATACAGAAAATAATTTACAATCTCTAATACTCCCCTCCACCCATGTGTTGGACATATGGGGATTTTAAGATATTCTGACCCTTGGCCTGATTTTTCTCAGAAGACATACATATTTGCCATAAGTATTACCTACCTGGAGAATGGTAGATAAACCCAATATCTGTCTGAAAAGACAACAGTGGGGTGAGGATTAGTTAGGGCCTGCAGCCAAGATTTGTAATACCAACTAACCTGACCCAACTGCTAGCTGTTGGGGCTTCAGTATGTTCTCTGCCCTAACTCCTTTCATCTTTACAGCAGCCTGAGAGGTAGGCCCATTATTACCTCTACTCTGCAGAGGAAGATACTGAGTTTGAGAGAGGTGCCCAAAGTCTTACAACCAGTCAGTGAGAAAGCCTGCATGGAAAAGCTCCTCAACACTGCACTGTGCCACCCTCTCGGCCAAAGCAGCCCAACTCTACCCTACTCCTGGGTCAGGGAAGGGCTCACCGGTCCTGGGGAAGAGGATGGTTAAGGTAAGAGGTAGGAGTTGACAAAGAAACTACGGGTTTTCTCTTTCCCCTTGGAGATAGTTTCTGACACAGAGGTTTGAGGAATGTGGTTCAGGATGGAAGGTGACATATGTGGGGCAAGCTGCCACAGAACATTATGGCCACCCATAATGTGTTCTTAGATACAGCAACACAGCACAACCCATCAAAGAAAAGCTTGATTGGCCGGACGCAGTGGCTCACGCCTGTAATCCCAGCACTTTGGGAGGCTGAGGCAGGCGGATCAAGAGGTCAGGAGATCGAGACCATCCTGGCTAACGCAGTGAAACCTTGTCTCTACTAAAAATACAAAAAATTAGCCGGGCGTGGTGGCGGGCCCCTGTAGTCTCAGCTACTAGGGAGGTTCAGGCAGGAGAATGGTGTGAACCCGGGAGGCGGAACTTGCAATGAGCCGAGATTGCGCCACTGCTCTCCAGCCTGGGCGACAGAGCGAGACTCTGTCTCGAAAGAAAGAAAGAAAGAAAGAAAGAAAGAAAGAAAGAAAGAAAGAAAGAAAGAAAGAAAGAAAGAAAGAAAGAAAGAAAGAAAGAAAGAAAGAAAGAAAGAAAGAAAGAAAGAAAGAAAGAAAGAAAGAAAGAAAGAAAGAAAGAAGGAAGGAAGGAAGGAAGGAAGGAAGGAAGGAAGGAAGGAAGGAAGGAAGGAAGGAAGGAAGGAAGGAAGGAAAGCTTGATAAATTGGACTTCATCAAAATGAAAAAGTCTGCTTTTGAAAGACACTGTTAAGAAAATGACAGTGGCTCACGCCTGTAATCCCAGCACTTTGGGAGGCTGAGGCAGGCGGATCACGAGGTCAGGAGATCGAGACCATCCTGGCTAACACGGTGAAATCCCGTCTCTACTGAAAATACAAAAAATATTAGCCGGGTGTGGTGGTGGGCGCCTGTAGGAGGCTGAGGCAGGAGAATGGCATGAACCCAGGGGGTGGAGCTTGCAGTGAGCGGAGATCACACCACTGCACTCCAGCCTGGGTGACAGAGAGAGACTCCGTCCCAAAAAAACAAAAACAAAAACAAAAACAAAACAGAAAATGAATGGGCTGTCATCCTCTGGAAGAAAATATTTGCAAATCATATATCAATAGTTAGAAAACAAACAATCCAAGGAAAACAAACTAAAGATTTGAACAGTCACTTCACCAAAGAAGATATACAGATGACAGGCACATGAAAAGATGCTCAACATCGTTAGTCGTTAGGAAGGTTTAAATTACAATCACAGTGAAATATTACTACACACCATTAGAATGGCTAAAATAAAAAAGATGGACTAGATCAAGTATTGTGGAGAATGTGGGGCAACTGAAACTCTAATACACTACTGGTGGGCATGTACAGTGGCAGAACCTGTTTGGAATTTTGGAAAAAAAACTTTTAGAAATTTTCCTTAAAAAGTTTAACATACACGTCCGGGTGCAGTGGCTCACACCTGTAATCCCAGCACTTTGGGAGGCCGAGGCGGGCTAATACAAAAATTAGCCAGACATGGTGGCGTGCACCTGTAATCCCAGCTACTCGGGAGGCTGAGGCAGGAGAATCACTTGAACCCGGGAGGCAGAGGCTGCAGTGAGCTGAGATCGCGCCACTGCACTCCAACCTTGATGACAGAGCAAGACTCTGTCTCAAAAAAAAAAAAAAAAGTTGGCCAGGTGCGTTGGCTCACGCATGTAATCCCAGCACTTTGGGAGGCCAAGGTGGGCCGCTCACAAGGTCAGGAGTTCAAGACCAGCCTGGCCAACATGGTGAAAACCTGTCTCTACTAAAAATACGAAAATTAGCCCACACGTAGTAGCAGGTGCCTGTAATCCCAGCTACTCGGGAGTCTGAGGCAGGAAAATCATGTGAACCCAGGAGGGGGAGGTTGCAGTGAGCCGAGATCACGCCATTGCACTCCAGCCTGGGCAACAGGGCAAGACTCCATCTCAAAAAAAAAAAAAAGAAAGTTAAACATATACCACATATACCTACCATATGATTTAGTCATTCTGCTTCTACATATTTTCCCAAGAGAAATTAAAACTTCCACACTCAGATTTGTACACAAATGTTTACACGGCCCCAATATAGCAGCCTCAGACTGGAAGCAATCTAAATGTCCATTAACAAGGGAATGGATAATTAAACTATAGTACATCCATATGCTGGACTATTACTCAGCAATAAAAAGGAATGAACTGCTGACAAGTGCAACAACATGGATGAATCTCAGAACAGCAATGCTGAGGGAAAGAAAGCAGACACAAAAGGATAGAGAATGTATGATTCTATTGATATGAACTCTAGGAAATACTTATCTATTAATAAGAACTCTAGGAAAGAAATGTTCATATAATAACAGAAAGCAGATCAGTGGTTGTCTGCGGATGGAGGGGGTGGGATGGGAATGAGACGGAGTGATTCCCAAGGTCCATCAGACAACTTTTGGAGGTGACAGATGTGATGAGTATATTCATTATCTTAATTGTGATGATGTTTTCTTCTGGGTGTGCACATATTTTTAATATATCAAATTGTACATTTTAAATATGTACCATTAATTGTATGTCAATGACACCTCAATAAAACCATAACATAAAAAAAACAGGGCAAGGCATGGTGGCTCATGCCTGTAATCCCAGCACTTTGGGAGGCTGAGGCGGGCGGATCACTTGAAGCCAGGAGTTTGAGACCAGCCTGGCCGACATGGTGAAACCCCATCTCCACTAAAAATACAAAAATTCGCTGGGCATGGTGGCACGTGCCTGTGGTTCCAGCTATCCTGGGGGGCTTAGGCATGAGAATTGCTTGAACCTGGGAGGCAGAGGATGCATGAGCCAAGATCGTGCCACAGCATTCAAGCCTGGGTGACAGAGCAAGACTCTGTCTCAAAAAAAACTATATATATATATATATAAATTAAAAAATAAAAATAAAAAAACAGAATAGAAATTCAGTCACTCCCAATGAAGCAACAGATCCAGGCAATGATCATCATTAGCTGTTAACAACATAAAATGAGAGACCAGCAGACATTCTGTGCCTTCTGCTAAAGTCACTTTGCCAACAAATTGGTTCAGACTAATCTAAACTCTAGATAGGGAAATGGGGTGGGGGAATGCAAAATGATTCCCTGAAGATGAAATCAGCAAAACCCAGACCAGAGAAAACACTACAGGTCCAACTACCCAGTTTCCTTAACAAATAAGTTGCAAATTAAAAAAAAAAAAAAAAGAGGAAGTGGGGGAGCAGAGAGGACCAACAGAATAAAAGGAAACTAAAATGCATATTAACCACTTGCAATGAGTGGACCTGGTTTAGAATCCTGATTTGTTTTTTGTTTTTGTTTTTTTGAGACAGAGTCTCTCTCTTTTGCTCAGACTGGAGTGCAGTGGCAAAATCTTGGCTCACTGCAACCTCTACCATCTGGGTTCAAATGATTCACCTGCCTCAGCCTCATGAGTAGCTGGGATTACAGGCATGTGCCACCACACCCAGCTAATTTCTGTATTTTTAGTAGAGATGGCCATGTTGGCCAGACTGGTCTTGAACTCCTGACTTCAGGTGATCCGCCTGCCTTGACCTCCCAAAGTGCTGGGATTACAGGCGTGAGCCACCGTTCCCAGCCTGGAATCCTTATTTGAAAAACTGTAAAAGAAATATGTAAAACAATTAGGGGAATTTGAACATTGACTAGGTATTTAATGCTACCTAGGAATTATAAAAGTTTTTAGATGTGATAATTGTATGTGGCTATGCTTAATAAAATCCTTATGTTTTTGCAATACATACTGAAATGTAGAAAGATAAAATGATGTGATGCTTGAGATTTGATTCAAAATAATCCAGCGGTGAAGGCGAAGGGGGCTAGGTGTAGGTAAAACACAATTGACTGTGAATTGATGAAGATGAGTGATGAGGATATGGGAGTTCATGATACCAAAATAAAAAGAAATAAAAAAATAAGCTCGGCTGGGTGTGGTGGACACACGCCTGTAATCCCAGCACTTTGGAAGGCTGAGGTGGGAGGACGGCTTAAGCCCAGGAGTTCTAGACTAGCCTGGGTAACATAGTGAGACCCATTCGCTACAAAAAATTTTTAAAAATTAGCCAGGTGCAGTGGTGCACACCTGTAGTCCAAGCTACTCGGGAGGCTGAGGTGGGAGGATTGCTTGAGCCCAGGAGTTCAAGGCTGCAGTGAGCCGGGATTGCACCACTGCAATCCAGCCTGGGTGACAAAGCAAGATCACGTCTCAAAAAAAAAGAAGAAGCTTGGTTAAACTCAGGTTTTCTCTGACCTCTATAACTTAGCTTATGTCATTGGTCACTGTCTAGAAATCATGCGGTGGCCTTTGTCAAGAGCACAACATTTTTCACCTCCTACCATCTAACATTTCTAGAATCTCTGTCTCT
The DNA here is from genome assembly GCF_000001405.40 of Homo sapiens. Classification (NCBI taxonomy): domain Eukaryota; kingdom Metazoa; phylum Chordata; class Mammalia; order Primates; family Hominidae; genus Homo; species Homo sapiens. Next base: position 96,655,569 of record NC_000002.12, on the reverse strand, counting down.
CTATGTTTTTTTCCAAGGGTGGTGCCCGTTTCCTAACATTGTAGATTTAGTAAACAAAAACAGAAGATGCCCACTTAAATTAAAATTTCAGATGAACAATGACTACTTTCTTAATACACATACGTCCCCTGCAATATTTGGTGAGAAGCCATGTAATATTTGGGACATACTTATATTTAAAATGTATTTTTTGTTTATCTAAGATTAAATGTAACCAGGCATCCTGTATTTAACCTAGCAACCTACCTTTTCCTGATCTTTTTGGATTTGGAGAATCTTAGTTTAGCCCATCATGACTGTAAACTCTCCTAATCTCTCAGCCTGTCTTCCCAAATCACATCTTTTCACTCTGTCCTCACAGGCAGCAATATTTCTCTGAGTTTCCCTAACATGTAGGCTGACCTTTTGGATCCTCTGCTTCTACTTCCTGGAGGCAGAGATTTGAACTGTGTCCACAGTATCATGGGAGTGTGGAATTCAACATGGCGCCCTGAGCTTTCATAAACGTTATATATACTTTAATCCTCACAATCACCCCCCAGATCGAGTATATTATCATCTCCCTTTTAAAGATGAGGAAGTAGAGGTTCAGAATAACTTGTTTAAGTCACCCAGTTGGTAGGTGGATACAAGCCTGGATCTTTCTTCTTCTTTTTTTTTTTTTTTTTTTTGAGATGGAGTCTCACCCTGTCGCCCAGGCTGGAGTGCAGTGGTGCGGTCTCGGCTCACTGCAAGCTCCGCCTCCTGGGTTCAAGCAATTCTCCTGCCTCAGCCTCCTGAGTAGCTGGGACTACAGGCACCCGCCACCTCACCCCGCTAATTTTTTGTATTTCTAGTAGAGACAGGGTTTCACTGTGTTAGCCACGATGGTCTCGATCTCCTGACCTCGTGATCCACCGGCCTCGGCCTCCCAAAGTGCTGGGATTACAGGTGCGAGCCACTGCACCCGGCCAAGTCTGGATCTTTCTGTGTGAAAATCCAAGTCCTTTTCCCTAGACTTGGGCATGGAGCCCAGCATGGGTCTCTGTTTTAATAACTGTTTCACTGAACCTCCTCCCATGTACAGTACTCACTTGAAATCTCCCGATCTCTGCTTTGTATCTCATTGCTGAGGAGTTCACCACCTGCAAGGGAGTTCCCAGAAATATTTTAATTATTCACAATCCCAATTTCCCTCAGCCCCTGTAAGAGGTATAGCAAAGGCACAACCAGGATCCTCCTGACGTATTGAATGCTTCCTAATGGGGCAGACACTTGCACATGGGTGTTCTCATTTCACTCTCAGAGGAACCCTGTGAGGTTCAGATTTTTAATTCCATTTTACTGATGAGGAAATTGATCAGAGAGGTCAATTTCCTTGCCCCAAGTCAACACAAAGCAAGGTGTTGCACTCAACGTTATCCATTACATGCTCTCCTGGTTGTTTCCTCTGTGCCTTTGTTCCCAAGAACAGTAAATTCTTCAAAGGAAGAGGCCTCTTTGTTCTCCTTAGCCCTGTGCTGGGCACATAGTAGGCACCTGATAACCACATGTTCCACATTGTTACTGGCTCCCTTTGGTTAGGGAATGGAGTATTCTACTTGGAGGGGCCTTTGGTGGCTTGAAAATCCTGGCACATGGGAAGGGGCTGCCTTGTTCACCTTGGCGCCCAGTTCAGGGCCTGGCAGTTGGCAATCCACAACATTTGTTGAATAAATGAGTAAATGAATGAATAATCTGGGTGCCAGGGGGTGAAGAAAGTGGTGGGGATCAGGAAGACAATCTGAAGTGCCCCTGGCTCTAAGGGTGGGGGCTGGAGCTGTAGTGCTTCCCAGTATTGAAGTGGGACAAGAAACCCACCTTGCTGGGGACCAGTTTGGCTCCTCACCTGGATTAAGATGGTCTCATCAAAGAACTTTGCAGGAACCTCATGAAAATTCTGGAAGAAGATCTGAGGCAAAGAGAATTGGGGTAGAGTGGATGATTTCTTCCGCCACTTCACCCAAGCACTCAGTAAACCTGAAAGCTCAGAATAATGTGCTTCTTTCCACAACTTTACCCATTTCAATGGGTTTACAAGTACAGGCTGAGTATTCCTAATCCAAAAATCTGAAATAAAAAATGCTCCAAAATCTGAAACTTTCTGAGTGCCAACATGACCCTCAAAGGAAATGCTCACTGGAGCATTCTGGGTTTCAGATTTTCATTATTACGAATGCTGAACTGGTACAATGCAAATATTCCAGATTCCCAAAAAAAATCTGAAATCCAAAACACTTCTGATACCATGCATTTTGGGTAAGGGATACTCAACTTGTGCCACTTCTCTCATGCTCCCCCAGAAGCAGAGGCCTCCCGGGCTCCTAGAGGGTTTCCTATTTTTAGGCGGAGTCTCGCTCTGTCACCTAGGCTGGAGTGTGGTGGTGCAATCTCAACTCACTGCAACCTCGGGTTCAAACGATTCTCCTGCCTCAGCCTCCTGAGTAGATGGGATTACAGGCACCTGCCACTGCATGTGGCTAATTTTTGTATTTTTACAAAAGAGACAGGGTTTCACCATATTGGTCAGGATGGTTTCGAACTCCGGACCTCAGGTGATCCACTCACCACGGTCTCCCAAAGTTCTGGAATTACAGGCATGAGCCACCAAGCCCAGCCTCCTGGAGGGTTTTCTGCCCAGAATGGGGAATGGTAGGAGATTCCTGGAGAACTCAGGGCCCAGCTAGCTGCCCAGGATGGAGATTTGAGCCCACACCTCCTTCTAGGTTGCCCTGCCAGTCCACTCTGTCCCTGCTCCCCGTGGCAGCCAGAAACTTCTTTCCCAAATGCAAACCTAGGCCTGTCACTCCTCTGCTTAAGTCCTCCATGGCTCCTGAGTAGTGTCCAGGATGGGACCCCAGCCCACACTGTAGGCTCCCCTCCAGCCAGTCTCCTCCAGCCACACCCATAGCTATAGTTCTGCTGTCAAGTCTGCGGCTTGCTTGGTTCCAGGCCTTTGAAAACACCATGACTTTTTCCTGAATTATCTTTTCCCATCCTGTCTGTCTTTCCCTGGTAAAATCTTCCTTCAGGGTTGCTGGAGCCCTTCTGAGTCCTCTCCGCCACCCCCAGCCTCATTACTCACTTACTCCTTCCAGCTTCCACTGTGCTTTTATCTTTTATTTGTTCATTTACTAATTAATTCAACAAGTATTTATGGAGCACCTACTGTGTATCAGGCACAGTGCTACAATTTGGGGCTCCAGCAGCAATGAGACATACATGGTCTGGGTCTGTGCTTCGAACCTCCAATAGCAATACTCCCAGACCTCTGTAAACCAGGATCTGCTCTGTTGTAATTGTTTACGGATTCATGAGTTGTGCCCCCACCAGCCCACCAGCTCCTCAGATACAGGGCTCTGAGTTATACTGTTCTGTATTTTCAGTGCTTGGCCCTCAGTAGACACTCAGTAAATGCTTGTGGAACAAACACATGAAGACACCCTAGTCAAGGAGCAAGCTTGCCGGCTGCCCACCGGGGATGCCCAGCCCTTGGCTGGCTCCTTGCCTGATGTGCCCCGTTCAGCCCACCTCATTAAAGAAAGGGTTGTTTCCCATCTTGATGCGTGTCTGGTGCTGCTGGCCTGCGATGGACACCTTCACCACTGGTTTGATGTTGTTGCCCATGAGCTGTCGGGCTTCAAACACCTTCACTCGAACCTAAGGGCGGAACACATGGGGAGCTGATATTGAGGGCCTTCTGTAGCTGGGACAACATTGTTCTGATAAGAAAACATTCTAGGCCAGGTGCAATGAGTGGCTCATGCCTGTAATCCCAGCACTTTGGGAGGCCGAGGTGGGAGAATCGCTTGAGCCCAGGAGTTCGAGACCAGATTGACTGGGCAACATGGCAAAACCCCGTCTCTACAAAAATTACAAAAAAATTAGCTGAGCTTGGTGGTGCATGCCTGTAATCCCAGCTACTCAGGAGGCTGAGGTGGGAGGATCACCTGAGCCCAGAGGTCTAGACTGTAGTGAGCTGTGATCGTGCCACTGCACTCCAGCCTGGGCAACAGAGCAAGACTCCATCTCAAAAAAGAGAAGAAAGACAGAAAGAAAGAAAGAAGGGAGGGAGGGAGGGACGGAGGAAGGAAAAGAAAGAAAGAAAGAAGGGAGGGAGGAAGGAAGGAAAAGAAAGAAAGAAAGAAGGGAGGGAGGAAGGAAAAGAAAGGAAAGAAGGAAGGAAGGAAAGAAAGAAAAAGAAAGAAAGAAGGAAAGAAAGAAAGAGAGAAAGAAGGAAGGAAGGAAAGAAGAAAGAAAGAAAGAAAGAAAGAAAGAAAGAAAGAAAGAAAGAAAGAAAGAAAGAAAGAAAGAGAAAGAAAGAAAGAAAGTTGTAGCCCTAGCCACAGTGGAGACAGACAATCCACTGGGAGAAGGCTAGGAGGAGATGGACTTGGAGACACAGGCTTGAGTTATCAAGGGCCCGGGAAGCCATTGCAAAAGGAACTGGATCTTGTGATCTTGTGTGGAAGACACTGGGGCTTTTGAAGAAGGTGCTTGGCATGATAAGAGTGACATCTTTGAAAGGACACTTTGGTTGGAGAATGGACAGGAGAGAGCTGGAGGCTGGGGGGTTCAGGAGAAGCCTTCTGATGTGGTCCAGGGAAGAGGTGGTGGTGGCTCAGGCCAGGGAACAGAAGTGGCGAGGGGGAAATGGGAGCAGTGGGTGACGTTAAGAGCTAGGACTTGGCCACTGCTTGGGTGCAGGAAGAGGAGTGGTCCAGGAGACTCCCAGCTGCTGCGCGAGGAGCAGGCTGGGGAGCAGGTAAAACCACGGCAGGAATGTTAGGCCACGGGCTAGAAGCCAGAGGGAAGTTGATAAGCCATGGGATGAGGGTTCCTGAATTCACATGGAAATGTGGACCTTTCCATAGGTCCCCTCAGATCAGACACTCCCCAGCCTCTCCTGTACAGTTAATTTAACTTTGCCTGTGCCCCACTTTGTTTTGCCAACAACCTGAGGACTCTGAGAGGGCAGGATCTCTCTCATCTGCGCTGCTTCCCCAGCAGGTACCAGGGCCTGCCAGTGCACAGCTGGCTCTCCTACTACCTCACTGGAGCTCTGTGGCTTCAGCTACAGGCAGAAGTTTCCAGAACGGCCATGGGAGGAGCAGGGCATGTGGCAAGGATCTGAGGGCCAGAAGCTGGGTCTGAAGCTCTGCCCTTCTACCATGACCTTGGGGAGGGGTGAGGTGGCCTGGGAACACAGCAAACAAGAGTGTCAGGTGAGTCCCATGAACTTGCAACCTGGAAGGTCCTCACCTGAAAGTGCTGAGGCTTTGAGGACAGAGCCCTGTGCGCAGTGGAGCCAGGGACCATCAGTTTCTGACTGGCTGCCTCTCTTGCCGTTATGCCCAGGTGGTCTTCAGCTCCTGGGGAGACACAGTGCAGGGTGGGGTCAGAGGCCTGGGGCCCAGGAGGTTTGAGGTATTTTCCCCATTCCATCATTCTGTCCCCAGTGACCATCTCCTGACTAAAAGCATGGCCAAGAGGCCCCAACAGTGACATATGTCCTCCCCAGAACATTACCATGGGCCCCTTCATGCTCAGGAACTATGGATCCCTGGACCCTGCTCCACACACTGGGGCTCTTGGAGATGACCATCCTTGTCTCTCTGCAGCCCCTTGGAGACTTATGTCTTATATCTCATGGGTCTTATGTCTAGAGATGACAAATAGGCATATTGGGATGGCCTCAGCCAGATGTCTGGAGATCTGGCATCTAGACCCTGTAGCTTCCAGGGACCCTAGCCTGGTCACATTCCTTCTGTAGGCCTCAAGGGCTGGGTTTTGAAGGTCCCCAAGAACCCATCCAGCTGTGCATGCAGAAAGGCAGGGTAGGCCCTTAAGGGTAAGCTCCAGGGAAGGACATACCTGTCTTCTCAATATCCTGGTTGCTCATGTGGGCCACCTGTAGGGTGACAGTACACTGCAAGACAAAGGCAAGGGAGCTGTAAGCCAGACCCTGCCATCCTTGGACACAGCACCCAAGCCCTGCACAGCCTGGTTGGGTTCACACCTGGTCCTCCTGGTGGGGGCCGTGATGCTAGTCATGGGATGGGGCCACACCATGGGCATCTGCACAGTCTGGGTGAGGGAGGTTATAAATGGGTGAGGAGAGAGCAATGGGTTACAGTGGAGGGGATGTTTGTAGATTAAAGCAGCCACATGGTGGTGATGGTGGCAGAAAAGGATGCAGGAGGGTGGGGAGGAGAGGGAGAGGTGACTTGAGCCCAGAACACAGATGCTAGCAGCTCTTCCCCTAGCCCAACATCTCATGAACTCATGTGGGAGGCCCTGCACACTCCTCCCTTCTAACTGAGCTCCTTCCTTCATATGCTCCCATTACCATCCCAGCCTCCAGACCATCACCAGGATGGCCCCCTGAACACCCCAAGTGTCTAAATGATCAAAGTTAAGTCACAATTCACCAGCGTGGACCACAAGGCCCTTGACCTCTAGCCCTTGGTCACTTATGCAACCTAAGCTCTCCCACCTCCACCCCACCCCCCCACCGTGTGACAAAAGTGCAGTACACCCTCCCTCACCCTGCCTCCTGCTCCACCCACTTTATGCCCCTGCCTGGGCTGGTCTTCCACTCCTGTCCATTGGGAAAACTCAAGCCTCTTCTTACAACTCAACTGACAGACTGAATGTGCCTTGACTTTATGATGGGATCACATCCCGATAAACGCATTGTAAGTCAACAATATTGTGTGTCCATCCATTGTAAGTCACAGACTGTCTGCATACAAATGGACAATGGCCAAACCACATAGAAAATAAGACTCAGATCCACCATCTGCAGCAACCAGCCCAGGGAACCAACCTGTTATCTACAGTAACCAGCCCAGGAAGCCAGCCTGCTCTAAGTCAGACTTGTAGGAGGTCAGACTGCTGTCTCTAGCAATAATCCAGGAAGCCAAACAATAACAATCAGCTCCAAATGGCCAGGCCTTGATTAATAACTGGCAGCTGCCTTAATTTTTGTCCCCACTTCCAACTTAGGACCAACCAGAGAGAGCCAAACATGCCCCTCTAACCAATCACATGGGAGGCCCGCCTTGGGCTCCCCCGTAGCCTCCAATCAGGGCACATCTGCAGCCTTCCCTTCTTTCCACTGTGAAGCTCTCCCGCTCCCCTGGCTGCCTCTGAGTCTCTGCCAAAACACAAATGACGATGACCGAGTCCCTTGCTAGCACAAGCTCTGAAAAAATAGCCTTTGCTTGTTCTCATTTGGATGGTCTCCCTACATTTCCAATGTCTTAAACATCACCCCCTCTGTAAATCTGTCCATGACCTCCTGAGACAAATTGTTCACTCCCTCCTGACCTGAGCCAGTGGCCTTGCTTTACTGAACCTTGTCTCACGGGTGCTGGAGCGCCTGTCACTGTGAGTGGAGCCTACTCCAACAGACCATGGGCTTAAGGCAATTTTGTACCACAGGGCCTGGCACAGTGGTTGACTCCCAATGCAAGGCGGTCAATTCATCTAAATAGATGCGTTGGGGAGGGGGGCGCAGATGATGGCAAGGGAGGTGGTCAGGAGAGGAAGGCAGTGTGATGGGGCCCCCCAAGCAGGAAGCACTCTTGTGGTGTGGGCCGCTTCACCAGCTCCCCTCATTCCTCCAGCCACCCTGCCTGGGCCTTCCTGGGCCTGACTCACATCTGTGGGCTTCATGGAATGGTTGAGCAGGGTCAAGTCCTTCACAAAAAGGACCTCACTTGGTTGTTTCAACAATGGCTTGAGCAGTACTGTGGCCAGGCCAATGAATCTGGGGAGACAAGGAGCAGATGTGAGATCCTGAGCCAGGGGAAAGAGTGTCCTCTTCTCTCCCGGGCAGGGCTTTAGCTAGAGACGGTTTCCTCCCAGGGCTGTGCTGTCCTCAGAGAGAGGCTGGAGAAGAATGCAGTGGGGCTGGGTATCCATGACAGGGCACAGGGCTTCTGGCTCTGAGAACTGTCTTGGGGCTCCGAGGCAAGTAACAGTTGATTGGACCAGGGATGGACACCTGGCTAGAGCTGGGCCAATAGGATTCTCTGTCTTAGGAATTTTGACCTGGGATGGCATAGCCTCAGTCTCAGGGCATGTGAGTCTCAGCTGGGCACTAGATGAGGCTGTGATAAGAAGCCGGGGTTGGGCAGAGAGAAGCAGAAATTTGAGATACGTGGCTTCAGATGGACAGAGCTGCTGCTGGGTTCCCAAGTTCCTGTCCCAGCTGATTTGCAGTCTTGCCCTGGCTACCCTTTCAGTACCCACCCCTCTTTTTTCTTTTTAGCTGGCTGGAGTGGGTTCCATTCCTTCATCTGAGTGAGTTATGGATTAGAGACAAGGATCACATAACTTGCTGCTGCGTTGGTCAGGAGCTAGGCTCCTCCTGCCTCTCTCTGCCTCACCTTTCTTTCTTTTGTGAGCCCATGTCCTGAAGGGTGACTTGCAGGAAGGAGTCATTTTCCAGGGGGCGGTTCCAGAGGTGCCAGATTAGGGTCTGTGGGGGGCATAGAGAGGTCAGCATCCTCCCTCTGCCCTTCCCATCCCATGTTTCTAGGAAATGAGGAAAGACGTGGGGAACGGGCTGGCACTGCATTTCTCTAAGACTGAGGAACCTCCCTCATGTCTAATTTCCTCAGGAGATGGCGTTTGCTACCTTTCACCAAGGTGTGGGCATCCCACTCGGCTTCTGTGACTTGAACTGCAGTATCATTGGCCTGTTGGGAATTAAGGGTTTGGGGACTAGGAATGGGGTGAGGGGCAGCATGGAGTGATGGCAGATGAGAGGGAGTCATGCACAGGGAGCCTTCACTCTGCTTCAGGCTTCTAGGAACATCAAGATGGCCCAGCTGGATGGTTGATAGGCCATACCATGGTCCATCCTCGGAGTGGGGGAGAAGGGCCACGAACAGTCGTGGGCAGGTGTGGCCTTCACAGCCTTGTCGGGTCAGAGGCTGCTACTCCCAGGCCAAGATGCCCAGCCTTGAGGAAAGCCTGTGAGGTTGCACGTCCTCTCCCTAGACCTCTGAGCACCTTCCTGGACCCCACCCTTGCCCCCTTGCTGTTGGGGTTGTTATTTCCTCTTCTGGGCTTGCCCTGTTGTCTACCTCATTCCACACGGGATCATTCCCTTCCACCACACGAGTTCTTTTCTTGATATCTGCAAAGAAACCAAGAGGCTGGCATTGATGGTAGGAAATATTTCAACGTCTGGGTTGGAGTGGGGTAAAGAGAAGTAGGACACTCTAAGAAAACTTCAAGTCGGCCGGGCATGGTGGCTAACGCCTGTAATCTCAGCACTTTGGGAGGCCGAGGCAGGCAGATCACGAGGTCAGGAGATCAGGACCATCCTGGCTGACACGGTGAAACCCCATCTCTACTAAAAATACAAAAAATTAGCCGGGCGTGGTGGCGGGCGCCTGTAGTCCCAGCTACTTGGGAGGCTGAGGCAGGAGAAGGGTGTGAACCCAGGAGGCAGAGCTTGCAGTGAGCTGAGATCCCGCCACTGCACTCCAGCCTGGGTGACAGAGCAAGACTCTGTCACAAAAAAAAAAAAAAAAAAAAGAAAACTTCAAGTCAAGGCAAGTGGCAGGCACTGCCTTCAAGTCAAGGCAGGTGGCAGGTGTGATATGGCATCACTTCTTTTTTTCTTGTGTGGGTTCAACATTTCTTGATTTTATCACTGTGTGACAGATAATGCTCTATGTTCATTTCATTTTCTTTCTTTGTTTCTCTTTTTATTTTTTCTTTACTTTTCTTTTGTGTGTGTGTGTGTGAGTGTGTGTGACACAAGGTCTCACTCTATCACCCAGGCTGGAGTACAGTGGCATGATGTGGGCTCAATGCAACCTCTGTCTCCCAGGCTCAAGTCATCCTCCCACCTCCCACGTAGCTTGGACTACAGGCCACCATACCTGGCTAATTTTTGTATTTTTTGTAGAGACAGGGTTTTACCATGTCACCCAGGCTGGTCTCAAACTCCCAGACTCAAGTGATCTGCCTGCCTCGGCCTCCCAAATTGTTGGGATTACAGGCTAAAGCCACCGCGCTCGGCCCATTTCATTTTCTTCCAGAGTTTTCAGTGTCTTGCAGCTAAGCGGGGCTGTGTGACTCACTCTGGCCAATGGGATATGGGTATGATATTTGCCACTGCCAGGTCTGGTTCTTAATTTCCATGAGATTCTTCATTCTCCTCTCTCCTCTCCCCATAGCCACCCTTGTGACCTGCTAACTTTGCAGCCACAAGGGGCAAGCGGCTAGTCCCTAAACTACCATTTGTAGGAGCTACCCAGGAGAGCTGTGTGACCAGCACCATCCATGCAGGACTTGTGTAAGCAAGAGGTAAACTTTTATTGTTAACCCACTGAAAATTAAGGGTTTATTTATTGCCGGAGCAAAGCCCAGTGTACCCTAACGAAGACATCCTGAAACATCCATAATGGGTAAAAGGCCCTCCAAGCAGTGGGAAGGGGTGCAGGTTAGTGGATGGCATATGAAGGAAGAGGCTGGGAAGGACAAAAGGAATACAAAGTGTCAAACATAAACATACAATCAGAAGAATCTGTTTGTATTCAAACAGGGTTCTGAGTTTTAGGCATCTTTGTGGGAGATATTTCTGGAATGAGAAAGATGGTGCCCATGAGGTGGTGGGGAAGATGGCTCAGAATCAGAGAAGAACTGCCAGGCCCTTGCCTGGCTAACTGGAAAATTAGTCAATCAGGGCAAATACATCCTGAACTCCCACCGCCCCTCTTGAAACCTGCAGACTGAGGACATCAGCATGCATCACCCTGTGAGCCTGGAGTCCCAAATGTTCAATCTCTGAATATTGCTGTGTTCAACAAGCATAGTTTCACAGAACAACAGCATAAAATAAAGAAATTCCATTCATTACTCATATGTCCTGTAGGAACTACTGTGTCCTCTTTTCTCTTGGGCCCGGTTTTCTCCCTGCTGACGGTCCCTGTAAAACCTATTTGCCTGTATCCACCGTCCTGTATCTCCACCTACATACTTTCACCTTTTTTTCTCTTTTCTCTACACTTCTCTCTCTCTCTCTCTTTCTCTCTTTCTTTCTTTCTGACAGACTCTTGCTTTTTCGCCCAGGCCAGAGTGCAGTGGCGCTATCTTGGCTCATTGCAACCTCCGTCTCCCGGGTTCACGCCATTCTCCTGACAGCCTCCCAAGTAGCTGGGACTACAAATACCCACCATGGTGCCTAGCTAATTTTTTTTTTTTGTATTTTTAGTAGAGACGGGGTTTCACCGTGTTAGCCAGGATGGTCTCTATCTCCTGACCTCGTGATCCGCCCACCTCGGCCTCCCAAAGCGCTGGGATTACAGGTGTGAGCCACCATGCCCAGCCTCTTTCTTTTTTTTTTTTTTTTGAAGGCACCTCATCTCGATCTGTTGACCAGACTGGAGTGCTGTGGTACGATCTCCGCTCACTGCAACCTCCGCCTCCCAGGTTCAAGCGATTCTCCTGCCTCAGCCTCCCAAGTAGCTGGGATTACAGGCACCTGCCACCATGCCTGGCTAATTTTTATATTTTTAATAAAGATAGGGTTTCACCGTGTTGGCCAGGCTGGTCTTGAACTCCTGACCTCCAGTGATCTGCCTGCCTCAGCCTCCCAAAGTGCTGGGATTACAGGTGTGAGCCACCGTGCCCCGCCCTTTCACCCTTTTTTCTTTTACTTCTTTCCTTTTAGCTGCCAGATCTTTGATATCTAAATATACCTAACATCTCTCATTTTCTCTCACAAATTCTTTCTCCCCTTTCTTTCCCTTCCTTCTTGGGATTCTTTTCTCTTACCTAAAAAAAAAAAAAAAATGGAGATAATAAAACTTGCTTCATTTACCTCTGGAATTGCTGTGAGGAGCAGACATCATTGTACATATGAAAAGGCTTTGTAGGCTGGGCGCGGTGGCTCACGCCTGTAATCCCAGCACTCTGGGAGGCCGAGGCAGGTGGGTCCCCTGAGGTCAGGAGTTCAAGACCAGCCTGACCAATATGGTGAAACCCCGTCTCTATTAAAATGACAAAAATCAGCTGGGTGTGGTGGCATGTGCCTGTAGTCCCAGCTACTTCGGAGGGTGAGGCAGGAGAATTGCTTGAACCTGGGAGGCAGAGGTTGCAGTGAGCCGAGATCACACCACTGCACTGTAGCCTGGGTGACAGAGTGACAGTCTGTCTCAAAAAAAATAAAAAATAAAAAATAATAATAATGCCTTGTCAATTGTAAAGCTCATGCAAATGAAACTAATATGATCAAGCAGTTATTACTAAAAGTTGTACTAAGGGCTATACACATATTATCTTTTTAAACTCCCGCATCAATCTGAGGAAGCAGGGACTTTCTCTTTAAACCTTAGTTTATGGCACAGCTCCAGGTCATGGAAGAAGGTCCAGAAGCACTAGTCCTCTCTTTTTTCCATAGCCATTCCCTAGCAAAAGTGGGAGGCAGAGAAGTCATAATCAAATGATAGCAATAAGTTTTGAGAGAGCTGGACAACGTCTACTTCACTTTGTGTTACACAGGGCATCTTTTATGTAGTGGGGTGCCATACACCTCTTTTTTCACTGAATCCATGTTGCCTCTGGGGGCTTCTCTCTCCCATGTGGACCCAGGGAGGCTCTCACCTCTGAAGTCGATGGACATGCAGGGCCTGGGTAGTGGGGCTAGTGGTGGGTCAATCTTGGCCGACTGCACCACAAGCCGCAGCATCTCGGAGACCTACTTTCTTCCCTCCTTCCCTACGCAGCGCCACAGCTTCCTTTTTGGAGCTCCTCAGTCCAAGACTTTTCCCAGCGATCCTGGGGTGAGTGGAGCCCCACTTCCTGTCTGTTGCTAAGCAACAGACAGGCTGTCACAAAGGTGGGCGGTTCTTGGTTCTGGAGAGGAATTAATGGGAAAGAGAAGGGGGAGGAGGAACAGGGTATAGGTGACTGGGCCTGTAGAAACAAAACCACCTGGCTGCTTTCACCCCCTTTTCTTATTGCCCAGGCTGGAGTGCAATGGTGCGATCTCAGCTCACCGCAACCTCCACCTCCCTGGTTCAAGCGATTCTCCTGCCTCAGCCTCCCGAGTAGCTGAGATTACAGGCATGCGCCACCACGCCCGGCTAATTTTGTATTTTTAGTAGAGATGGGGTTTCTCCATGTTGGTCAGGCTGGTCTCGAACTCCCGACCTCAGGTGATCTGCCCACCTCGGCCTCCCAAAGTGTTGGGATTACAGGCGTGAGCCACCAAGTCTGGCCTTAAAAAATTTTTTTTTGCCCACCCCACACCTGCCCTCCTTGCCGTCCTTTTGATTTCAAGGTCAGACATAAGGTTGATGTTTTCTCCTTGTACAAGCAAGTTGTCTGGAGCCAATCATTGCCAAAGTCACACAATGTAGATGAGAAAATAAGAAAACAGTGAAGTGACCTGAGAAAAGGGATAGGAAAATCAAGGACTATTTCTGTGAGGTCTCAGGGAAAGTTCTTCCTAACGTGGAAACCTTTTTACTAAGAAAAACCTAAGTTTAGATACGAGACCCTCTTTGACAAAAGGAAATTAGCTTTTGAATTAATGAGCTCATATGGAAGGTCAAAGAAGACAATGCGGTTTTGAAGTGGCTGTCTTTATGGCTGTCTGAGCCTCTGTGCATTAAGATGGAGCTGGGGCACCTATTCTTATTGTCCACAGCAAGGCTTTTTAGGCTTTAGGGTTGAACATCGTATAAATTACATCTTATCCAATAGTTAGAATGAAAACTAATGAATATTTAAATGCTGGGATTGGTGGCTCATGCCTGTAATCCCAGCACTTTGGGAGGCCAAGGTGGACGGATCACTTGAGGCCAGAAGTTCGGGAACAGCCTGGCCAACATAGCAAAACCCCATCTCTACTAAAAATACAAAAATTAGCTGGGCGTGGTGGCACGTGCCAGCAATCCCAGCTACTTGGGAGGCTGAGGCAGGGGAATCGCTTGAACCTGGGAGGTGGAGGTCACAGTGAGCCAAGATTGCACCACTGCACTCCAACCTTGGCAACACAGCGAGACTCTGTCTCAAAAAAAAAAAAAAAAAGGCCGGGCGTGGTGGCTTACGCCTGTAGCCTGTAATCCCAGATCTTTGGGAGGTTAAGGCGGCCGGATCACGAGATCAGGAGATCAAGATCATCTTGGCCAACATGGTGAAACCCCGTCCCTACTAAAATACAAAAAATTAGCCGGGCATGGTATTGCGCGCCTGTAGTCCCAGCTACTCCGGAGCTGAGGCAGGGGAATCGCTTGAACCTGGGAGGCGGAGGTTGCAGTGAGCCGAGATCACGCCACTGCACACAAGCCTGGCCACAGAGCAAGACTGTCTCAAAAAAAAAAAAAAAAAAAAAAAAAACAATGTTTAAGAACAATCTATTAGTTAATGAAACAACTACTTAGCAGTAAGCGTACCACGCAGTCTAAGAGATGAATGGATTCAAAGACTGAAACGCTGGGTCAGTGATCAGGGTGCTGATTGCTTTCTAGTGCAGCAGATTAAAAAAAAAAGTGCTTCTTGGAAGTTTTTCTTGAAATCTAAACACAACACAGTGCTTTTCGCTTTGTGAATGGCTTTTCAAAGTAAGCGTGACACAAAAGACCCTGTAAGTGAAAAGCTGACAGATTTGACTGTATTAAATAAAAAATTCCTATGTAGAAATTATGCCTTAAAGCTAGAAGACAAATATCAAAGCAGGGAAAACATTTTCAATATACTTAATGTCCAACAGTTTATTTAATAAATGTTTATAGAGCAAGCTCTTAATAAGAAAAGGATGACTATCCCAAAGGAAAACAAAGGCAAAGCTCCTATCAGATAATTGCCCAAAATGACAAAAAAAAATTTTTTTTAAAAAACCCTCAGTCTTGTTAATAATCAAAGAAATACAATGAAATACAATTTATGACTTTGCCAAATTGGTTTCAAAAGCCAAAAAAGATGTAAAAAAAAAAAATCAAACTCACTGGGCACGGTGGCTCACGCCTGTAATCCCAGCACTTTGGGAGGCCAAGGCGGGCGGATCACGAGGTCAGGAGATCGAGACCATCCGGGCTAACACAGTGAAACCCCGTCTCTACTAAAAATACAAAAAATTATCCGAGCATGGTGGCACACGCCTGTGGTCTCAGCTACTCGGGAGGCTGAGGCAGGAGAATCGCTTGAACCAGGGAGGTGGAGGTTGCAGTGAGCCGAGATCACGCTACTGCACTCCAGCCTGGGCGACAGAGAGAGACTCTGTCTCAAAAAAACAAAAACAAAACAAAACAAAAAACTCATTAATAAGCAAATAAATGGGATAAGATACCATTTATCACCTCTTAAATTGGCAAAGAATGAAACAAAATGATAAACGTGGTGTGCTGAGGAAAGGAAGGGGCAGAGAAAAGATACAAATCTGTTTTTAGTGGGAATGGGAATATAAGTAGAGAAATAGCAGAACCCTGGCCCCAAACAAGCGCCCAGGAGACAAAGTTAAGGGTAGGGAGAGGTGGGGCAGGGGCTGCTCTATTTGTGATAATTTCTATGGCCTTAAGCTCCATATTTCTAAACAGCACTTTTAAATAGCATTCCTTGATTTTTTCAAATCTATGAGGCATTTTCCCAGTTTTATTGTTTTCCCCGGGGCTCTCCCTCCTGGTCTTCTCTTCTCCCCCAGCTGAGACTAGTGGTCCCCAGTCCTGCAGCATAGCTATTGTCCTGGGATACTCTTTGCCATCACCTTCAGAATTCCTCGTCTGCTTCTTGTGTTAGACCCTGCTTCCCCGATCCTATGCCTTCCGTCTTCTCAGTTTACCCTCTCATCTTTGTGGAACACAGCTTTGAGTGGCTTTCTGAATGTTTCGAGTGTTTGCATGTCTGTACCTATCTTTTTTTTTTTTTTGAGACAGAGTCTTGCTGTGTCGCCCAGGCTGGAGTGCAATGGCGCGATTTTGGCTCACCGCAACCTCTGCCTCCTGAGTTTGAGAGATTCTCCCACCTCAGCCTCCCGAGTAGCCGGGATTACAGGCATGCGCCACCACACCTGGCTAATTTTTGTATTTTTAGTAGAGACAGGATTTCGCTATGTTGGCCAGGCTGGTTTTGTACTCCTGAACTCGTGATCCACCCTCCTCAGCCTCCCAAAGTGCTGGGATTACAGGCGTGAGCCACCGCACCCGGCCATTTCTTTTTTTAAATAGAAACGAAGTCTCACTGTTTTGTGCAGGCTAGTCTTGAACTCTTGGGCTCAAGCAATCTTCCCACCTTGGCCTCCCAAAGTACTGGGATTATAGGCATGAGCCACAGATCCCGGGTGAGATTTATCATCTTGAACCATGTCTCTTGCTGTCTTGTCTCATGTCTCTTGATGTCATGTTGTCAGTCAGTCAACCAAATAACCAATTATTGATCAGTCAACATTTGAACAATTACCTATGTTCTGGGTGTATGTTCTCTGGAGGATACAAAGGTTAATGTCCCTGATTTTGAGGATCTACTCTCTCTACACAAAACACATAGGAAAGTTAACCACACAAAACAATCTAGGGTCAGTAACAAAATTCTTTTTTTTTTTTTTTGAGACGTAGTCTCACTCCGTCGTCCAGGCTGGAGTGCAGTGGTGCAACCATGGCTCATTGCAGCCTGGACCTCCCAGACTCAAGTGATCCTCCCACCTCAGCCTCCCGGGTAGCTGGGACTACAGGCATACACCACTATCACACACACCTAATTTCTAAAATTTTTTGTAGATACGGGGGTCTCATCATATTGGCCAGGCTCATCTCAAACTCCTGAGCTCAAGAGGTCCTCCCGCCTAGGCCTCCCAAAGCGCTGGGATTACAGGCGTGAGCCACATTAGGTAAATTCTTAATGAGTAAATTCAGGTGGCTGCCCTGGTGGAGGTGGACCGTTGGGTGCTCGACCGCCCAGAGGGCACAAAGGACCAACACGGTGGGGGTGGCGAGAACTGGGGCCGTAGAAGCCAGCCTAGTCCTCCGCCCTCGCTTTCCCTACTGAATATGCGCGAGGGGGAAACTCCAGCCTAGTTGTTGACTTTCTGCTTCGGACATGCTCGCGTGTTCTTGGCTCTCCTCTTCCGGACAGAGGCGCCGGAGCTTCATCCGTTCCGGGCTTTGCCGCTCACCGCCTCTCCCTTCCCAGGCCGTAACCCGCTTCCGCGTTTTACTCGGTGCCCGCAGCGCCGGGGCGTGGAGGCGTTAACGCGCACGCGCTTAGGGATCCGGCCGTGGCCGAGCGCGCGGCCGTAAGACCGCGGGTGAGAGCAGCGTTGGCTTCGAGGGGAGTGGCGGGCCGTGGGGATCGCGGCCGTGGTTGGGACGGCCGGGGGTCTCGGCGAGGGCTTCAGGGCTCCCGGGGCATGCGGGGGCCCGGGCTAGGGCCGGCTGCCGGTGCTGGTCGGGCGGGGCGGGTCGGGCCGGGGGCGGGCTGGCAGGGGCCGCGTCTGGGCCTCCGTGACGCGGACGCCGAGCCCTGCCCCAGGGAGCGGGAGGCGGGAGGCGGGGGCCAGGCGGCTCCTCCTCGTCGCGAACTCTGGATGACCTTGGCCAAATCGCTTCAGTTCCCCGAGCTGGCGACTTCGTCTGTAAAATGCGAGTCATAGCCCTGTCTCCTAGATGGGCCGTGTGGAGGCTCAGTGGCGGGAACGCCTGCGGGGCAGCCGGGGTCCTGGGCGGTTTGCTAGGGACGCCTCACTGGGGGTGAGGGTGAAAGGGCTTCCACGGGGATCATTTTGTCACAGGCTTTGTTGGGGGGGCAGTTTTCATTTTTATGTAAACAACTCTGGAATATTACGAAGTACTTAACAGAACTTTTGTTTCGCACAATACGAGAGGCTTGAAGAAGTGGAGCCCTAGCTGGGATTCGCTTTTTTGAGGCCGGCGTTGCCCTGCCCTTTAGGGGTGCCCACGCTCTAGCTGCGGCCCCGGCTCCCTTCGCATTGTCGTTAGAGGATGGTGTGAAGCAACAGAGATCCTTAGCTTTCAACGAATTCATATTTGTGATTTCCTGTTTGTCAAAACCCTTCCTGCCCACCTAGGAAGTGGTGCTGGCCAAGCAAGTTTACTGTCTGTCCACGCGAGGTCTTTCTGAACCTTGGGGTCGGTGAGCTCTCCCGTTAGGTAATTTCAGTTCGCTAGAGGTTGAGTATGGGACAACTCGTGGCACCATAGTTTTTTTTTTCTTTTTTTTTGGTGTTGGTGTGGGATTCCACGAACCGTCCCCACCAGAGGTCTGCCGTGAAATGGATACTCAATAGGAATGATAGTAGGTTACAAAAGTAAGCATGTTAGATGGTGTAGATTGGGAGAAATTTAGGATATTGGAATTGACCTAAACTGAAACTTTTCACTGCAGGTGACTAGCATGCAGATACCCATGCTCTGACTTTCTGCCCCTCCACTGACATGGCCCACCGGGGTGGGGAGAGGGACTTCCAGACTTCAGCTCGACGCATGGGCACCTCGCTGCTCTTCCAGCTTTCAGTGCATGAACGGGAGCTGGACCTGGTTTTTCTGGATCATAGCTATGCCAAGCCTTGGAGTGCCCACCCAGATGCCAGTAGTGCCCGCCCCACCCGCATGCTCTTTGTCACTCCCCGGCGGCAGCACGAAAGTACCATGTGAGTTGGGGCTTCTAAGGGCTGCTGGTAACCTCACTGGGCAGTGATCAGATGGGAATTTAGAGAGGATTTTCTCAGGATTGACTGGGGGAGATTGTATGAGGCATTTGGATGTTAAATTCAGGCATCTCTTAAGCAGCATAAGGATAGCAGGCTTGAATGTGGCTATCTCTGTGAGACAGCTAACAAGAGTTAGGAAAGCAAGACGTGCAAATGAAAAGCAGACAACCTATTCCACTTAGATAGTAGGACGTGTGGAAAGGGGAAAATCGTAGAGGGTTATTTAACTGGTGAAGAAAAAGACTGAAAAGTTGATTTTAAAAGATTACCCACAGGATACGACTCTTTTATCACATTAGTCCAGTGCTCTGGGTTGCTTGACAGTGGCAACAATAGCCTTTTTATAGTAATGCATTTTGCTTTTCTTGGTTTCACACACGAAGGTTAGGAGCCAATTCCCAAGACGTTGCTTTTTCTCTTCCCTTGTTACAGAGCTGCTATCCATAGGTTAATCTAAACCCTTCTTATGTCTAATGATATTTTCACCCAGCCTATGTTATAGGGTAAGGAAGTTTCATAAATTGACTACCTGATGAGTGATACAGTTACATTTGGTCTAAATAAACCTGTTTGCCAGTTCTTTTGCACTTTAAGGCATTCTAATTATGTTTCATGATGTGTTGATATATTCCGTTATGGTGATCAAATCATGTCCTTAATAATTTTGTAAACTTTTGGAGAAGAGTTTTGTCTGTTTGTTTTTAATCTGACCTAATGTTTAATCTTTCCTTAAGCACTGGTTTTAATTTTGTTGGGGGTTAGAGCCCTTGTAGAGGCTTCTTTAGAGTCACCCCTCCTGGAATTGAGACTTAATGACCTAATGAGTTAGAGATACCACAATGTGTGTGTGTGGTTTTTTTTTTTTTTGAGATGGAGTCTTGCTCTGTCGCCCAGGCTGGAGTGCAGTGGTGTGATCTTGGCTCACTGCAACCTCCACCTCCTGGGTTTGAGCGATTCTCCTGCCTCAGCCTCCTGAGTAGCTGGGACTACCGGCGTGTGCCACTGTGCCTGGCTAATTTTTGTATTTTTAGTAGAGACAGGGTTTCCACCCACCATGTTAGCCAGGCTGGTCTCGAACTCCTGACCTCAGGCAATCCACCCGCCTCGGCCTCCCAAAATGCTGGGATTACAGGCATGAGCCACCGCTCCTGACCCACTGTGTGTTTTAAACATGTGCAGAATAGTGTCTTTTATTTCATTTCCCAATGACTTTATAATTTTGTTGGCTTTTTTGGTGTACAGGAGATAAAATCTGTAACTTTAGGCAATAATTTAGCATAATCTTGATGCCTCTGGCCTAGGGCATAACTGAAAAGCTCCTTTAAATAGTAGTTGAAGTCTTTTCCTTTTTTGCTGCATATTAGCTTCTTGCTGACATTAAAACTCCTGTGTCCACATCTCATGACATTTTCTTAAAGTGAGATTCTGTGGACTTGGTTCTTTTGGTACTTAGAAAATTGTTTCCTTTTATAATCTCTGTCTCCAAATATAGACCCTGAAAGTGAGAATTTGGCATGCTGTAAGAACTCTTTTAGGCCAGTGTGGCCAGAATATAATAGCAGTAGGGGTATAAGTGGGAGGTAGGGAGAAGTTGGCAAGGGTTACCTCGTGAAGGAATTTGATTCTAAGAGTGGTAAGAAGTCACTGAAGGATCTTAAACTAGAGATTCAATTTATACTTTAAAAAGATCATTTTGGATTTTTTGTTGAGTATATTATAGTGCAGGAGTAGAACTTACAAGACCAGCTGCAGGCTGCCACTGCAATGGACTGAGATGGGCCAGAAATCGTGATATCTTGTATAGGGCAGGAACAGTACAAATGGAGAAATATAGATGACTTTGAGATGTATTTCATAGGTAGAGTGAATAGGTTAATAGGATCTGCTATGGTGAATTGGAAGGAAGAGCAAGAACCAGGGTTAAAGGGAAAGGTAAAATTAGGATGACAGATTTCTGGCTTGAGCAGTTGGGTGGTGCCATGAGTTAGGGAAGACTGGAGGAGGATAGGTTTGTGATGGTGAAATCAAGAGTTCTCTTTTAGCTACACATATCCAAGTACTAGCTCAATGTCTGGCCTGGAGAAGATAATCAGCTCTTTTGCCCACCACCAAATCTAGCTGCACATGATTTCATTTCATTTCATAATGATGTAATTATTTCAGTCATTGGAAATGGATGCAGTAAGGTCACTGAAGTCAAAAAGTTAACATAAAGTTTGGCAGGTAGCCACTAGACCAGTTTGTTTGGCATAGTATTTGGGGTGACAAAGTTGGTGCAATGTATCATAAAGTGGGGAAGGACCCTTGGGGCACTAGGATTTGTTTCTTACTTTCTTTTTTTTTTTTTTTGAGACGGAGTCTCTGTTGCCCAGGCTGGAGCGCAATGGCGCAATCTTGGCTCACTGCAACCTCTGCCTCCTGGGTTCAAGCAATTCTCCTGCCTCAGCCTCCCAAGTAGCTGGGATTATAGGCACCCGCCACCATGCCTGGCTAATATTTTTAGTAGAGACGGAGTTTCACCATGTTGGTCAGGCTCGTCTTGAACTCATGACTTTAAGCAATCCACCTGCCTCGGCCTCCCAAAGTGCTGGGATTACAGGCGTGAGCCACTATGCCCAGCTAGATCTCATTTTAAAATATGAAAGACCTTTAGATGTTCATTTATATTTGTTTCTGTTCTAGGCTCTGTACAAAATGAGCTAAGTAGCTAAGGTATGTGCATTCCAGGTCATCTGTCTTAGATAATCATACAGAAAGGAAATCATAGACTTTACAGTATATATTAAATAACTACCAGTTGACTTGCTAATGAAAGGGAAAGTTTGTATGAATTTAAAACTCTAGACCAGCACTGTTTAACAGAACTCTCTGTAATAATAGGAATGTTCTATACCTGGGATGTCCAGTGTGGTAACTGCCGCCACGTGTATCTGTTGAATGCTTGAAATGTGGCTAACGTCACTACGGAACTGAATTTTTTATTTTTTTATTTTTTTGAGACGGAGTCTTGCTCTGTCACCCAGGCTGGAGTGCAGTGGTGCAATCTTGGCTCATGGTAACCTCCGCCTCCCGGATTCAAGCAATTCTCCTGCTGCAGTCTCCCAAGTAGCTGGGACTATAGGTGCACGCTGCCACACCCAGCTAATTTTTTGTGTTTAGTAGAGACGAGGTTTCACCATGTTGCCCAGGCTGGTTGCAAACTCCTGAGCTCAGGCAATCCGCATGCCTCTGCCTCCCAGAGTGCTGGGATTACCGGCATGAGCCACCATGTCCGGCCTTTTTTTTTTTTTTTGAGACAGAGTCTCGCTCTGTTGCCCAGGCTGGGGTGCAGTGGTGTGATCTCGGCTCACTGCAACCTCCGTCTCCCGGGTTCACGCCATTCTCCTGCCTCAGCCTCCTGAGTAGCTGGGACTACAGGCACGTGCCACCACACCCTAATTTTTGTTTTTTTTAAGTAGAGATGGGGTTTTACCATGTTGGCCAAGCTGGTCTCGAACTCGTGACCTAAGGTGATCCACCCGCCTTGGCCTCCCAAAATGTTGGGTTTACAGGCGCGAGCCACTACGCCCAGCCTGAATATTTAATTCTATTTAAATTTTTTTTTTTTGGGCCGAGGTCTCTGTCACCCAGACTGAAGTACAGTGGTGCAATTTTGGCTCACTGCAACGTCCGCCTCCCAGGCTCAGTTGATCTCCCACCTCAGCCTCCCATGTAGCTGGGACCACAAGCTAATTTCTGTATTTTCAGTAGAGACGGGGTTTCACCATGTTGCCCACACTGTTGAACTTGTGGGCTCAAGTGTTCTGCCCACCTTGGCCTCCCAAAGTGCTGGGATTACAAGCCTGAGCCCTTGTGAGCCCTTGTGCCCAGTAATTTTTTTTTTTTTTTTTTTTTTGAGATGGAGTCTCGCTCTGTCTCCCAGTCTGGAGTGCAGTGGCGCAATCTCGGCTCACTGCAAGCTCCGCCTCCTGGGTTCACACCGTTCTCCTTCCTCAGTGTCCTGAGTAGCTGGGACTACAGATGCCTGCTACCATGGCTGGCTAAATTTTTGTATTTTTAGTAGAGACGGGGTTTCTCCATGTTAGCCAGGATAGTCTCGATCTGACCTCGTGATCCACCTGCCTCAATTTAAGTAGTCGTGTGTGGCTTATACCTACTGTATTGAACAGTATCTAGGCAATCAACTTGTTAGCCACTTTTCTCCATTTGTACTGTTCTTGTCCCTAAACGAGCTCTCATGATTTCTGGCCCATCTCAGTCAACTGCAGTGGCTGCCTAGCTGGTCTTCTAAATTCCACTCCTGAGCTGTAGCCTACTAAACAAAAATTGAAAGTGATCTTTTAAAAATATTAGCTTGAGCCAAATCAACTTGCTTATGGAATATATTGTCCTTTTTTTTGAGACTGGGTCTTGCCGTGTCACCCAGACTGGAGTGCAGTGGCATGATCAGAGCTGACTGTAGCCTCAACCTCCTGGGCTCAAGCAAGCCATCCTCCCACTTCAGTTTCTGGGACTGCAGGCGCATACCACCATGCCTGGCTAATTTTTGTGTTTGTTTTAGAGACGGGGTTTTGCCATATTGCCAAACTGGTCTTGAACTTCTGGGCTTAAACAATCCTCCTTCAGCCTTCCAAAGTACTGGGATTACAAGTATGAATCACTGTGCCTGGCTATATTTGTCATTTATTTATTTATTTTTTGAGACCAGCTCACTCCTGGGCTTAAGTGATCCTCCTGCTTCAGCCTCCCAAGTGCTGGGATTACAGGTGTGAATCACTGTGTCTGGCTGTATTTGTCATTTATTTATTTATTTTTGAGACCAGGTCTTGCTCTGTCACCCAGGCTGGAGTGCAGTGATGCAATCATGGCTCACTGCAGCCTTGACTTCCCGGGTTCCAGCAGTCCTCCCACCTTAGCCTCCTTAGTAGCTGGGATCACAGGTGTGTGCCACATGCCCAGCTAATTTTTGTATTTTTGGTAGAGACAGGGTTTCCTCATGTTGCCCAGGCTGGTCTTGAACTCCTGAGTTCAAGCAATCCACCTGCCTCGGCTTCCCAAAGTGGTGGTATTACAGGTGTGAGCCAGTGCACCTGGCCCATATTTATCTTAAAAAAAAAATAGATGTTTATCATTTTTTATATAGACTCATTGAAAAAATGACTTTGTGTTCTTCCAGTACATACCATCATGTCTGAGAGGGCAGAGATCTAGACAAGTGTGGGAAAGATGACTTTGGATCAAAATTTTCTTGTGAATATAATGTGCTTATGCGTAATTTAAAGCTGACTGTATTAAAGATACATTTTTTGTCAACCAGATGATTGTTAAATACCTGTGAAGTATGTGTGGCCCGGTCCTATTTCCTCACCTGTTTACAGTGAATCAGACGTCCCAATAGATGTGGAGACGGTCACATCAACGCCTATGCCACTCTATGACAATCAGAAGGCACGCAGCGTGATGAATGAGTGTGAACGGCATGTCATCTTTGCCAGGACTGATGCAGATGCCCCTCCTCCACCAGAGGACTGGGAGGAGCATGTCAACAGGTAGGCTGCTCATCAGGAGGATGATCACTGCCCTGTAATTATTTTGTATCATCTTCATTGAAATAACACTTATTAGGACCTTATTTCATTTGCAGCAACACAAGTCAGAGTGTTCTCCAAAGTCTCACATTATAACTCTCAGTTCACCATGCTGTGTGTGAGCTCCTTGAGAGTAGGGCTTACATCTCAGCCATCTTTGCATACTTCACACTAGGACGTTGTCTGGCACACAGTAGGCATATAATGTTTGTTGAATAAATAAGTGAATTAAATTTGATACATATGACTAGCTCTGTAGTAGCTTCTGTTGTATAAGTTATGATATAGGGGTTACCCAAACTGCAAAAAAATGAAATGTACATTTGTAAGATATTGTGTTTAAATGGTTTATAACTAGGATGATGGAAGTTGTGAAGTCACATGAAAAGCTAACAGATGTTTGAGTGGCTTTTAAAAATAGATTTGCAGGCTATGGAGGGCACACTGAAGCCTATTTTCACGAGTATACTGGCTAGTTTTGTTCCCAAGCTTTCTACTGCCCCCAGGGGACTCAGCACTCCTCTCCTGGTTATTTGTCCCTGTTCATTTGGTAAACATTTACCTAATTACATAACAGCTTTTTGGGGATATTATTTACATACCATACAATTCAGCTATTTAATATGTACAGTCATTGGTTTTTAGTATAGTCAGAGTTGTATATTCATCACCACTATCAATTTGATAAACATTTTCATCATCCTAAAAAGAAACCTCTTACCCATAAACAGTTACTTCCCGTTTCCTCCCAGCTTCTCTGGTCCCTAGGAAGCACTAATTGACTTTTGTCTTTATAGATTTGCCTATTCTGGACATTTCATATAAATGGAATCATGCAATATGTGGTCTTTTCCTACTGGCTTCTTTCACCCAGCATGATGTTTTCAAGGTTTATCCATGTGGTTGCGTGTATCAGCACTTCATGCTTTTTATTGCCAAATGACATTACATTGTATGGATAGCCCACATTTTATTTATTCATTAATCAGTTGATAGATATTTAGATTGTTTTCATTTTTTGGCAATTGTGAATAATGCTATTATGAACATTTGCATACAAGTTTTTGTGTGGATCTAAGTTTTTAATTCTCTTAGTTATATACCTGGGAGTGGACTTGTTGGGTCATATGATAACTCTGTATTTAACCTTTGAGGAATTGCCAGACTGTTTTCCAAAGTGGCTGTACCATTTTACATTCCTACCAGCAGTGTATGAGAGTTCTAGTTTCTCCATATCCTTGCCAACACTTACTGATTTTCTTCTTTTTTAAAAAAATTATAACCATTCTACTGCGTGTAAAGTGGCATCTCATTGTGGTTTCAACTTATATTTTGTTGATGGCTTTTTGTCTGTGTATCCATATATCTACTATATATATAAGGAAATGTTACTTCTTATATCAGGAGTTGGTAGGTGGTAACTTTCCATAATTTTGGAGAACCCTTATTTTATAATAGAGAGAAAGAGGGGTAGAAAGTTTGAGGTGATTGACATGACTTCTGAAGCTGGTTGGAAGTTGGGAATGAGATTGAACAGGTGTGCTTGTGTGATCAAAACAGCAGCTGTTGAGGGAGGAGCAGTTCTGCACCTTGGTTGAAAAAGCTTGTGAAGAAGTTGGTTGGGGTCTTGCATTGGAATTAATTTAGTGCCTTAA
This sequence comes from Homo sapiens, assembly GCF_000001405.40. Classification (NCBI taxonomy): domain Eukaryota; kingdom Metazoa; phylum Chordata; class Mammalia; order Primates; family Hominidae; genus Homo; species Homo sapiens. The sequence continues at coordinate 96,629,617 of NC_000002.12, read as the reverse complement.
GAAGCTCTTTTCTCACGCCTGTAATCCCAGTACTTTGGGAGGTTGAGGCGGGTGGATCACCTGAGGTCGGGAGTTCAAGACCAGCCTGACCAACATGGAGAAACTCTGTCTCTGCTAAAAATACAAAATTAGCTGGGTGTGGTGGCGCATGCCTGTAATCCCAGCTACTCGGGAGGCTGAGGCAGGAGAATCACTTGAACCTGGGAGGCGGAGGTTGTGGTGAGCCGAGATCGTGCCATTGCACTCCAGTCTGGGCACCAAGAGTGAAACACCATCTCAAAAAAAGAAAAAAAAGCTCTTTTGAGCTTCAGATAAAGAAGAAAACTGCTACGAATGAAGATCAACTACTGGAATATTGCTAGAGTCAGTATATTCAGCAAAAGGATTTATCACTATTTTTACAGTTAATAATAAAAAATAACGACGATGGTAATAACAAAAAGGAGCTACCGTTTGTTGAGTGCTTTCTAGGTGCCAGACATTGTATCAATGTCTCTTCAAATGCATTGTCTCTTAATCCTCCCAATGACTCTTGGAGGTATATCCCCCCTTCATCTCTGCTCAACAGGATGAAGAAACTGAGCTCAGGGTGTTTAAGAAACCTTAATTAGGAAGTGATGGAGAAGGATTTTGTTCAAACCAAGCAGCCTGACTCCAGAACCCAGTGTTCTCAACTACCATACCCTCTGCCTTAATTAAGGGCAGTAAGAAGAGATTAAGACCAGTTAGTGGTGGCTGAACAAGGTGGCCTGGTATGGTTATGTATCCCTTTGTGGTATTTTCTACTACCTTGTCCTTTGCAATTTCAGAAAGTACATAGGAGAACTGTGTGATTTTTTTTTTTTTTGTCAGTTTATCCATGGTTATGATTAAGAGGTTTTTGTGGACAATTCATACTTATCAAAGTCATTAGAGACTTAATAATACTATAAATACCAGTTTGTTTCTTTTTTCTTTTTTTTGAGACAGGGTCTCACTCTGTCACCCAGACTGCAGTGCAGTGGCACGATCTCAGCTCACTACAAGCCTTGACCTCCAGGACTCAGGTGATTCTCCCGGGTGGGAACCTTAACCTCCCAAGTAGCTGGGACTACAGGAGTACGTCACCATTTCTTAATTTTTGTAGTTTTTGTAGAGATTGGGTTTCACCATGTTGCCTAGGCTGGTCTCAAACTCCTGGCTCAAGTGGTCTGCCCACCTTTGCCTCCCAAAGTGCTAGGATTATAGGTGTGAGCCACTGCACTTGGCTGAGTTTCTTAATTTATAAGGAGAGATATAACTGCAAAGCATAAGAGACACTGGGGTGGCCTGGCCAGAGTGTCTGTTCTCAGCAGGAAAGTCTGGAAAACCATTTTATTTCAGAAGTGAATAGATGAGTGGAGAGTCTACACAGGAGGCACAGCAGAATAGCTGGATGTACACATCTTTCCTCTAGGCAAGATGAGTCCACGGAATAGGCCAGTGTGCACCTTCTCCTGCCTGTCCTTTAGAGAAACACTGACAGATTCTTGTCTTTGGCTTATCTTTCTCCAGTCTCCTTGTGGACCACCACCCTTCTGTTATGACATTGCCACATTGCCACAGATTGATGTAATCCATTAAAGCTCAATTTATCAGATTATTTGTTTTCTTAGTGTCTGATGAGATTTTGGAGGCCTTCTCTCATTGGCAGCAGGCTTACACACCATCTCTTTTGGTAGGTAACTTTTGTACATAGCCGATTTTATTATTTATGATAACTTATTAGTTTCAGTTTCAGATACCACCATTTTATGACCCTGTCCCTGAATCTGTAGCCTGTTTGGAGCTTGCAGTTCCTTCTGCTCTGATTATAATCATCGTGTTGCCATTCTTTCCCTGACTTGATTGTTAAATTGCTGCTTCCTTTCTTCTTATATAAAGTCATGTAAAATTAGTTTGCCACATCAAGAGCTCCATGAACGGTGTAGGTCGGCTCCCTAGAACTCTGGAGTTCTTTCCCGGAGAGTTTACTGATTGCTCTTTGTCTGTGGAGGCAGAAACTTAATTTCCTTGTTAAGAGCTTTTTTCCTCTCTCTTGAATGATTTCAGTAGAAACTGTCTTCAGATAGCTTTGTGTATATAGGCTAGGCGCAGTAGCTCTCGCCTGTAATCCCAGCACTTTGGGAGGCTGAGGCGGGAAGATAATTTGAGGTGAGGAGTTTGAGACCAGCCTGACCAACATAGTGAAACCCCGTCTCTACTAAAAATAGTAAAAATTAGCTGGTGTGGTGGCAAACGCCTGTAATCTCAGCTACTCGGGAGGCTGAGGCAGGAGAATCTCTTGAACCTGGAAGGCAGAGGTTGCAGTGAGCCGAGATCGTGCCACTGCACTCCAGCCCGGGCAACAGAGCAAGACTCCGTCTCAAAAAAAAAAAAGAAGCATGTTCCTCCCTTCCCTGCCCCTGACTCTGGCTTTCTTTATTAATGGCTGATATTTTGTGAAATGGTTTAAATATTACTACCTTATTTAATTGTCTGCATTAGTGGTTGTCTAACTATGACAGTGGGCTGATTTAAATTTGGCCCATTGCTTGTTTTTGTGTGGAATGATTTTTACATTTTTAAATAGTTGCAAAAAAATTAATACTGTTTCATGACACATGAAATTAAAATTTCGGTGTGCATAAGCTTTTATTGAGATACAGTCATATTCATTAGGTATTATCCATGGCTGCTTTTGCAGTAAAGCCACAAAATTGAATAGTGGCAGAAGCCATATGGCCTGGAAACCCTAAAACATTTTCTGTCCGGCCTCTTATAGAAAAAGTGAGCTTCCTGGGTCATGTTCTTGTGTCTGCGTGCCATGGCATGTGACTTAGAGGACCTTTGAAAATGATTTCTATTTGCTGGCATAGTGATGTAGTCCTGAAGATGTTGGGCCAGCTTTTTTTTCCCTCCAGATGTTTGTCAAATGTGAAGTTTCATTAGTTGCATAGCTTTTGAAAGACATTTAATAAAATTTTCCTGACACATGATACTTCTCAGAATTGCTCAAATGGATTTTAGGACATTTCCAACATTTTAGTGAAAGAATGTAGTAGTATCCAAAAGCAGGCTTTCTTATCTTAGAAATCAGAACTTCTGAATTCCAGCCAAAAACACCCCATTTTCCTTTTCTGAGCCTTCTTTAGTTTTATATTCAATATTGTATGTATCTGTATAAATCTTAGGTTGGATGTTTGAAATTTTAAGTCCAAGGTCTTTGAGTTATCGTCCCTCCTTCCCCTCCCCCACCCTCTTTATTTCCCCTTCCTTCATTCCTTCCCTTCTTCTAGTGTTTAGACAAAGAATTTTATAATCTGAAAAAGGAAAGTATGACTGTTGAGTTTATCTGATGTACTTTGTGTCTCCTTGTTTGACTTCTGGTTAAAAAAAAATCCTTTAGATATTTTAATGTTGAATTAATTAGTCTTCTTTGAAACAGTATCCAAAATAATGATTACCTTTGAAAATACCAGATATTTTCAGGACCAATGTTATATTTTGGCTGCTTTGAATAGAATGAGCCAGAGGTCAGCATATCATTCAGGTTCAGTCAGAGCAGGGAGAACAAAAGATTTTCTGATCTCATCTAAGAAAGGAAGAAAAGACATTTTTGCCCTCATGAAAATTGAATAGGCGGGTGGGGCACGGGGTGGGGAGTGCCAGTTGGCTCACCACAGTTCCCATCAGCTATTTGACTGTTTAGGCTTGTATTTAAAATTCTGTCTCCTGTTTTTAAAATTTTTGCTAATTATATCTCTTGCATGCTCTTTATCTTAATCTTGGTTTAGATCATTTTTTTTCTGCCCACTTAATTTTCTAGCCTCCCACGAAGCTGACAAAATATAGAGATCATGTTTCAATTCTTGGAGTCACTTTGTTATATATCCAGCAGCAATCCTAAGAACTTTTTCTGGGATTTTGGACTCTCAACGTTGTGGTTTTAAAATTTAATTTCAGCTGTCATTGGTGTATGGTAATAATTTCTAAATAGCTTTCTAACCCTCTGCATCTTGCATTCACATCATTTTCCTTACTCCCATAATTTTGGATTGCAGAATTAATACAGAGTAAGAAAAACAAATAGGGAAAGCATCATTATGTAATAAAAACAGGATAATTTTGGAAATGCTGTTGATATTTCATAAATAAATTATACCTTATTCTCTGTTGTTGGAATTAAAGTTTGCAACGTGATCAATAGGCTTTGAGAAAGCTCCAGAGATTGTTGAACATGAAAAATTGTATTCGTTGCTTAACCTGGTTGATTATAAATTAGCATGATTGCTAGAGGTAAGGCTGCAGTATACTACTACTTTCAAGATGCTACAGGTCCTTTATACCTATTACTTTCAAAGAACTGGAAATCTAGAGATTTTTGTTTTTTTGGTTTTGTTTTGTTTTTGAGATGGAGTCTCATTCTGTCACCCAGGCTGGAGTACAGTGGGGCGATCCCAGCTAACTGCAACCTCTGCCTCCTGGGTTCAGGCGATTCTCCTCTCTCAGCCTCCCGAGTAGCTGGGGTTACAGGCTCGTACCACCATGCCCAGCTAAGTTTTATATTTTTAGTAGAGACGGGGTTTCGCCATGTTAGCCACGCTGGTCTTGACCTCCTTTCTGACCTCAGGTGATCCGCCCTCCTTGGCCTCCCAAAGTGCTGGGATTACAGGCATGAGCCACCATTCCTGGCCTTATCCAGAGATTATAACACAGATAGCCTTTGGTTATTTCCATTTGAAGAAAATTATCCTACAGAGATACTTGTATGAGTATATAAAATATAGATAGATAGGGCTGGGCATGGTGACTTCATACCTGTAATCCCAGCACTTTGGGAGGCTGAGGTGGGCAGATCACTTGAGGTCAGGAGTTTGAGACCGGCCTGGCCAACATGGTGAAACCTCGCCTCTACTAAAAATATAAAAATTAGCTGGGCGTGGTGGCGGGCACCTGTAGTCCTAGCTACTCTGGAGGCTGAGGCAGGAGAATCACTTGAACCTGGGAGGCAGAGGTTACAGTGAGCCGAGATCACGCCATTGCGCTCCAGCCTGGACGACAGAGCAAGACTGTCTCAACAACAAGAAGAATTAATAATAAAATATAGATAGATATGTATGTATATATTTGAGGAAGGGAGGGGTGGTCACTGCAGTGGCTTATAAATTGCAATAAAAAATGCACAACCTAAATGTCCACAAATAAGGTAGAACTTACTTAGCCTTTGAAAACAAAGAGGTGTATTAACATGGAGATATATCCATGTTTCCAGAGAGCTTTTTCAAATGACTTGTAAGCATCCTCTGTCTCCTCCTACCACCATCAAATTCTCAAGCCCACCTGAGAATCACTGTACATAAGAGAGCTACTACTCTTGTGAGTCTGCTGTGCATCTAAGTAATGGACAGAAAACAGGATAATGAACCAGTGGGGCTGGAGCTTCCGGTCTCAACAAACCTTCCCAGTTCCAAGGCATCCTGAGTCCCAACATTGAGTTGAGGCTTTCATCCCTTCAGCTTTGAAGTCCAGAATCTCTGAATATCAAACCACAAAAACTGGATCCTGATGAAGTAGCAGAGATTAAGCCAAGATAACTAGGGAGGAATAAGAAACAGGACAATTCCAAGAAACCTCAGACTGCTTCTAGTACCCCCAAAAGGGGGTTACAAAAGGATGGGTGGCTTTGGCAGTTAAGAGGGGATTTAGCTCTAGCAAGGAAAGCTTCTGAAGATGGAGGGCGCTTCTGAAGAAGACAGTCATCCCATTTTGTTTCTCTAATCTCGGATTTCGACTGCTCTCAACTTTTGCTGCTGTCAGTAATCATAGCTAACCTGAATTTTTTTTTATTGTTAGAAGGAACTTAGAGGTAATCTAGCTGTATCTATTTTATGGACAAGAAGACTCAGGGCACATAGCTCTTTATTAGAGGGTGGGATAGAACCCTTGTCCCTAGGTAGGGTTCTCCTGGATCCTGTAACTGTGGTTAAGTTGTAAAACTGGAGATGTGGTAGGTGGAGATTTTATTTTACAGAAGGAAAAGGAGTTGGACCATTGTTTTCCTCCTTTCTAGAGGGTATTTGCTCTATCCAGGGACATTTAGATAGTTGTACAAAGTGAATAACAAAGGGTAATTTGTCCTCCATCTGCATACTCACTGGGCCATACTGTTGGTGTTCCTAGAACAATGACCTGTAGAAATTAGAGTATCTTGTGGGGTGGGATATGATGGAAAGGATGCTGGTCTCTTACGAAGCCAGAGAAATTGAGATTGTTGATGTTTCAAGCAGCATTCTTGCAGTTTGACTGTCTTGGTATGGCGAAAGACATAAATCATGTGCCTGTGTTCCTCTTTGCTCCTCCGCATTAATATGGTATGGAGTCTGAGGGTTTGGATAGGGACCTGGCTGTTTACAGAACTTAGAATGCAGTGTGCACACAATTCATCCATTTATTTATTCAGCAGATGTTTAATTCCCCAGTATTTGTGAGGCTCTGTTTTATGTGCTGGGGATATAGCACTTAAAACTAGCAAAAGTCCTGGCCATCTTGGCCTTTTACACCCTGGCAGAGAGAAACAAACTAAACAAATAAATAGCATGGATAGAATATGAGGTAGTGGTATGGCTGGAAAGCAGTTTAGTGAATCCTAGGGTAAGACTGGAGGGTTACAGTGTTAAATAGGGATAGGTCAGAGCAAGCCTCAGCAGAAGGTGACATTTGAGCAACAACCTGAAGGAGATGAGAGAGGGAGCCATTGTTTCAGGTTGGCGTAATGAAGGGCAGGGCCCTGGTCTGTGATGCAGGAGCATGCCTGTTGTGTGTGCAAGGGCAGGGGAGTAGAGGGTGCTGTGAGGGAAGGCGGCGTGACTGAAGTAAGTGAGGATCAGTCATGGATGATAAGATCTGAAAGACATGGAGTCCATGCAGCCCATTGCAAGGACTTTGGCTTTTAGCTGATTGAACTGGGGCCACTGAAGGACTTTGAGCAAAGGAGTGACATGATCTGACTTAGGTTTTTCAATTAATTTTTCCAAATTGGCTTTTCCAAAAGGTTGTACTAATTTATATTTCCATCAACAGAATACAGAGAGAGTTCTTTTGTACCCTCACAACAACAGAGAATTATTAAATTCTTAATTTTTACCCATTTGATAGGTGAAAAATAATACTTTATTAATTTGCATTTGTTGGTTCTTTTTTTTTTTTTTGAGACGAGGTCTTGTTCTGTCGCCCCGTGGCATGATCATACCTCACTACAGCCTTGATATCCTAGACTCAAGCCATCCTCCAGCCTCAGCCTCCTGAATAGCTGGAACTTTGGGCACCTGCCACTATGCCTGGCTAATTTTTTGATTTTCAGTAGACAAGGTCTCACTTTGTTGCCCAAGCTGGTCTCAAACTCCTGAGCCCAAGCTGTCCTCCTGCCTCAGCCTCCCAAAGTGCTGGGATTATAGGCGTGAGCCACTTTGCCTGGCTGCATTTGTTTAATTTTTTTTTTTTTTTTGAGCTGGAGTCTCTCTCTGTTGCCCAGGCTGGAGTGCAATGGCACTGTCTCAGCTCACTGCAACCTCCGCCTCCCAGGTTCAAGCAATTCTTTTGCCTCGGCCTCCCAAGTAGCTGGGACTACAGGCGTGTGCCACCACACCCGGCTAAGTTTTGTATTTTTAGTAGAGACAGGGTTTCACTGTGTTGGCCAGGCTGGTCTCGAACTCCTGACCTTGTGATCCGCCTGCCTTGGCCTCCTGAAGTGCAGGGATTACAGGCGTGAGCCACCACGCCCAGCCTGTTTAATTTTGAAGTAGAGTTGACTTTACTTCTTTTGTGACCTGCCTTTTTGTGTTCTTTGACCTTTGAGTATTTCATCTTTTTCTTATTAATTTTCTAGAGCCTCTTTCTATTTTAATGAAATGGCAGTCATTTTCCCATTGTGTTTTGACCTTGTTTATACTTTTTAAATTTTTTTTGTTTTTTATTTTTTGAGAGACATGTTGCCCTGGCTGGACTTGAACTTCTGGACTCCTCCTGCCTCAGCCTCCCAAGTATCTGGAACTACAGGCACATGCTACCACGCCTGGCTTAAAGTTTGAATTTTTTTTTTTTTTTCAAGACAGAGTCTCACTCTGTCACCCAGGCTGGAGTGCAGTGGCGCAATCTCGGCTCACTGCAACCTCTGCCTCCTGGATTCAAGTGCTTCTTCTGCCTCAGCCTCCGGAGTAGCTGGGACTACAGGCGCATGCCACCACGCCCAGCTAATTTTTGTATTTTTAGTAGAGATGGGGTTTCACCATATTGGCCAGGCTGGTCTTGAACTCCTGATCTCGTGATCCACCCACCTTGGCCTCCCAAAGTGCTGGGATTACAGACTCCTGGCCAAAGTTTGAAATTTTTATGTAGTTACATTTCTCTTTCTTCCTTTTATGTCTTCTTTTTCTTCCATCTGAAATTTGATGTAGAATGATATGTAGGGATCAGATTTTCTTTTTCCAGTTGTGGTTGTCTCAGCCCTACATTTAGGGACTTTATCCAGACTGATTTGAAATGCTACCTTGATCCCATTCCAGGGTCTCATTTGGGTGTAGCACCCAGGTAATTTTTTATTTTTATTTTTATTTTTTTTGAGACAAGGCCTCACTGTCACTGAAGCTTTGAGTGCAGTGGCATGATCACGGCTCACTGCAGCCTCAACCTCCTGGGCTCAAGCGATTCTCCCACCTCAGGCTCCCGAGTAGCTGGGGCTACAGGCACGCACCACCATGCCCAGCTAATTTTTGTATTTTTTTTAGAGATGGGGTTTTGCCATTTGCACAGACTGGTCTTGAATTCCTGGACTCAAGCGATCCACTCCACTTGGCCTCCCAAAGTGCTGGGATTATAGGCGTGAAGCACTGCGCCTGGCCACCATCAGCTTTTTTTTAAGGCAGGGAGAATAGGAAAACACATATTAATAGAGCATCTTCAATTGCCTTTCTTTTGGTATCTTTAGGAAGGTCACTAGCCAGAGTTAGAGCATCTGAGTAATTAAGATTGCTGGGAGTGGGGTGAAGGGGGACAATAATAAGCTCCATATCACTAAACTGGGTGTGATGAGGTGGAGATAAGAACAGTAGGATAGATGTCTGCAACACACAAAGCCTCAGTAAGTAATAGGTAAGCAATAAGCAATAAGGTAGATGTGTGAATACCAGTGCCGTATGCTGGGATGATAACATATTAGCTTATATGGAGCAGGCCTCTCAAAAATAAATTTGCTAATTGTGTGGCATATAGAAAAAATACAAAAAATATATATGGAAAAGAGAGATTAGTGTGGGGTAGAATATTGAGGAGTGGAAGAATAGCCTCTTTATTGGTTATATTTCTGCTATATTTTTGTTCTTAAGCCTAGTTTAAATAGAATTCTTACCTCAGTCTGAGATTTTAGTACATTAAAATGCTTGCTGATCCTGTCTGCCTTTTTGTGTGAAATATAAAACTTATGAAATTCAAATATGTCGTCTGTTCAGTGGTGCTGTGCGTTTATTTATGATTGGAATAATTTTAGCTACTAAGTAAGTAATTAGCTTTGCTAGCCTGAAAGACTTTTTTCATGACTAGTCTTGACTTGTACTGTGTATATTATTGTGTGTATGTGTGTATTATTAATACAAGTGTGTGCTGTGACGATTTGATTTGGTAGGATTGAGACCAGAAGAATCTAGGTCTTGTGTTTTAGGTCAGTGGTCTTAGACTAAGCTACTTCGTTTTACTGTTCCCTAGCAGAGACATAAAACTATGGCATAATCTTCTTTATATGGTGTACATACATGGGGAGCGTCCCCAGGGTTTGACTATAATTCCTCAGAGTTTCCCTTATAGGACTGGCTGGACAATGGCCCAGAACAAGCTATTCAACAAGATCCTCAAAGCCCTGCAGTCTGACCGGCTTGCCCGCTTGGCCAACGAAGGGGTAAGACACCAGCAATCCGCCCACAGTGGGCTCTTCGTAGTTCAGGCCTCACTGGCTGACTGACTTGTCCCCCTGCTTGTTAACCAGGTAGTCCTCATGTTTTATTACTTCCACTTACATCCTTCAGGCTTGTAATGAGCCAGTGCTGCGCCGTGTTGCTGTGGACAAGTGTGCAAGGAGAGTGCGGCAGGCTCTGGCAAGTGTGAGCTGGGATACCAAGCTGATCCAGTGGCTGCACACCACCCTTGTGGAGACCTTGAGTCTGCCCATGCTGGCAGCCTACCTGGATGCTTTGCAGACGCTGAAGGGGAAGGTAAGGCTGTGATTGGGGTCTGCCCTGTCCTAGGGATAGCCATCCTCCCCTGTGGGTTCAGGATGTGGGGTTAGGCAAAGTAATTATCTGGTCGGTCTGGAGTGCATGGCCAAAACTAATGGGTTTGGTACTAAAATTGGGAGACAGGGTATCATTTCACATTTGTGTCTGGTGTAAACGTTTTCAGCCCTGCTGGCTCCAGGATGAGGTATGGGGCCTGAAAACCAGAGTATACATTTAGCCTTCCTAGCCTTGCAGCTTGTGGTTTGAGTCATGGCTGAATTGAATTATCATGAAGGAGACGAAGGGTTTACCAGGGAAGAGTTTGTTGAGAAAGGTGACAGAAGCAGACCCTTGGTGCTCGGAGCACTGGGAGATTGCAGAGCAGGAACGTGCCGTGATGCCTTCAATTCTGCTCCCCAGGGCATGAGCCTTTAGTAGCAACACTTAGACTTTTATAATTCAGTACAAACATATCATTATAGTTCCCTGCTTTCTTACTTAGTATTGCACAAAGTTAAACTGTTTTTCTTGGTGATTCCAGTGATTGCATCAGGCTATCGTCAATGTGGTAGAATGCGGATGCTGGAGGCAGATTGCCTGGCTGATCTCAGCTTTGTTACTGATTAGCTGTGTAAGCTTGGACTGGTGTCTCATCTCTAAAATGTGGCTGATAATAATAGCTATCTAGGATTTTTATGAAAATTAAATTAGTTAATTCAGGTAGGGGGCTTAACACAAAATTGGGCACATAGTAAGCAGTGAGCCCACAGTAATTATTATTACTAATATTAACAGTTATTTAAGTAGTACCCTCATAGGTTCTTGAAATATTTGGGGTGTTTTGCTCCAATACAAAATGGCCTCACGGCCGGGCATAGTAGCTCATGCCTATTATCCTAGCACTTCGGGAGGCTGAGGCAGGAGGATCGCTTTAGCTCAGGAGTTTGAGACCAGCCTGAGCAACATAGCAAGACCTTGTCTCTACTAAAAATAAAATAATTAGCCAGGCATGGTGGCACACGTCTGTAGTCCCAGCTAGTTAGGAGGCTGGTGGGAGGAGGCTGTAGTGAGTTCAGTCCCACCACTGCACTCCAGCCTGGGTGACAGAGGGAGTCCCTGTCTCTAAGAAAGAGAGAGAGAGAGAAGAGAAAGAACCAAATCAATCCAAGTTGTCTGAGGCCTTTTTTTTTTTTCTTTGGAGACAGGATCTTCCTCTCTCACTCAGGCTGGAGTGCAGTGGCACTATCATTGCTTGCTATAACTTCGAACTCCTGGGCTCAAGCAATCCGTCTGCCTCAGCCTCCCAAGTACTGGGACTAGAGGTGTGTGCTACCACCACACCCAGCAAAGAAATTTTTTTTTTTTTTTTTTTTGAGACAAAGTCTCACTCTGTCGCCCAGGCTGGAATGCAGTGGCACGATCTCGGCTCACTGCAACTTCTGCCTCCTGGGTTGAAGCAATTCTGCCTCAGCCTCCTGAGTAGCTGAGACTACAGGCGTGTGCCACCCCGCCCAGCTAATTTTTTTTGTATTTTTAGTAGAGATAGGGTTTCACCATGTCTCGATCTCCTGACCTCGTGATCCGCCCGCCTCGGCCTCCCAAAGTGCTGGGATTACAGGCGTGAGCTGCCGTGCCCTGCCACACCCAGCTAAATTTTTAATTTTTTTGTAGAGACGGTCTTGCTATAGGCTCGTCTTGAATTCCTGGCCTCAAGCAGTCCTCCCATCTTGTCCTCCCAAATTGCTGGGATTACAGGCATAAGCATGATTCAGTTTTTGACACTTTTTTTTTTTTTTTTAATAGTTTTACTTTCTGCTTCACAGGAAGCTGGCTCATCTTGCTGCTGTAAGTTGCCTGGCCAACACGTTCCCTCAGCCACATCCCCAAAACTTGCAGACTCATTGTTTCTTATGTGTTTTTAAGTTAAAGGGTGCCAAGTTTGTTAGAAGACTGGTTTAGTGCTGAAATAAAACTCAGGACTAGATACATTAATGATATTCATGGTAGGAAATTTGACACTAGTTTTTTTGTTTAACTAATACTTATTTTGGGCCCTACGTGTGTCAGGTACTGGGGTGAGCAAAACAAAACTGGTCCCTTCTCTGGTGGAGTGTATTTTCTAGTGAAGAAAGAGACAAATGAAAAGGGAGTCCCAGACTTTCCCCTGTACTGCTCCCCTGTAGTAGAAACCCTGGACCCGGGAGGTGAGTGGTGGGCAGGTAGAGTGTGGGGCCCAGACTGGATCCTGGCAGACAGAGAGTGGTGGCCCAGAAGTATCGTAGGCATCTTCACATATGTTCTCCTCAGCATTCTACCTACGGTAAAAGTGTAACATTGGTGAATACACTGTAGGAGATGAGTGTTGGTAGTGGCCAGGGTCTCAGTTCTCTGGTGACCCTGCTTCACTCACTGTGGCTAGCATAATTTCCCTTTAAGGAGGAATTTGTACTGCTGCCCTATTTAAGTTACTGACTGGACATCTCCTGGGTGCATGTCGGATATTATGAGCATGGCAGACCACTGGGGGGACTCCATAGCATGCATAGTTGGGTGTTTTCCTCCCATGCTGCTGGGCCACGGTGTGGGTTGACTGGAATAGTGGAAGGCTCGCTGGTACACCAGTCAGCAAGGGCCTCAGACTCAAGGCAACATCCTCTCTGGGCTGTGCTCTCCGCAGTGGTTCCTCTGCCATCGGACTCTTATTTTCCCATGACTATATTTAGATTCACAACAAATACTTTGGTTGTTTCCCAAAGGATATAAATGATTATAGGATTGTTTTACTTTTAAAGTGCCTGCTGGATGTGAAAGCGCAGGTGGATGGGATCATGCTCTTCACCCAGCTACTTTCACTATTAGATCCATTATGATAAAGAGGGCAGAGAAGGTATAGACCTTAGCCTTTTAATTGGCTGTTGAGAGTGAATGCAATGCTGGAAGGGCCAGGGAAGCTTGGTCTTCCCAGCTCCAAGTGGAAAAGTCAGTATTGATTTTTTATCCCTTGTTGACAGGAAGCAAGTGTCAAGGCTTTTTGGTTTCAAAGCTATATACTACTGTTAGATAAAGCTTAACCCAGGGTCACATCCTTTGCCTCAAAGTGTTGAGTGGCTCACAGTTCTAGAGTGAGTTACAAAGAACATGAAGATCCTTTGCAGTTTGGTCTTATCCTTTGCGGTTTGGTCCTATCCTTCCTACTGGCTTTTTACATCCTCCTCCTTCCTTACTTGCATCCTTGACTTTTGTCCATCTGTGCCTGGAATAAGCTCTACACATTCTTGCCTCTTGCTGGTGTCTCTGATGGGAAGGCTTTTCTCTCATCTTCTGTTGGAATCCTGCCTGTTCCAAAGAGCCTGTCTCATTTCACATGCTGTATCTTTAGATGAAAATTGCCTCTTAACTTCTTCTCCATTGGGTGGTTTGAATCATAGCAGTTTGGGCTTCTGTTTCTTTCATGGCAGTTATCGGTCTTTCCCTATTCCTGTCCCCCACCATTATTTGTGTGTTTGTCTTCCTTACCTCTTGTAGATTAAATTCCTCTGCAGTACTAGCCTGGTACCTTGTAAAAGCAGTTGCACGAATATTTCTTTCCTGAGTTAAACTGAGAAAGTCTAATGGTTATAATTCTCTAATTTCTCATACAGAAATCCTTTTAGTGTCCCTGTTTTTAAATTAAGAGCAACTTATCTTCTGCTATTTTTGGAGTTTTACAACTTGCATCAAACCGTAGTACTTTTTATTCTCCAATTTTTCAAAACCTTTTTCTTTCTCTGAAAACTGCCTCTAATATTTAAACATTTTTCCTTTCCCCTAGGTCATTTTGACCTTTTGTGGGTAGCATGGAATTCGCAGATATTTCTTCTCAGTGTAAGCATCAACATGTCTGAAACCTATATTTGCACATCTGTAATGTCACATTTCTGGTAGATAGTAAAAAACAGACATGAGATAAAGTACACTGTATATAGTATAGCAGGATATATATTTTTGTACATAATAACAGATTTATTTAGTACACCACAGCTTGAAGGCAGTACTCTAGAAGAAAATGGAGATTTAAAAATATTATAAAATCAACTGATACTCATTGAGGAAATTTAGGGAACATAGAAATCTGTAAAGGAAAAAGTCACCCATAAACTCCATAGAGATCATTATTAACATTTTGTCTTTTTTTTTTTTTTTTTTTTTTTGAGACAGTCTCCCTCTGTTTCCCAGGCTGGAGTGCGGTGGCACACTCTTGGCTCACTGCAACCTCTGCCTCCTGGGTTCAAGCGATTCTCGTGTCTCAGCTTCCTGAGTAGCTGGGACTACAGGTGTGCAGCATATTTTCTTTAAAATATGATTCTATTATATTCATTGTTTAGAAATCTGTTTTATCCCACTTAATGTATCTTTTTTTATTTTTTTAATTTTATTATTATACTTTAAGTTTTAGGGTACATGTGCACAACGTGCAGGTTTGTTACATATGTATACGTGTGCCATGTTGGTGTGCTGCACCCATTAACTCGTCATTTAGCATTAGGGGAGTAGAGATAATTTTTTTCTTTTTTTCTTTCTTTCTTTTTTTTTTTTTTCTTTTTTTTGAGAAGAGTCTCACTCTGTTGCCTAGGCTGGAGTGCAGTGTCATGACCTTGGCTCACCACAACCTCCACCTCCCGGGTTCAGGTGATTCTCGGACCTCAGCTTCCCAAGTAGCTGGGATTACTGGTGTGCGCCACCACACCTGGCTAATTTTTGTATTTTTAGTGGAGACAGGGTTTCACCATGTTGGCCAGGCTTATCTCGAACTCCTGACCTCAAGTGATCTGCCCACCTTGGCTTCTCAAAGTGCTGGGATTACAGGCATGAGTCGCTGAGCCCAGCTTTGAGTAGAGATAATCTTTATATTTTCTATTTTACCTGTAACATTTTAGCAAAATTATTTCTGTGTGTTATTATATATCCTTGTAAATATTTGAAAGCTGGGTGCAGTGGCTGATGCCTTTAATCCCAGCACTTGAGGAGGCTGAGGCGGGTGGATCATTTGAGGTCAGGAGTTCAAGACCATCCTGACCAATATGGTGAAACTCCATCTCTACTAGAAATACAAAAAATTAGCTGGGTATGGTGGTGCACGCCTGTAATCTCAGCTACTTGGGAGGCTGAGAAACAAGAAATCGCTTGAACCCGGGAGGCAGAGGTGGCAGTGAGCCAAGATCAGGCCACTGCACTCTAGCCTGGGCGACAGAGCGAGACTTTGTCTCAATAAATAAATAAATTCTTGTAAATATTCGAAAATAATCTTTAATATCCAATTAGGTAGATAGTTGACTAAACTACTCCCTTACATATGCACATATATATTAAATTGTTTTTACTTTATTATTATTCATAGTTAATTTGTCTCTGTGCATAATTGTCCCCATCCTTTTGTGTGTGTTTTTGTTTCTGATACGTTTTCTTTGGAAAGGTTCTCAGAAGTAGAAACATTTGGAAAAGGGATGGGAATACATTTAAGTCCCTTGCTGCATATCCAGACTGCTTTCCAAAGGATTGTACACATTCACTTTTCATGGTGGGAGCATACTTTTCACCCGCTTATTTATATATATTCTTGATCCTTAGGAGGTTTTCAGAGGCTTAGTTGAAGTCTGTCTATGGCTTATAGTGGGGCTCTGTTCTTCTGCTTGATTGCTGGTGGTGGAAGGTCTCCTGCTTTACACTGGAGTCATCTTTGCTCTTTCTTCTTTGTAGATCCCAACCTTGATTGACCGGATGCTTGTGTCATCCAACACAAAGACTGGGGCTGCAGGAGCTGAGGCCTTGTCTCTCCTACTGAAGAGGCCCTGGGACCCTGCTGTGGGTGTGCTTTCTCATAACAAACCAGTAAGTTGGATGGCTCAGGACTTAACAATGGTACATAAAAATTTTAGACTCAAGCCTTAGAACCTTGGCAGGAGGATAAATGGCTTCTTTAACTATTTATTATTATTATTATTTTTTGAGACAGAATCTTGCTCTGTTACCCAGGCTAGAGTGCAGTGGCACGATCTCAGCTTACTGCAACCTCCACCTCCTGGGTTCAGGCAATTCTCCTGCCTCAGACTCCTGAGGAGCTGAGATTACAGGCATGCACCACCATGCCCAGCTAATTTTCAGTAGTGACAGGATTTCACCATGTTGGCCAGGCTGGTCTCAAACTCCTAATCTCAGGTGATCCACTTGCCTTGGCCTCCCAAAGTGCTGGGATTGCAGGTGTGAGCCAGCATGACTGGCCAGCTTCTTTAACTATTATTAATAATTTATTTTACATAGTGCTTAACATAATTTCACAAGCAAAGGAGCATTGGTTGGGATGAGAAAGGTATTGGGATACTTGGAATTTCATGAAAGGACACTTCTCACTCACTGGTTTTTGGGTGGGATTCTTCCTCTTTAGAGCAAACTCCCTGGCTCTCCGCTGATTCTCATCGCCTCCTCTGGTCCCTCCAGCTCTGTGTTTCCCACTTCACGCCGCCACCGCTTCTGGCAATCTCAGCTGTCCTGCTTGGGCAAGGTATGTGTGGGGGCAAGAGGAACTCCTTCCTGGCAGGGAATATAGTCTTGGAGGATTGAGGAGAAGAATATGTGGGAGGAGGTCAAAATGGGTAACTTGAATGTGGAGCCTCCTCTAACCCTTCTTTCATGTGGAGCCTCCTCTAATCCTTCTTTCATGTGGAATTCCAAGGTTTTGGGTTTAGGTTAGGTTAAACAGAATTGAAAGATTTGAAACTTACCTCTGCTGGTGTGGGGGCTACTTCTTTCCTTCAGGTCATCCCTGTAGCCACCCATCTGCTGAACAATGGCAGTGGGGTAGGAGTTCTACAGTGTCTCGAGCATATGATTGGGGCAGTGAGAAGCAAAGTGCTGGAGGTGAGAATGCCCGTATTTCAGTACATTGTGGCATACCCAGCATTCTGGGGTTGTTCTGCACCTATCTTTGGCCTCCTGTCTTACTGTCTTCTTTCTCTTCCCATGAAGATTCACAGCCATTTCCCACACAAACCCATTATCTTGATTGGCTGGAACACAGGAGCTTTGGTGGCCTGTCATGTAAGTAATTTCTATCTTATTTGGAGGTTGTCCTGGGATGGAATACCACTAATCATAGCTACCATTGAGTCCTTTACTGTGTGTCAGGCTCTGCGCTAGATACTTTACCTATATAATTACATTTTAAACTGTAGAAGACAAATTTTATTAAAACAATTTTTAATTTATTTTGGAAAACTTTAAGCAGAAACAAAAGCAGGTGTAGTATAATAAACCCCCGGATCCTCACCCAGCTTTACCAGTGATCAACTCTTGGCTGGGCTTGTTTCATCTCACCCTGCTCATTTTCTTTCTCCCCTAGATTGTTTTGAAGAAAATCCCAAATATAATAGCATTTTCACATACACACACACACACACACACACACACACACACACATATGGGTATATATCTGTGGAAAAAAAAAAAAGATCCCTTTTTTTCTCTAAACATAAGTACCATACTGTTCTCCCACCTAAAAAACAACAGTAATTGTAGCTGGCAAATATTAATAGCTCTGGAATTTGATGCTGTGTTCATTTCAGTCTTTTTCCAAGACATCAAGGAATCTTTTCGTATTTTACATATATTTGTATGTCTGTCAGTTTGTGTAAGTGTCCCTCATGTCCAAACCCTTAATTTTGCTTCATGCAGTCCAATCAAGTGTGATAGCTATGAGAGGAAGAAGGTCCCCATAGTCCCTGCTCCCAGGGTGTTAGGCCTTAGCAGTTTGCTCCAAGAAATCTAGGCTGTCTGGTAGCTATCCATTAAGTTCAATAGAGAGAATTTTTTTTCACTTAAGGGTTAATGGCAACATTGTGTTCTCTTGACTATATTTACTATTTGTGGAGAAAAATGGAGCAGGAGGGCTCTAGTTGAGGGGGTTGACAGGGTAGGAATACTGAACCTTCTATCCTATGGTTCAGCCACCTGCTGGGGTCCTCTTAGGGCCCCAGTTCTCTAGGTAGTGGCTGCTTATGGAATGACATACCTTGTGTCTTGTGCTCTTACTGCTGCCATTGTGGCAGAAGATGCACCCGGATATTAGGACAGGAGAGGAAGAGGTGAGACTGTCTGGTGGGTCTGGACCACTCCTGGATTCTGGGTAGGCTGAGGTGCCATGAACTCAGTTGACGTTTAGACAAACTGTTCTGTTATTTACAGGTGTCAGTAATGGAGTATGTCACTGCAGTTGTCTGCCTTGGGTTTCCTCTGCTTACTGTGGATGGCCCCAGAGGGGTAAGAATGTGGTAAAGCTGAGTGCTGGGTCATTGGCAGTGGGAGCGCGAGTGTGCATGCCTTGTCCAAGCTGATGCTGAGGCTGACTGCAGTTGCATGGCTGATCCTCCTTAGTGGAGTTTCTGGGTCAGTGCTTTGTGAATATGAAGAAGCCGATTCTAAAACCTATACCTGTTTTAGGATGTAGATGATCCCCTCTTGGATATGAAGACTCCAGTCCTCTTTGTCATTGGTCAGAATTCCCTTCAATGTCACCCTGAAGCCATGGAGGACTTCCGGGAGAAGATTCGAGCTGAGAACAGCTTGGTGGTGGTTGGGGGAGCTGATGACAATCTCAGGTGGGTGGATTCTCCCAGAGCTGCAAGAGAGCTGTGTTACAGTGTTAGAGATAAGCCTGGAAGCTGGCAATGTAACTACAGACCAGTCTGGTTCAGTTAAAAGACAGCATTAGCCGGGCGCGGTGGCTCACGCCTGTAATCCCAGGACTTTGGGAGGCTGAGGCAGGCGGATCACGAGGTCAGGAGATTGAGACCATCCTGGCTAACACGGTGAAACCCCGTCTCTACTAAAAATACAAAAAATTAGCCAGGCCTGGTGTCGGGCGCCTGTAGTCCCAGCTACTCGGGAGGCTGAGGCAGGAGAATGGTGTGAACCCAGAAGGCGGAGCTTGCAGTGAGCCGAGATCCCGCCACTGCACTCCAGCCTGGGTGACAGAGCAAGACTCTGTCTCAAAAAAAAAAAAAAATTAAAAAAAGACAGCATTAAAAAAACCTTTTTTAATATTTGAAATTTCAGATTTATAAAAAGTTATAACACTAGTACAAAACAATTCCTATATACCCTTCACCTGATTTTCTAAATGTTAAACATCTTACATAGCCAAAGTGTAATTCTCAAAATCAAGAAATTAACATCTACATGATACTGTAATTTACAGACTCATGTTTCATCAGTTGTTTCCCTAATGTCATTTTTCTGGTCCAGCATCCAGCCCAGGATCACACTTGGATTTAGTTGCCATGTCTCCTCAGTCTCCTTTAATTTGATAGAGTTCCTCCATCTTTGTCTTTCACGACCTTGAGCTTTTTTTTTTTTTTTTTTTTTTTTTTTTTTGAGGTGGCGCCTGGCTCTGTCGCCTATGCTGGACTGCAGTGGTGCAATCTCAGCTCACTGCAACCTCCGCCTCCTGAGTTCTGGATAGAGTTGATCTATTAAGCTATAGGTATAGGAATTCTGGAGCGGACTGTCCTGGGCACTGTGCTTGGTTTCTTTACATATGTTATTTTGTTTAATCCCCACAACTCCATGAATGGGATGTTATGATTCCCCATTTTGCAGACACGGAAACAGGTTCGGAGAGGTTGCATTACCTGCCTAAGGCTAACATGGCCCTCCTTCTGGGGCTAGAAAATAAACAACCCAGAAAAGAAATACGTTCTTATTTTCATAGGATGCCGTGCAATGTGTAAGAAGTAAACATGTCATCCTTTTTGTTTCTTAGAATAAGCAAAGCAAAGAAGAAATCAGAAGGGTTGACTCAGAGCATGGTGGACAGATGTATTCAGGTAAACAGTTGTTTTGTGTGCTTTTCTCAGCTAGGCTTGCCTTTCTGTAGCCTTTTAGGTTTGGTCTTATTGGTAGTGGTCTCTTTGGCTCTAAGGCCTCCACTGGGGCCTCTGGTAGGTCTCAGTCATAAGCAAAGAAAAGAAAAATGAGAGTGGTGAATTAATGTAAGCAAAGCATCACGGGGGAGAGTGTTGGAAAAGTGGTGGAATGTGACCACCCCAGAGCTCCCCCTGACAGAGGCACTTGCTGGTCTTCTTGAACCACAGTTGCTCAGAAGCCTGGGATTTGCGCCAGACCTTGTTTGAGTGGGGAAGGACTGGCACATGCGGATGCCAGAGCTGAGGGAGAATCTGTTTTAGTTGGAAAGTATATGAGAGGTTCCCATTCTCCAGATGAGGACTAAAAGGCCTTGGTTGGCTCCTCTCTACACTAGGATGAGATTGTGGACTTTCTGACTGGAGTGCTCACTCGTGCTGAGGGTCACATGGGCTCTGAACCTCGGGATCAGGATGCTGAGAAGAAGAAGAAGCCCCGCGATGTGGCCCGCAGAGACTTGGCCTTTGAAGTCCCTGAGCGGGGCAGTCGACCTGCCTCCCCAGCTGCCAAGCTGCCCGCCTCACCCTCAGGCTCAGAGGTAGTGTGAGCAGGGAGGGAGCGCTTTTGCTGGGGAATCAGCACCACAGAGTTGGTTCCTTAATTTCCTGGGGATGCCTCTGTCTTATTAGTGCCATGGGCCTGTGAGTTCCTACAAGGGGAATTCCAGAGGGACATGCTGACTCATGGTCAGATCCTAGTAACATTGTCTCATCTCTTGACCTTCTCACCTTACTCAGGATCTCTCCAGTGTGTCCAGCAGCCCCACCTCCAGTCCCAAGACCAAAGTGACCACAGTGACCTCTGCCCAGAAGTCCAGTCAGATTGGAAGTTCTCAGCTGCTGAAGAGACATGTGCAGCGGACAGAAGCTGTGCTGACCCACAAACAAGCTCAAGGTATAGGCACTTGGCCAGTGGCTCCTCTTGGGTCTGTCTTCTGTAGTTCATGTCACATGGCAGTTGCACAGTATTGATATCTATGGCTTTTTTCAGGGGGATGTGAGAGGCGCCCTTTCTCACATTTCTGTGCAGGCAAAATTCAAAATTAATTATTGAAATGAATGCCAAGGCCTCTGAGTTAGTGGGGCTTTGTGATCACTAGTTATAGCTTTGTCTTGCTGTTCTGGGGAGGCTAGGCTTTATGAACATGTATATTGGCCTAAACTTTTTTCTACCTTGCCAGCCACTCCTCCAGTCGGGGCTCTCCAATCATATGTATTGGGTGATTGATTTTATTAATCAGATTCTAGGGTAACTCACCTGGCATCATGCCCTTTCTTTGTTTGACCCTTGAAGCGTTAAGATTCTCACACTGAGACTTTCAGTGAAGTTTATCAGGGTTCTCTGCATACAGGTTTCAGATGAAGCTGGGAAGTATTCCTATAGTCGAAAGTAAGAGTTTGGTGAGCTGCGAGTGCTATGAAAGGAGCTATAGAAAAGGGAGAGTTCATTGGGTAGGGAAAGAAGAAACAGTGGTTCTGTCCCCCTTCCCCCACATTGATCCAGTTGGGTGGCCTTGAGGTAAGGCCTCTTGGGCATTGGTGTTTAACGATGTGTCCAGGAGCATGTCACCTGAGCTTTTCAGGAATAGGGGTGCCTGGGAAGAGGCAGCAGCCAGAGCTGGCTGTCTGGCAGACAGACGTGGAGGGGATAGGAGGCTCATCTGTTTACTTTCCCTGTGTTTCTTTTAGTGGAGCCAAATGATCAGAACCGAAACCCAGACCTCTTGTGAGTTTGCTTATAAGAGTAGTACTAACAAGGAGTAGAAGTGTGAGTGGATGGGAGGAGTTGAGAAATGAGGCCAGGCCCCAAGGGTCTGCGCGGATGCTCTGCCATGGATCTTCATGAGTGGTGGCCAGAGCCAAGTCCCGTGTGGACAGTGTGTCTTTACACTTCTGAAGAAGACAGAGCTGGTGGTCTGCTGTGCTTCTGCAGAGGGTGATTAGTTGAGAATCTAAGGAGTTTGGAAGGCTGATTGGCGAGCTGGGTTTGAAATGGGGATCTAGGGTGTCATGGGGGAGAGTAGCAGCTTTAGAACCCTGGCTTAGCAGAGCTGATGGGCAAACGGGGAATACTAATAGCGAACATATATGGAGTCCTTGCTGTGTGCCATGCCTTCTTCATGGCACTCGCATTGCTGTAGTTTGTTGAGTTTTGGCATGGCCCCATGAGGCAGATAGTACTATTCAGTTTTAGATGCTTCTACAGACTGACTCCGTGGCAGAGTCAGGTTGCCATGCAGTAATTTCAGAAGGAGCCCCTATTGGCCATTTTCTACAACCTTTTTTCTTATTCCCTCTCTTTTTCTCCCTTCTCTGGCTGGCTGTGATTCTGTAATTCTTTCTGATTCATTCCAGCACAGTTTGCTGCTTTTCTGAAACAAAATATGCTGGTGAGGAAAGCTCTTCCTCCTGGCACCTCCTCCTGTCTCTTTGGTGAGTATTACTCTTTCTTGCCTGCTCGTCCACTACATTCTGCTCCTCAACCCCTTATTTATTTTCCATCTCTGCCTCTCATCTGCCTCAGTTTGGTTTCCTCCTGTTCTTTTCTCTCTCTTTCTTTGTATTCTTTTGTTTTGCTGACCCCTTTTGCTTACTCTGTAGTCTTTGCCCTTTTTCCATTCTTTTGTTTGCTTCTCATGGTGTTTTCTTTTTTGTCTCTTAGTGTGGTTCTTTCTTTCACTACGGTCTTGGCTCTGCTGCTTTTTTGTATGTCTGTGGCATTGCCTGAGTCTCAGTTTCCTTGTGTGTTTTTCTCCCTGCCTCCTGTCCTGTGTTTATCTGGTGGCTACAAGCCTACCAGCCACATATCAGCATAGAACCTGAAACTCCTTTCCCCTACACCCTCCTTCCTACTCTGATTTTAGCCAGTGCATTTGTCCCCTAAGCAATCCTTCTAGCTGGTTATGTCCTGACTGTTGCCTCATGCCAGGACCCCTCCTCCCTCCTCATGTGACTGCTACCTTCCTCCCCACACCAGTCTTTGCTTCCCTGTGCTACAAGAGGACTAGGGTGGACTTCTGGGTTTAAAGAGGAGGGAATCTTTGAGGAAGCTTGAAAGATAACCTAAGAGTCCAAAAAGCTTGGCTGTATACATGATGAGCCTGTTTGATTCAGTGGAAGTGGAAGCCCATGTGTGAACAGATGGCCTTTGTCTGTACTAGTACACATGACCTGGGGACTAGGTTGTGACATGGGCCAGTGTTGCCCTGTTACTTTTGGGTGGGAGCCGTGAGGTTGCCTGGTTGAGGTACTCTCTCTCCTAGTAGCTACTCATAGCCAGCTTTTAGTCCTGGTGACACTCCTCTTCATTGCCTCCATTTGGCAAGTGGATCCTCAACTGTGGGCTCTTAGGGCAGGGTGGGACTCTTGAGAGCCTTTGGAAAACTCTACTTTTTAGAGAGGACTGGATGACCTGCTCCTCCATGAGTTCTCATAGAATGTTTGATGTCTCCAACTGTGTGATGATGTGGGGAGGGCTTCAGACAGGAAGATGATCACATTTTTTGAGTCTGAGAAGGACTGTTTACTCATTCTGTTGAATCCTCTATTTTTGTTGTTGTTGCCATTGGCCTTGGCTAGGCAGGGTCAGGATGTCTTCTGTCTTTTAATTCCTACCAACTCAGGGCCCCTTCTCTTCCGATTCCAGTGCAGGATGAGGGATGAGAAGGGTGCCATCCTCTAAGAAGGGCAAAGTGGGGTCCCCCACGGACAGGGCCTGAGTGAAGTGGTCCTGAAGCATGGGCAGTCTCCTTTGAGGGGTGGCCCTGTACGTAGAGTGGTTATCCTGTGTGTTCTACATTCTACACATGGCTGTGTTGGTGCTGGTATTGACTGAGTGTCTGTTGGGATTTTTTGGATTGTGGAGGATCTCAACTCAGCTCCATGTCTTAGTTCCCATTTCATCAGAACCACCAGAGGAAGGAGAGAAAGAGGATCTTAGGGTTCAGCTGAAGCGACACCATCCCTCGAGTCCCCTTCCTGGCAGTAAGACCTCCAAACGACCGAAGATCAAGGTGTCCCTTATCTCCCAAGGGGACACAGCTGGAGGGCCTTGTGCTCCTTCCCAAGGAAGTGCTCCAGAAGGTGAGTTTCTCTTGGTACGTTAAATGAGAACTGAGCTCTCTCAGGTACACAGCATTGCCCTTTGGTGGCCATTCACCAGCATGTCAGCCTTTGCTTTATTTTGAGAGATGCCCGGAGCAAAGAAGACATGAGTCTGTACATGTGGGTAAAGTTGGCATGAGTCCATCTGAATGAGGACCAGGCAGGCAGAATATGAGAGGAAGCTGTGCCATCGTTCAAAGCATCCTATATTTTGTTCTTTTTTTGTTGGCTTCAATTAAAGGTACAGAATATTTCAGGAAGTTTAGAAAATAGAAGGAAAAAATAACCCCAACTCTCCCTACTCTAGCATAGTTCATCTTTTTTCATTTTCCAGTTTTCGTCCGTAATATCTTGCATTTAGCCTAAGCTGTGGAACCTGGAAACATAGAGGCCAAATAGGACTGACCAGGGGCCTTGGGGTTTTCTGTTTTGAAGCTGCAGGTGGGAAGCCCATCACCATGACACTGGGGCAGGCTTCAGCAGGGGCCAAGGAGCTCACAGGACTTCTCACCACAGCCAAGTGAGTGTTTATTGGACCATCTGTGTCTATTCCTTTTTTCCCTTCCCTCTGTTTCTGGTTTATTTAGTGCTTTGGAAAATGATGGATTCTGGATTCTTGTCAGTTTTGGAAATGTGACTTACTTCTGATTGGGATCTTTGTCTTGCTTTTGAGTCAACCCAGAGTTCACTTTTACTTAAGACTCCAAATCGTCCCCTGGCTTTTGCTATAAGTCCTGTAAGTAAGGACTTTTAGAAGACTAGAGGCCAGGTACAGAAAGTGGGACAAAGAAGCTGAAGGTTTTTGGTGTATGTCTGCTGCTGAAAGCCTTGCTGGGCCCCACTCTGTACCCTGCCAGTGTTGCTAGGGCTTGCTGTCCTGTGACCTTTGGATAACAGAGCTCCTTCCTTTGTCTCCAGGTCCAGTTCTTCTGAAGGTGGAGTCTCAGCCAGCCCAGTCCCTTCAGTGGTCTCCAGCAGCACTGCACCCAGTGCCTTGCACACACTGCAGAGCCGCCTGGTGGCCACATCTCCTGGCAGCTCCCTCCCAGGTATCTTGTGGCCCAGCATTCTCCCCTTCCAACACAGAATTTTTGGTCTGCTGCTTCTGGGTGGTCCTGGGAAAGCATCCCTGGAGCTAAATCCATAGGATGGGCCTCTGGGTCTTAGAGTGATCATAGAGGCTTGACGTGAAGCTGGAATTAGCTTGGGCAGAGGGATTCCTTGGCCTTGAATAAATGCAGTGAGTAAATGTCCTGGTCTGCAAGTGAGTAAATGTTCCAGTCTACAGGTGCTGTATCCTCTACTGTAAGGAGAAATAGCCGATAGGACATATATGTATAGTCAGCCTTTCTTATCCACAGGAGATTGGTTCTAGGACCCTCACCACTACCAAAATCCATGGATGCTCAAGTCCCTTATATGAAATTATGTCATACCGTTGGAATTCTATATCCACAGGTTTCTATCCGTGGTTGTTTGAATCTGCAAATCTGCTGTGAAGCTCACAGATAATTGAGAGCTGACTGTGGTTTTACTTTGCTGTTTTAAGCACATCTGCCTGAATAAAACTGGAAATGGTGCTACACTGGGCATTAGCAAAATGAGACATTTTTCTGTCTGTGCTTGTCTCTCTCTTTGTCCTACCCACTAACCCTACTTTGAAAGGCCTGTTGCCTGAGCCCAGCAGGGCCAAGGCATTGCAGAAACCCTCTCCTGGCCAGGCATGGTGACTCACACCTGTAATCCCAACACTTTGGGAGGCCGAGGTGGGTGGATCACCTGAGGTCAGGAGTTTGAGACCAGCCTGGCCAATATGGTGAAACCCCGTTTCTACTAAAAATACAAAAAATTAGCCGGGTGTGGTGGTGGGCACCTGTAATCCCAGCTGCTTGGTAGGCTGAGGCAGGAGAATCGCTTGAACCCAGGAGGTGGAGGTTGCAGTGAGCTGAGATTGTGCCATTGCGCTCCAGCCTGGGCAACGAGAGCGAAACTCCGTCTCAAAAAAAAATAAAATAAAATAAACCCTTTTCCTTTAAGAGAACCTTTCTTATTGCTTTGAGGCTACTTCCTTACTGCTTTGATTGTGTGAGGCGAAGTGAAAGTTGGATATTTATAATTCTTTTGGCTTAAAAAGTTCTTCCCTGGAAAGAAAGGAACAAACTTGGATTTCTCAAAATGGTCTAAAATGTATGACTGATGGTTTGCAGCAGGTGCAGAGCAAGTCCGGGGCAGTGTCTGGCACAGTACCTTTCCTGTGTGGCATCCATTGCGTGTGTGCCTAGTTGGGGAGAGCTTCCTGCCTTCTCTCTGAGGACGGGTGTCCAAGGGCAAGCACCACTGGTGTTTTAGTTGGTGGTGAGGGTGGATGGATGTGGCTGCTCTCGGGATAGTGCAAGTGATTGAGTCTCTACTGATTCCTGCTATGTCCTCTCTTAGGGGCCACATCAGCCAGCAGCCTCCTCCAAGGCCTCAGCTTCAGCTTGCAGGATATCAGCAGCAAGACCTCTGGCCTTCCAGCAAATCCCTCCCCAGGACCAGCCCCACAGGTGCACATCTGCCATCTGCTGGGCTGGGCAGGTGTAGGGAGGAGGCCTCCTCAGCTTAGTTGGTTTTGGCAGGGAAACTAGGTCTGGAGTCAGTGGATCAAGGACAAACAGCCTTCTAGCTACATAGCAGGGAACTTACAAAAGTTAAGGTCTATCATTTACTGTGTGACCTTGGGCAAGTTTCTTGACCACTCTGTTTTTGTTTCTTTGTCTATAAAATGAGGTAATAATAGTACCTCCCTCATAGAGTTGTTATAAGAATGAAATAATATATGCAAAATGCCTGGAAGAGTACCTTGCATGTAGTAGGCACTCAATACATGTTAGCCTTTAATAATATGCTGTGGGCCCTCCAAGCTCGAATGTTGCTGTTGGGCGACAGCTTCTGATCACCTGGGCTTGTGTGTCCCACAGGCCACCAGTGTGAAGTTGCCCACCCCCATGCAGAGCCTGGGTGCCATCACCACGGGCACCAGCACCATTGTCCGTACCATTCCTGTGGCCACCACTCTCTCCTCCTTGGGTGCCACTCCTGGTGGGAAGCCCACAGCCATCCACCAGCTGCTGACCAATGGGGGCCTCGCTAAGTTGGCAAGCAGCCTCCCTGGCCTGGCTCAGATCTCTAACCAAGCATCAGGTGAGTCTCTCATGAGAACTGTGGGGACTCCCAGATCTGGGATCTTTCCCCCAGGACCTTCCCATCTCATGTGGGCAAGGTATGATGTTGAAACCAGTCCCACAGGGTCCTGGCATTGACCTTTGGATTCAGCTGTGTGGACCCATCCCCCAGAGAGGTTGAGAGAACACAGGCTGTTTCCTGTTGCCTTTCAGATTGACTGATAGGGCATAGATGACCCAGCTGGGGAGGAGGCCAAGGGACTGTGTTATGTGGGGGAGAAGCTCTCCAGGAAAGGAAAGCCTCAGTAGAAGGTGGAGAGTGTGACTCAAAAATTCTGCTTCTCTCTCTTTATCTCAGGCTTGAAGGTCCCCACCACCATTACTCTGACACTTCGTGGCCAGCCGAGCAGGATCACTACACTGAGCCCTATGGGCTCAGGAGCAGCCCCATCCGAGGAGTCCTCTTCCCAGGTGCTGCCCTCCAGCTCACAGGTGAGTCTGCCAGGAAGGACTGAGGACATGGGCTTCATTATTGGGAAGTTTAAGACCAGCTGACTGGCTGATTGAAGGGGCTGCCCATGCACTGGACAGACGAGATTCAGATTCAAATTCAAATCTGTATTCTGGAGTTTGTGGCTTTATAATATTGAGCGAATCATGGACATCTTTGAGCTTCCTCTTCTACATCCCTCCCTTGATATTGTGAAGAGTACATATGTTCAAGTGGGTAGCAGTGTCTAGTATTTAATGTTTTTGTTTACTTTTCCTTTCGTTTCATTTTTTTCTCATCCTTGGTTTCATCCTTCAGAGGTTATGAGTAGAGGCTACTTGGCTAATGCTCTTTCTTTGTTTTTATTTTTATTTTTTGAGATGGAGTCTTGCTCTATCGCCCAAGCTGGAGTGCAGGGGTGTGATCTCGGCTCCCTGCAACCTCCACCTCCCCGGTTCAAGCAATTCTCCTGCCTCAGCCTCCCAAGTAACTGGGATTACAGGCGCCCGCCACCATGCCCGGCTACAACAGGGTTTCACTGTGTTGACCAGGCTGGCCTCGTACTCCTGACCTCAAGTGATCTACTTGTCTCGGCCTCTGAAAGTGCTGGGATTACAGGTGTGAGCCACCGCTCCTGGCCCTTTCTTTGTTTTTAAGGACATGGAGACAGAGATATCTCACTATGTTGCCCAAGCTGGCCTTGAACTCCAAGGTTTAAGTGGTCCTCCCGCCTCGGCCCCCAAGTATAATACTCTTTCTTTGACATTGGCTTTCTAGCACTGTGCCTTCCCATATCTTAGCATTTATTGCTGTCTTTTTAGGGCACAGCTAGGTTTTTATAGGTCTCACCCAGGAAGTCATGATTAGTTTCTCTTAGCTGATCTAATTTCCCCTGTGACCTTTTCAAGTCAAATATTTCTAATCTTAAAATGGTAATCTGAGGAGCCACTCAAAGATTAGAAGTTAAGCCAAAAAACAGTTTGAGTCTAGTACTGAGTGTGCTTTCCTTCAGTATCCGCTATACAGCCAAGGCCTTCCTGTGTCTCCCTGTCCTTTCCACCATGTCAACCTGCTTGTGAACTGGAGGTGCAGTGATAGTTCCTGAGCCATTCTAAAAGCTCTTCTGTCTCTTCCTCTTTAGGGAAAATACTGCACAGAGGTCAACACCTGACATTCGTTGGGATCATAGCTACCTTTTTTTGCAGAGGGATGGAAATGTTTTAATTTTATCTTATTTCTTATTTTTTCAATTATAAAAATGATTATGCTTATTTTAAATAATTCAAACATTATAGAAATAATTAATTTAGAAAGGGAAAGTTTCCCATGATGCTACTCCTAGAGATGATGTTCACTGTTAATAGCCTGATATGGATCCATTCAAATTTTTTTTTCTACACAAAGTATGTTATTTTATTTATTTTGTACAAATATGGGATTACAGAGTATGGACTGTTTTGTAACTTGCCTTTTTTTATAAATCATGTCGTGACACGTTTCCCTGTCTGTGTCTTTTCAGAGGCTGGCTAGTATTTCACTGAGTAGATGTATGAAGATGTATTTCACCACCTTCTGTTAGGTAGATAGCTGGGTTCTATTTTGGTTTTTGATATTTTAAATAATGCTCTGGTGAACACTTGTTTATTCTTGTGTACCTCTGGGAGCATTTCTCCAGGCCAGAGAATAAGTAGAGGATGTGTACCTCTAATATCTGGGCAGCTGCTCACTAACTGCCCTTCAAAAAGTTTTTGCTACTTTACAATTCTAGCCACGGTGATGAAAATATGTTTCATATTTTGTGGAAATCAAAATTTTAACTTTATTAATCTGGGTGAAAAATGAAATTGTTTTAATGTGCATTTTCCTGATTACTTAAGAAGTTTTATGTCTTTTATGAAATGTTTGTCATACTCTTTGAATTATAGTGGCTTTGTATATTCAGATGTTAAATCTTTATCTGTTACACAAATTACATATATGTTATTCCTGTCAGTGGCTCATATTTTTTTTTCTTTCTATTGAAGCATTCATTGAATGTCAGTCAGTCTTTTAACTTTTATTTCTAGATCATACAGCCATTTAAATGTTTCATATAGTAAAATCTTCAAATATTTTCCTTTATAGCTCCAAAGTTTTATGCCTTAAGAAAGCTAGCCCTATCACAAGAATATAAAAGTAATCCTTTTTGTTTTTAAAATTTGAATTGTGGTAAAACATATATAACATACAATGTACCATTTTAGCCATGTTTCAAGCTTACAGTTCAGTAGCATTGAGCACATTCACATTGTGGTACAGCCATCACCACCATCCATCTCCAGAACTTTTCTGTCATCCCATATTGAAACTCTCTCTTTGTGTTTTCTTATAATGCTTTTGCTTGTTTCCTTTAATTCCTTATAGTTCACTTTTGTATGTTAAGTGAGGTAAGGATGAGTCCATTCATCATTCCTCCACTCATCTAAAATCCACTGCTGTCACATTCTAAAGTACTGAACACATATGGGCCTGTTCTGTAGTTTTGAATTTGTCTATCCTACGCTGGCCTTCTGTTATGGGTTGATAGTATGGATCTTGAAGTTAAGGGAGTGTCAATTCTGTTTCTAGTTTGCTAAGATAATCTTCATTCTTTTCCTTTCTCATGATAGTTTTGAATTTTTTCCATTATTCTTTTAGAATCACATGAAATGAATGAGGATAAACATTTCCTTTTTTTTTTTTTTTTTTTTTTTTTTTGAGACAGTCTCACTCTTGTCACCCAGGCTGGAGTGCAGTGGCACGATCTCAGCTCACTGCAACCTCTGCCTGCCAAGTTCAAGCTATTCTCTTGCCTCAGCCTCCTGAGTAGCTGGGACTATAGGCTCATGCCACCACCCTCAGCTAATTTTTCTATTTTTAGTAGAGACAGGGTTTCACCATGTTGTCCAGGCTTGTCTTGAACTCCTGACCTCAAGTGATCCACCCACCTTGGCCTCCCAAAGTGTTGGGATTACAGGCGTGAGCCATCATGTCCGGCCAACGTTTCCTTCTAATCAGTTAAAATGATGAGTTACTTTAATAGGTTTCCTAATATCAAACTGTGTGAATTCTAGATGCAGTGGCTTTTTCAGTGTGTCCTATTCTTTTTATTATACATACAAAGGCAACAAGACCCTATCAAAAGAACGAAATGAAAAAAGAAAGAAGCTAAGCATTTCAAAAGAAAAGCATGTCTATTCTATTTGCTTTTATTTTACTTAGGATTTTGGCGTCTATATTAATCTCCTCAGGCTTTGGCCCATAGTTTTCTTCCCCTCCACCCCCTACTTCTGTGTGTGTGCTTTCCTTTGTCTAGTTATGTAAAAGGGGTAATTCAATCCTTGTAGAATGAGATGGGAAGTGCTTTTCCCCTCTCATACTCTAAAACAGTTTTATAGTACAGAAATGATAGTTCCTTGATGGGTTGATAGAAGTGACCTACAAAGCCATTTGGGCCTGTTTTTAGGGTGTCTTCGTTTGCTGATGCCATGTTGATGGACAACTAGAACACAGATCCTGCCACGTGATCCCTTCCTCCTGTGTTAGGTAATCCGTCTCAGCTTGCCATGGCCTGGGCCAGCCAGTTACCATTGAGAAGAGAGTAGAGGTCATTGAGAATCCCCCTTTTCTGGAGCTCAGTTGAAGCACAGAATAAAGATCAAGGTCTGGCCTTCTAACTGATGATGTTAACATGAGATTAGTTTTCATCTTAATAGAATGGACGTAGGCTGGGCATGGTGGTTCACGCCTGTAATCCCAGCACTTTGAGAGACCTAGGCGGGTGGATCACGAGGTCAAGAGATCGAAACCATCTTGACCAAAATGGTGAAACCCCATCTCTACTAAAAATACAAAAATTAGCTGGATGTGGTGGCGTGCACCTGTAATCCCAGCTACTTGGGAGGCTGAGGCAGGAGTATTGCTTGAACCTGGGAGGCGGAGGTTGCAGTGAGCTGAGATTGTACCATTGCACTCCAGCCTGGGCAACAGAGCCAGACTCTGTCTCAAAAAAATAAAATAAATAAATAAAATAAAGTGGATATGTAATTGCTAGGAGGAGTCAGGTGGTGATTCTTTTCCAACAAGCAAGGGGATGTTATTAGATTAAGGCTTCTTGCTGATTCAGAAGCTTCTAATAGCTCTGTTCAGATTGCCAGACAGAGCACTGGACTATGGGTCAGGTCATCTGTTTTCAGCCAGCTGTGTGATCCTGGGCAAATCACCTATCCTTCTGGGCTTTGGTTTTCTTACCTGGTTTAGAGAGGAAGTTGACTTAATTCAGTGACTGTTGTGGTGGCAGGATCAGAATCTCCTCAGGCTTTGGAAACCGACGTTTTTTAATGCTTAGAAACAAACTACCCATTTTTTTGACATTTATGAGGCAATTGGAAATTTTAACACTGACTGGATAGTTGTTGATATTACGGAATTGTTAACCTTTTTAATGTGTGATAATGGTATTGTTAGGATTTTAAAACAGTCATTTTTTATTTTGGGGTTCCATACTGCAATATTTTTGGATGGAATGAATTTAAAAAGAAAAGTGAACACCAACTAGACTTCTCTAAGATCTGTATAAGCACTTAATTATCTGTTTTGTTTCTGGCACTGATTGGTGTTTACTATGTGTTTCCTTCATGGGAATGGACTATTGTGTACTCATCACAGCTGAGAAGCTGCAGGGAGGAAGAGGACAGACAGAGACTATGTTGTGCCCTGCATCAGGGTCCAAAAAATGGACTCCCTGCCTGTGGTTATAAGTTCTCTCTCCTCTCTGTCCTGCTGGCCATACCAGGACCTTGTCAGCCTGGCAAGCAGCACCTCTAGCTGGAGGCCTCTGGCAGTGGGCCTCACTGTAGCCTTGTAGCAGGCTGTGGGCAAGCTGGCTCACTCTAAGGTGTATTCATAATCAGAACAGAGTGATCATCTGTGTACAGCCCTGCCTTTGGGCAGGGAAGCCCATGAGGTTTTGTTTTTGTTTTTGATTGAGATGGGGTCTTGCTATATTGCCCAGGTTGGTCTGGAACTCTGGGCTCCAGCAGTCTTCCCACCTCAGCCTCCCAAAGTGCTGGGATTGAAGTCATGAGGTTTGATTGTCAAACTCCTCTTCATTGGTGTGATTATGGCTCACTGCAGCCTCAACCTCTTGGGCTCAAACAATCCTGTGGCCTCGGCCTCCCGAGTAGCTGGGCCTATAAGGCATGCAGCACTATGCTCACCTAATGTTTGAAAAAATTTTGTAGAGATGGGCTAAGTTGCCCAGGCTGGTCTTAAACTTCTGGGCTCAAGCAGTCCTCCTGCCTGGCCTCCCAAAGTGTTGGGATTATAGGCATGAGCCACCTCGCCTGGCCTTCCCTCCTTTACTACATTCTCAGAGACCTCTTAGGAGTTTCC
Source organism: Homo sapiens (assembly GCF_000001405.40). NCBI lineage: Eukaryota > Metazoa > Chordata > Mammalia > Primates > Hominidae > Homo > Homo sapiens. The sequence goes on along the minus strand of NC_000002.12, from coordinate 96,596,232 downwards.
CAAGGGGGAAATTTAGAAAAGTGGGGAAAGCGTTGGTAAAAAAGGCCACCCTCTCTACTTGCTTCCTTATTCTTAAGCTGCAGGGCTCAACATTGATGGCATCCCCCCACACCTACATGTCTAAGGCCTCAAAATCAGAAGTCACGGAAATCTTCCCTTCTGTTCTGTTGCCCTTAAAAACTCACCTATTTCCTTTTTTCTGCATTCCTTTTCTGTCTTCATGTGTAATAATATGAGGTGACCTTTGTTGTTGAGCACAGATTAAACTCAGGAGCTTTATGTGGATTATTTCATTTAATCCTTACGGTGACCCTGGAAAGTAGATGCTGTCATCTACCTCTTACAGGCGAGGAAAAGGAGGCTCAGAGAACATAGGCACTTGCCTTAAAAAGTGGAAAGTTGAGTCTCTCACTCTAGAGTCCATGTTCTGTTAACCACTTGGCAGCTAGAACATGTGTCCTTGTGTATCCAACTTCTTTCCTATTGAGAATTAATTCTTTAAAATAAATTCTCAGGAGTTGGGATAATTGGGATAGAGGGTCTGAATATGATGATAACCTGTCAAAGCTTTGACCCTTCTTCACTACCTCTCCTGCCACAGCGCCTGCCTCCAGCACCCTGAAGATGCTGTGTGATATGTCCTCCTTACCAAGTTGGTGATGGCTGCCTCATGGTGGGCCCTGGACAGGTGTGTGGTCCTGCTGAGCTGTCCACGTGTCGGAAGACCTGTTTAAGACAGTCATTTTTGCCTCTCCGCCAACTGTCTTCAGAGAAACCATTAGGTTAGGTGATACGGTGCCAGCAAGGGAAGCACCATCGTCCAGGATCTGCAAATCTGGTTCCTGGGAACCCCAGACTCCTCAGCAGATCTGGCTGTACATGGATCAGAACCACTTCTTCCCCCGCTTAAGCTGTGGTTTGACCCAAGGGTCAGCATATAGGACTGCCTGCTGCATTTAATGAAGGTGTTTCCTTTTGGAAGTCTGTGCTACCCTCTGCGCCTAGTTGGGAGGAGACATCCATCTGGTCTGGGATTTCGGGAGTTAGAATGGAAAGCTCTTTGCTAAAGACTGGAGTCATCCTGGCCTGCCAACTGGTGGTTCAGAGCCGGACGGGCTTGTTTTGGACATCACTGTTGCCTTCACTCAGCAGCCACGGGAGAGTGCTCCCCATGCAACTCCACCTTAGAAACCACGTCAGATACTGAGTAGCTTGCTGACTCCTGGAAACTTCTGGTTTTTGTTAGTATCATAATGAAGGCAAAGAGAACTAGGCTGTCATCTTTCAGCCTCTTTGACTTACTCTAGATGTTGGGAGCAGTGGTTGCCAGGTGAAACCTGGGCCCTTTGTCTTTTTCACCATGCTTTGGGCAGTTTCTGTATCCAGAGAGTCCGCAGGTTCAGATAAGCTGAAGAAGAGTAATAGAACAGCAAAGGAAGTGGCTTGAAGGATGTGCTAGTAAGCCCTGTGGTTTGTGCTTAGGTCTCTGCTCTGCTACCCAAGGAACTGGTGGTTCAGCTGGAGATAAAAAGAAGAATTTGCCAAGTCAGAGAAGAAACCCCAACCCCGGAAAATCCTCTGTCTCCAGTCTCTGGAGGTGAAGCAGGGACAATAAGCTAAGGTAGTATCTTGGCCATCCCAGGAAACTTGTGGCATTAGGACGATGAAGGCCATGCTTCAGTGTTTTCGTTTCTATTTCATGAGACTTTTTGTCTTCCTGCTTACAAGTGGGAAGATGATTGACAGTGACTCTACTATGCAGGGCTGTTGGTACCAACCTGAGCCCTATAGGTGGCAGTCCCTGGAGAAGTGGTCACAGAAGATGGAGCTCTGATCCCCTGCTTACCTCTTCACAACACTTGTGTGCAAAGATAGTTTTAGATTTGGTTTAGAAGCTATCCTCCAGAACAGGCTCCCATACTTAGAATGTTTCTAGTTAAGGTAATAAATTAGGCAACCCAAGTGTGACTCCACTCAAGTGTCCTTTTCTGTAGGCAGGAAGGGCCCACAACATGGCTTAAAATGTAGTCCATGGTTCTGGCCCACAGTACAGTGTGTATCTATACCAGGTCACCTGTGTTCAATCTGGGAGCCTTCCTGGCCAGTCTGAGTGGCAGCCAGAAGGGAGCTCATAGTGTCTAGGAGTCTCAGGCAAGGTAGGTCAGGGTACTGTGGGCAGGGGGGATGTGTGTGATAGGAGAGGGTACCCTAAACCCCATACCTTCCCTCCCTGACCTGAAAAGCTGATCTCAACAGGGATTCACACAGAATTAGGCTGTGTTTTTGCATTAGCTGGTAGGTGACTTTCTCAAAATTCTTAAATTCAGAAAGTATTTAGTAAACTTGAGGAAGGTATGAAATCTGGAGGAGGCATCCAGGACCCAGGGGTTTGATAGCTTTACAGGTAGGATCATACCACACCAAAAGAGCAGTGGACAATAAGACTATATGAGCTATATGAAGCTTTTAGGAATCATTTAGGACAGACAGAGCCCTAAACAACCCATTCATGACTTAAGTTGTTGGCTCAGTGTATGCTGGGGACAAAGAAAAACTAACAAGCCGACCTGCCTTTATGATAAATTCTAGTGTGCTTACAAGGGATGACTTCCTGAGGTGTGATCTGTCCACCTTGAAGAACTCCACAACTGAAGAAGGGGAGCTGTGAGAACGTGGATTGTTCTACAACTTGCACAGGGTAACAGAGGAAGTGGCTGAGGCCTAGAGTCACGTTTTCCAGTTCCCTTCGCAAACTATATTTCTTGGAACGCGAAAGGAAGCTTTACCTATTTCATAGAAGACCTGGAATCCATAACCTCAGAAGGCAATATTATTGATAGAAAATGTGGAAGGATCAGGAAGTTCTTAGATTCTTGGATGACAGATGCATGTTGATGCCCTATGGAGATGTCCTTGTGTTTTGAGGTCACTGAGGTAGGAAGACCTGTCTACTCTTGGTTTCACCACTAGAACAGTCTTGGGCTGGATGGGTTATAGAGCTGAGCGGCTGTGATGGTTCTGTTTTTACATTAACAAAAACAATTAAAAACACCAAAAACAACATTTGGATTGCTTCAGCTTCTTTTCAGTTGACTTCTCATATGTATTCTGGAAACCACCCAATGAAGTGGGCACCAAAGGTAGAGCTAAGATATTGTAAGGCCAGTGATCATCACCTCACCAATGCCAGGTGGTATGAGGGGGTACTGTAATTTCCTTTTTTTTTTTTCGAGATGGAGTCTCGCATTGTTATTTGGGCTGGAGTGCAATGGCGCGATCTTGGCTAACTGCAACTTCCGCCTCCTGTGTTCAAGCAATTCTCCTGCCTCAGCCTCCCAAGTAGCTGAGATTACAGGCGCCCGACACCACGCCCAGCTAATTTTTTGTGTTTTTAGTAGAGACAGGGTTCCACTATGTTGGCCAAGCTGGTCTCAAACTCCTGACCTTGTGATCCGCCCGCCTCAGCCTCCCAAAGTGCTGGGATTACAGGCGTGAGCCACCACACCCAGCCTGTAATTTCCTTTCTATAAGTGAGGAAACAGGCACAGAGCAGTCAAAACAGCAGGAAATGGCAGAAGCAGTACTGGAACCCAGACAGTCTGATGTCAGTGTCTTTTCTACTCTGCATTGTGCTAGGGTTCTAAGATGGGAGACTGGAGGTAGAGATTAACCCAGGAGGTGAGGAGATGGTGGCTTGGCCTGCACGTGACCTTTTCAGTTTACTTCCCACCAGGCCAAGAGTAATTGATGTTGATATGGTGGGGCTCTTGGCTGAGCCTACGTCAGTAGGTGGGGTCCCTCAACCTTGATCCTGAAAGATCAGTATCCTTTCGCACTTCCTATACCTCCACCCACCGCCAATAAATACATAAAGATTTAGAGATGAATGAATGAATTCCAACCTCTAGATTATTTGTTAACTTGTATTCAGGAGGACCTTCCTTCTAACCCCTAAATTCCAGGTCACTACCCTTGGCATTGGAGCCCTCTGGGTGGAGGCCATAGTTCTGGTATGCTGCTTGGAGTGTCCAGTATACCTGGGCACATCGTGTTACCCTCCTTAGTAGACATCTGGTTTGCTGTCTTCTCCCTCAAACTCTAGTCTCACTGACTTGAGCAGTCAGGTCAAGCGAGATGAGGATTAGATTGTTAAAATGACAGCTCTCTGAAACTTCAGGGGTATGGGGACAGGGCCATAGCAAATAATGATGCAGACAAGTCTTTTTTACCTTTTTATGTCTTTTTCAAGCACACATTTTGGTCAGGGTTGATGGCTGCAAGAAGGAGAAACCTATTCACCACCAAAATAGCTCTGAAAGGGAATATTCTCTCATTAGGCATTTTTATAGACAAGGAGCCTCACGGTTTTGGTACTTGCCTCGTGACCTCAAGTGGCTTGGACTTGCCGGGATCCAGTTTTGATCCTATTGTCACAGGACTTTTTAGCTGCAGAACCCTTTATGGATGGCTGGTCTCTTTCATTCAGTTCAAATTCTGAAGACAGCCTGATTGGCTCACTCTCACTTGTGGGTTGGTTCTCCTTATCTCTTCCCACCCAGTCCAATCATAGTATCCAGAAGATGAAGTCATGTGGTTCATATCATTACTTTTCTAAGGAGAAGTAGATGGATTTAAACAAAGCAAAACACTGCTGGACTGTTAGATATGTGTGTTTTTAACCTGCAATTGTAGTATAGTATAACACCCTTCACCAAGTTTCCCCAGTACTTACATCTCACTTAACTATAATACAAAATTAAAACCAGGAAGTTGGTACAATGTGTGTGTATAGTTCTATGTCATTTTATCGCTGTAACCATAAACAAAATACAGAATGGTTCCATCAGCACAAAGATCTCCCTCATGCCACCCCTTTATAGTTGCATCCATCTCCTTCCCCACCATTCCTGACCCTAGCAACCACTAATCTCTTCTACTTGTCCTAAATAGGTTGATGTATAAATAGAATCTTACAGTGCATGGCCTTTTGAGATTGTCTTGTTTTCATTCAATATCATTTCCTTGATACACATCCAAGTTGTTACGTGTATATGAGTAGTTCATTCCTTTTATTGCTGAGTGGTATTTCATGGTATGGGTTTAGCACAGTTTGTGTAACAATTCATTCACCTATTGAGGGACATCTAGTTTGTTCCCTGTTGGGGGCTATTACAGATAAAGCTACTGTGGCAATTGTGTGCAGTGGTTTTGTTTTGTTTTGTTTTGTTTTGTTTTGTTTTGTTTTTTGAGACGGAGTCTTGCTGTGTCGCCTAGGCTGGAGTGCAGTGGCACGATCTCAGCTCACTGCAACCTCCACCTCCCTGGTTCAAGCAATTCCCCTGCCTCAGCCTTCTGAGTAGCTGGGATTACAGGCACACACCACCAGGACCGGCTAATTTTTTTGTATTTTTAGTAGAGACAGGGTTTCACCATGTTGGCTAGACTGGTCTCAAACTCCTGACCTCAGGCAATCCTCCTGCCTCGGCCTCCCAAAGTGCTGGGATTACAGGTGTGAGCCACTGTGCCCAGCCAATTGTATGCAGTTTTTAAAATGAGAACATGAGTTTTCATTTCTCTCTGGTAAATAACCAGGAGTGTGATTACTAGGTCATATGTTAAGTTTTTAATTTTTTAGGAAACTGCCAGCCCAGCCTGATGGCTCACACCTGTAATCCCAGCACTTTGGGAGGCCAAGATGGTAGGATTGCTTGAGCTCAGGAGTTTGAAACCCCCTAGGCAACATAGATAGACCCTGCCTCTACAAAAATACAAATTAGCCGGGTGTCATGCCGCGCACCTGTAGTCCCGGCTACTTGGGAAGCTGAAATGGAAGGATTGCTTGAGCCTGGGAGGTCAAGGCTGCAGTGAGCTGTGATCGTGCCATGGTACTCAATCTGAGCAACAGAGTGAGACCTTGTTTCTAAAGAAAAAAAAAAAGAAACTGCCACTGTTTTTCAGAGTAGTTGTACTATTTTACATTCCTATCAGCAGTGTATGCGAGATTCATTTTCTCGGCATTCCTGCCAGCATTCTATATTGTCTCTTTTATTATTTATTTATTTTTATTTTATTTTTGGGAGACTGAGTCTCATTCTGTCGCCCAGGCTGGAGTGCAATGCGCAATCTTGGCTCACTGCAACCTCTGCCTCCCAGGTTCAAGCAATTCTGCCTCAGCCTCCCTAGTAGCTGGGATTACAGGCATCCACCACCACACCTGTCTAATTTTTTTTTTTTTTTTGTATTTTTAGTAGAGATGGGGTTTCACCACGTCGGCCAGGCTGGTCTTGAACTCCTGACCTCAGGTAATCCACCCGCCTCAGCCTCCCAAAGTGCTGGGATTACAGGTGTGAGCCACTGCGCCTGGCCTCTTTTATTTTTTATTTTAGCCATTCTAATAGGTGTGTAGTGGTATCTCATTGTGGTCTTTTAAATTTGTTGAGGTTTATGGCCCAGGGGTGATCTATCTTGGTATGTATTCTGTGGGTGCTTAAATGTGTTCTGCTGTAGGGTGGAGTGTTCCATAAATGTCGATAAAATTGTTGGCTGATGGTGTTGTCAGGTTCTTGTATATCCTTGCTGATTTTCTGTCAAGTTGTTCTGTCAACTGTAAAGAGTGGTGTTGAAATTTCCAACTATAATTGTGGAATTGTCTATGTCTCCTTTCAGTTCTGTCAGTTTTTATTACACATATTTTTCAGTTCTGTTATTTGGTACATACACTTTTAGGATTTCTGTGTCTTTTTGGTGGATTGACCCTTTTATCATTATGTAATGTCCCTCTGTCCCTGTTGGTTTTCTTTGCCATGAAGTCTACTTTATTTGACACTATACCCATTCTACTTGTTTTTGATTTATGTTTGCATGACATATTTTTTATTCTTTTGTTTTCACCCTACCTATGTCATTATATTTCAAGTGAATTTCTTGTAGACTGCATGTAGCATATGATTTTTCTTCTATACCAATATCATTCTTTTAATTAGAGTTTTTAGACTGTTTTCTTACATGTAATTATAGGTAATGTTAGGCCTTAAGTTGGCCATTTTAGTTTTTGTTTTCCATTTTTTGTTTTCATTTTCCTGCCTGTAAGTGGGTTACTTGAACACTTTTTTTAGAATACAATTTTGGTTTATTCATAGCGGTTTGAGTTGTATCTCCTTGTATAGTTTTTTAGTGGTTGCTCCAAAATGTTACTTTATATATATGTAACTTACCACAGTCTCCTGGTATCCACATTACCCTCTTCCACCTCTAGTATAACTATCTATGTACTTTGAGAACCACGTTAGACAGTGTTGTAAGTTTTGCTTCAAATATAATTTAGAAAACTTAAGAAAAGGGCTGGGTGCGGTGGCTTAAGCCTGTAATCCCAGCACTTTGCAAGGCCAAGGCAGGCAGATCACTTGAGGTCAGGAGTTCAAGACTAGCTTGGCCAACATGGTGAAACCCTGTCTCTACTCAAAAAAATACAAAAATTAGCTGGGTGTGGTGGTGGGCGCCTGTAATCCCAGCTACTCCGGAGGCTGAGGCACGAGAATTGCTTGAACCCAGGAGGCGGAGGTTGCAGTGAGCCGAGATTGCACCACTGTACTTCAGCCTGGGTGACAGAGCGAGACTCCGTCTCCAAAAAAAAAAGAAAAGAAAAGGGAAGTCTATTGTAGTTACCCATATTTTTGCTCTTTCCATTGTTCTTTCTTCCTAATGTTCCAAGATTCCTTCTTTTACCATTTCCTTCTTATTTAGAGAACTCTCTTTAGCCAGTCTTCTTTGTTGTCAGCGGCAACACATTCTTTTAATTTTCCTTTGTCTGAGAATGTCTGAATTTTACCTTTCATTAATGAAGGATAGTTTTGCTAGATAAATTCTGTGTTGACCACAGAATTCTGTTCTTGAATTTGGAAAATTCTGCTTTCTTGTTTTCTGATGAGATATTCAGTGTCATTCAAATTGTTTCCCGTTTGTAGATAAGGTGTTGTTTCTTTGTGCTTTCAATATTTTTTCTTTTTCTTTAATTTTCAGGTTTGAATATGATGCATCTTGACATGGATTTTGGTTTTTTTTTTCTGTTTAGGATTTGCTCAGCTTCTTGAACCTGTATAGGCTTAAGCCTTTTTACCATATTTGGGGAATTTTCAGCCACTATTTTTTCAGTGCTTCCTTCTTTTTCCTCTGCATCATGCCCCCAGTGGCATGACTATTAGATCTTAGGTATAGCCCTACAGCACCCTCAGGCTCTGTTCTTTTGTTTTTTTTCTGTTGGTTTGTTCTCTTTTCAGATTGTGTCTGTTGTTCTGTCTTCAAGTTCACGGATTCTTTCTTGTGTCCCTTCTGTTCTGCTGTTGAGCCTATTCATTGATTTTTTTCATTTAGGTTATTCTAGTTTTCATTTCTCAAATTTGTTTTGTTCTTTATGTCTTCTGTATCCTTCCTGAGGATTTCTGTTTTCATTTGTCTTAGTGTGATATTGCTCATTGCAGCATTTTAAATGATGGCTGCTTGAAAATCCTTGTTAGACAGTTCTAATATCTGTGTCTTCTCAATTTTGGCATCTGTTGGTTGTCTTTTCTTATTTGAGTTGAGAATTTCTTGGTTCTTGATATATTCTTTGAGTGGTTTTGGATGAAACTGGGACATTTTGAGTGTTATCTATGAAACTCGATCTTCTTTAAATCTTCTGTTTTAGCAGGCCTCATCTGACACTGCTCTCATAGGGGAACTTTGTTACTGCCAGATGGGGTGGAAGTCTAGGATCCCCACTTGGCTTTCATTGACATTGGGGTGGAGTCTTTACTGCTGGGTGGAGGTGGGAGTTTTGGCTCCCCACCTGGCCTCTGCTGCTGCCAGCCAGCCTAGCTGGAAGGGCAGGAGTACCTTGTTGGTCTTTCTCACATGTTCTTGTTTCTAGGCAGAGGTAAATGCCCTGACTCTTCACTAGGTCTTTGCTGATGCCACCTAAGCTGGGACAGGGTTGTGTCTTATTGCCAGGTGGGTAGATTTCCAGGCTAACCACATGGTCTCTAATGGCACAAGAAGAGTGGGGGTTGGGAGCTTTATTACCACTCATTGGGATTGAAGTTTTAGTTTCCCACTTGGCCTACTTCAACACCACCCCCCAAAAACTAAACATTTGAGGAGACAGCCACCTCACAAAAGGCAACAGTGGACAACATATACTTTCTGAAGCAGAATTATTGGAAGAGATAAGTTAATATGTGACTAATATATGTAAGGAGTTATGGTTGGTCAGATACTGATATGAAACAACAGGAAACTGTTATTTAAAAACCCAGAAATACTAGTTATAGAAAATATAATAGCTAAAACAAGGTAATTATGGGATAAAAAGTAGAAGGGATATGGCTAAAGAATTAATTAACTGGAAGATTAGAATTAGGAATTCTCTCAGAAGGCATCAAAAGAGCCAAGAAGTATAGAGGACAGAAGTAGAAGCAGTAGAACACAATTAAGAGTCATGAAGGGAAAGCTGGCTACTCGGGAAGATTGCTTAAGGCCAGGCGTTGAAGCCTGTAGTGTGCGATGATCAGGCCTGTGGATAGCGACTGCAGTCCAGCCTGGGCAACAAGACCCTGTCTCTCAATTTTCTTTTTCAATTTTTAAAAGCCATGAAAGGAAAATGAAATAAAAAACAAGGAAGTAATTTTTTACATAATGGAGGATAAATTTCTAAGAATTAAGAGAAAATTGAAAGGCCTCAGTTTGAAAGCATTCACATGGAGTCTCAACTGGGAGCAATAAGGAAAACCCACATCTAGACACATTATAATTAAAGACAGAAAATCTTTCTTATTTTTAAATTTGATTCCAGTAGTTGTTGGGGAAGAGGTGGTTTTTGGTTACATGGGTAAGTTCTTTAGTGGTGATTTCTGAGATTTTGGTGCACCTGGCATCTGAGCAGTGTACACTGCACCAAATGTGTAGTATTTTAATCACCCCCACCCTTACCCCGAAGTCCTCAAAGTCAATTATATCTTTTTTTTTTTTTTTTTTGAGACTGAGTCTCACTCTGTCATCCAGGCTAGAGTGCAGTGGCACGATTTTGGCTTACTGCAAGCTCCGCCTCCCGGGTTCAAGTGATTCTCATGCCTCAGCCTCCCGAGTAGCTGGGATTACAGGTGCCCGCCACCACGCCCAGCTAATTTTTATATTCTTGGTAGATATGGTTTCACCATGTTGGCCAGGCTGGTGTCAAGCTCCTGACCTCAAGTGATCCGCCCGCCTCAGCCTCCCAAAGTCCTGGGATTACAGGCATGAGCCACCGCGCCCAGCCCAATTATATCATTCTTATGCCTTTGTGTCCTTATAGCTTAGCTCCCACTTCTAAGTGAGAACGTACAATATTTGGATTTCCATTCCTGAGTTACTTCACTTAAAATAATGGTCTTCAGCTCCATCCAGGTTGGTGCAAATGCCATTATTTTGTTTCTTTTTATGGCTGAATAGTATTCCATGGTATATATATACCACATTTTTTTTTTATCCACTCTTTGGTTGATGGGCATTTAGGCTGGTTCCATGTTTTTGCAGTTGCAAATTGTATTGCTGTAGATGTGTGTGCAAGTGACTTTTTCATATAATGACTATTTTCCTTTGGGTAGATACCCAGTAGTGGGATTGCTGGATCAAATGATAGTTCTAATTTTAGTTCTTTAAGGGATTTCCATACTGTTCTCCATAGTGATTGTACTAGTTTACATTCCCACCAGCAGTGTAAAAGTGTTCCCTTTTCATGCCAGCATCTATTATTTTAAAATTTTTAGTTATGGCCATTCTCGCAGGAATAAGGTGGTTTCACACTGGCTTTGATTTGCATTTCCCTGATAATTAGTGGTGTTGAGCATTTTTTCATATATTTGTTAGCCATTTGCATATCTTGAGAATTGTCTGGTAATGTCCCTTGCCCTTTTTGTGATGGGATTACATATTTTTTTCTTGCTGATTTAAGTTTCTTGTAGATTCTGGTTATTAGTCCTTTGTTGGATGGATAGTTTGTGAATATTTTCTCCCATTCTGTAGGTTGTTGTGTACTCTGATTTTTCATTTGCTGTGCAGAAGCTTTTTAGTTTAATTAGGTCCCATCTATTTATTTTTGTTCTTGTTGCATTTGCTTTTGGGCTCTTGGTCATTAACTCTTTACCTAAGCCAACAAAAGACAGAAAATCTTAAAGGCTTCCATAGAGAAAATCCACATCCACCGCAGCGTTTGAGCCAGAATCAGACTAATGTGAGACATCACAACATGAATCTTCGCTTCAAGAAGTCATTAATGTTTTTAACATAGTGGAGGACAGAACATGGAATTTAAGTGTTAGGACATTATAAGAATGTTCTCAGGCATACACAGCTTCAGAAGATCTGACACACAAAGACTCGTTGGTGCACTCCCATGTTTATTACAGCACCATTCACAGCAGCCAAGATAGAGGATCAACCTAAGTGTGCATCAGCAGATGAATGGATAAAGAAAATGGGATATATATATACACAATGAAATACTACCTAGTTAAAAAAAAATTCTGTCATTTGCAGCAACATGGATGAACTTGGAGGACATGTTAAGTGAAGTAAGTCTGGACAGAAAAATACTGCGTGTTCTCACCCACAGGTAGGAGCTAAAAAAGCTGATCTTATAGAAGTAGGGAGTGTAGGTGGGATGAATAACTTCTAGTGTTCTATAACACTATAGGCTGACTATAATTAACAATTTATTATAGATTTTCAAATTCCTAGAAAACCAGATTTTGAATGTTCCCAGGATAAAGAAATGAGAAATGTTTTGAGGTGCTGGATATGCCAATTATCCTGATTTGATCATTACACATTGTATACACGCTTTGAAATATTGTACTCTGCCCCATAAATACATACAATTATATGCCAGTTAAAAATAATAAAAGCTGGCCGAGTGCAGTGGCTCATGCCTGTAATCTAAGCAATTTGGGAGGCTGAGGTGGGAGTATCTCTTGAGCCCAGGAATTCAAGGCTGCAGGGCACCATGAGTCACCACTGCACTCCAGCCTGTGCAAGAGCGTCTCTAAAAATAAAAGTGAAAAAAGAATAGACACACCACAGACTCAGATAAAATGTTTGTAATATGTATTTGACCGAGGACACACATATAACCAGAATACATAAAAGAATTACTACAAATCATGATTTAAATGTAATAAATATTTGCAGGCTTAAATAGAGACATTCCACAAGAAGATATCCAAGTAGCCAATGTGCACATGAAAGAGTTTTCAGTATCACTGGTCATGAGTAAAATGCAATATTAAACCAATAAAATACCACTTTACACTCACTAGAATGGCTAAAATTAACAACAATACCGAGTGTTAGCAAGGATAAGGAACACCTGGAACTCTTAGACATTGCTGGTGGTAGTCTATTATAGTAAACCACTTTGAAGAACTGTTTGAGCAATTCCTCTCCTACGTATATACAAAAGAGAAATGATAACTTACGTCCACAAAAGTAGTGACTTCTACAAGTACATTCATAGCAGCTTTATTCATAATAGCCCAAAACTGAAAATAGACTGAATGTCCCTTAATAGGAAAATGGATATACACATTGCAGTATTTTCATATAGTGGAACACTATTTGGTAATGAAAAGAACCACTGACATGCAATGACCTGGATGAATCTCAATAGCATGCTGAATGGCAGAAGCTGGACCCAAAAGACTACACGGTATGATTCCACTGATAGGAAATCCAAATTTGAACAAAACTAGTCTGCGGTTATAGAAGTCAGATCATGATTGAGAGAGACTGTAACCAGAAAGGAGTACAGAGACTTTTTCCGTCGGGGGGAAATGTTCTATATCTTGTTTTGGATGGACATTACAAGGATGTATACAAATGTTGAGACTCAGTTGAGTGAGAAGGGGCCCACATCTGGTAATAGCCAAGTAGCTCCTACCAGACCATTCCATGCACATGTAATAACTATAAATAAAAAAATAGAAAACTTCCCATAAGCTGCTGGAGAGCCACAGAATCAGACAGATAATGGGAAGGTGGGTGACACTTAGATAGAGTAAAACAGTGAATTTTGTTTGTATGGCTTGTAGTCTGAGGGCAAACCATAGTCTGTACCATGCAGAGCAGCTAAAACTCAGAAATGTGCTGCTGTAACCATTCTGTCCAGCTTGCAGAACAAAATAGCAGAGGTTGGGTTGACCATTGCAGCTGGAAAGTGAGGGGATACTCACAGGAAGAAGAGAGTGAGCCTCAGATATTCTGCACACTGTGTCCAAACCTTCCTGTAGCTCCTAAACTACACATGTGTGTGTTAGACTTCCAGCAGTCCAGCTAAGGCTAAAAGAATTGAACTGAAATTTCAGCTGCCTTCAACTGCAGGCAAGCAATATGCAGTTTGAGTCTAGTAAACTTACCTGCCTATTAGCATGAATAATCAGTATTTTTCAGCAACATTATAGAATCCAACATTTTTGGAACATATGATATGTCCAGAATATGATCCCAAATTATTCAGTAAAGAGGCAAATATTACCCATGCTCAAGAGAAAAGGCAATCAATTGAGACTGACCCAGAGATGATGCAGACATTGGAATTAGCAAGCAAGGAATTTAAAGCAGCTCTTAATATTACGCTATAGGATGTAAAGGAAAGTGCTCATAATGAAGAAAGTGGTAAGAAGTACAGAAGAGAAGTCCAAACTAGAAAAAGCCAAATGGAAATTCTGTCACTGGAAAATTAAATACTTGAAATAGAAAATTCAGTGGATGGGCTTAATAGCAGATTGGAAGTTACAAAAGAGTTATTGATTTTCTTCTTTTTTTTTTTTGAGACAGAGTCTTACTCTGTTCCCTAGGTTGGAGTGCAGTGGCACTATCTCCACTCATTGCAACCTCCACCTCCTGGGTTCAAGCGATTCTCCTGCCTTAGCCTCTAGAGTAGCTGGGATTACAGGCGTGTGCCACCATGCCCGGCTAATTTTTGTATTTTTAGTGGAGACGGGGTTTCACCAGCCTTACCATTTGGCCAAGCTGGTCTCAAACTCCTGGCCTCAAGTCATCCGCCCGTCTTGGCCTCCCAAGTGCCGGGATTATAGATGTGAGCCACCGCACCTGGCCGAGTTACTGACTTTTAAAACAAAAACAAGTTATCTGGGGGAGAGAAAAATAAAATTGAAAATAGTGAATAACACCTTAGGGCAATATCAAAAGATCTAATGTACAAATAATTTTTAAAGTCCAAGGACAAGAGGAAAGAGGCCCCCCAAGGAAAATATTTAAATGAATAATAGCTGAAGTATTTTTATATTTGGTGAAAGACAAAATTTGTAGGTTCAAGAATCTCAGTTAACCTTGAGCCTCAGTGATAGGATATGGATGTTCACTGTACAAGTCTTGCCATTTTTTTCTCTGTGTTTGAAATTTTTTATAATGTTAAAAAACAAAATCCTCAAAACAAAACATTTATATTGAAAGAAACATTTAGAAGTACTCAGACACAAGTCCAGATGAAGTAGACAGAGATATAGAAAGTGAGGGTGGTTAAGTATCTATAAAGTTTGTTGTTACCTTAAAAGCCTCAAAGAAAATATAGTCTGTAGCCATCTACAGCTAAAATTCTAAATATCAATATGAGGATGGGGTAAGGGAGCAAAAGATAAAAAGCAGCATGTTGAAGCACTCGTGGAAATATATTGGTAAATTTAAGAAGCTTATAATAGTATATGAAGATAAGAATGAATGCTAATATACCAGTAACCACCTTAAGAACAAAGATATAATCTAAACCTTTTTTTTTTTTTTTGAGATGGAGTCTTGCTCTGTCGCCCAGGCTGGAGTACAGTGGCATGATCTTGGCTCACTGCAACCTCCGCCTTCTGGGTTCAAGCGATTCTCCTGCCTCAGCCTCCTGAGTAGCAGGGATTACAGGCATGTGCCACCACGCCTGGCTAATTTTTGTATTTTTAGTAGAGATGGGGTTTCACCATGTTGGTCAGGCTGGTCTCGAGCTCCTTACCTTGTGATCTGCCTGCTTCGGCCTCCCGGAGTGCTGGGATTACAGGCGTGAGCCACCGTGCCCTGCCCCTTAGGTGATTCTTAAAGCGGGGAAACTAAAGCACTAGGCTTTGGGGCTCTCTTCTCAGGCATCCTCCTCAATTCCCAGAGGAGGGACCTGAGACTCAAAACAGAGAGTCTGCAGGGCTGCACAGCCGCTGGTTGAAGGCTGGGAAAGAGCCAGATGTTTTCTAGAAGGGCTCATTCTGTCTCACTGTCCTGGCCTAACAGGAGGTGGCAGCACTGGTTCTGAGTTCTTGCTACTGCTTCTCTGGATTGGCCTCACTCAGGGAGTGCAGTTATCTCATGGGCTGGAATCCTGGTTACTGGAATGCAGAGACAAAAGTCTTGTACCTCCTGTGGAGCCCACTGTAGGCATAGGAAACCTAACATTATTTGGCTCTATGATGTCTCTGTTTTGCAGGGATTCCACACATGACACTTTTTAAAATGCAAACTTTTATATTCAAATATAATGTATATGCATAAAAGTGCACCAATAGAAACTATACAGTATAATGAATTTTCACAAACAACACACACCTGTTTAACCAACATACAGGTAAGAAATAGAACATTACCACACTATCCTTCTGCTCCAGGACAACCTCTTTCCTGACTTCTACCACCATAGGTTGGTTTCGCCTATTTTTAAACTTAATAAAGGTGGAATTATGTATTTTTTGCATGTCTAGCTTCTTTCAACATTATGAAAGTATATAGATGTATTACATACAACATCTATTACATCCATGTTGTATGTAATAGTTCATTTGAGATGTTATATAACATTTATGAAATGTTATTTCATGTGATAGTTTGGGATTATTGCAAATAATACAACTATGTACATGCCTTTTGGTTAATACATGCACACATTTCTGTTGGAGGAATGGAGTTGTTGGGTTGCAGGATATGCTCATGTCAAGGAGCCTATGTTCCAGTAAAACGAGAATTGGAATTCCTCCTCTAGTGGCACTTCAGCTAAGGAGGAAGTTACTCTGGAAGCCATCAGCAGGCTGTAGGATAGGTTCTGTTCCTATTTAGGTGCCAAGAGCTACATATGCATATCAGTGTGCACATCTAAGTGAATTGACACACTTTCAAGTCTCTGCCACTCTGAGTGGACAGGTGTGTCTTTCAGAGTTTTATTAACAGATGCATTAGTTCACATCTTGGCAAGAAAAGATGGCAGACTCAAAGGGTATATTAGAATTGGTGAAGGGACAATTTAGACAGAGTGAAGGAAAACAACGGGGCTTTGAAGCTCCCAGGACACACACTCAACGCTTCAGCAAGGCCTCAGTGAGCTCATGAAGCAGGGAGGAGTGGGTAGGAGCAGCCTTCGCCACCAGGCGCCATCCCTGCAGCCTACATAAGCACACCTGTCCTCTCAGAGCCCCCTGGGCTCCCACAGGCCTTGCACCCATAGGCCTGAAGGAGCAGTGTTACTAGGTTCTGGGAGAGCTGTAGCCATGGAGAGGCTGCAGAGAGAGCTGGGTGAGTGGGAGGTTGGAAATAAATACTTCCATGTCTTCTCTTGCCTCTCATCACCTGCTGGAAGCCAGAGGATAATGCAGTTCTTATAGGTCAGCCTCCTGGGGTAGTTTCCTAGGGCGCAAAGCAGGGATGTGAGGGAGAAGGATGGATCTGGAGGGGCAACCAGAATATCTGACCTGATAGATGTATTTTTCAGCTGGAAAAGGCATACATATTGAGAGTAGAAATGTTGGCCAGTATAGAAAAGCATAAAGAAGAAAAAAAAGAATATCTATAATCTCATCAACCAGAAGCATTGTCTGTTTACATTTTAGTGTGTTTGTTTCTAGTCCTTTTCCATACATATTTTTCAGTAGTTGGAATCACACCATGCATGTAGTTTTTTATTAGTTTTTGTAATGAGTTGGCACCAGAATTCCTCTTGGGGAAGAGAGCTTTTGGTTTGGGGAAGGTTCCTTGAGAAACTGGAATAGATGAGATGGCTCTGACTGTAAGGTATTAGTAGCTCAAGCAAAGGATGGTTAATATCTCTGTAGGAGAGAGTGGATTTTTTTATATTTACTGGTGCTTTTGAAGAGAAGGTGGCTAGGGAAGCATCCTGATGGCAGGGTGGCCAAGGGGCAGGTTAAGAATGGCCTACAAAACTGATGACTTATTCTCCCATTCTTCATACCACTAGAATTACAGTGTTGTGGAAGACTTGGGGGAGATCCCTTTCTCAGGGAGGGATGGGCATGTAGCCCAGTCCTGGCTAGTGAATTTTAAGGGGACTGTGCCAGAGGCTACTGGGAAGGGTTTCCTCCTGATAAAAAGGGAGGGGCACGTGAGGAGAAATTCTCTGCCCTGCATTGACCTTTGTTTCCTGCCCCAACTTGCAACTTGAAGAGAAAGGCCAAGGATTAAGAATTAGGACTCATTAGGCCGGGCACGGTGGCTCACACCTGTAATCCCAGCACTTTGGGAGGCCGAGGCAGGCAGATCATGAGGTCATGAGATCGAGACCATCCTGGCTAACACGGTGAAATCTCGTCGGTACTAAAAATAGAAAAAAATTAGCCGGGCGTGGTGGCGGGTCCCTGTAGTCCCAGTTACTCAGGAGGCTGAGGCAGGAGAATAGCTTGAACCCAGGTGGTGGAGCTTGCAGTGAGCCGAGATCACGCCACTGCACTCCAACCTGGGTGACAGAGCGAGACACTGTCTCAAAAAAAAAAGTATTAGGACTCATTAGCCAGGCGGGTACACGCCTGTAAACTCAGCTACTCAGGAGAAGGGAGGATCACTTGAGACCGGGAGTTCAAGACCAGCCTGGGTAACATAGTGAGACCCCTGTCTCCAAAAAAAAAATTTTTTTTAATTAGCCAGACATGGTGGCATGCACCTGTAGTCCCAGTTACTCAAGAGACTGAGGTGGGAAGGTTTCTTGAGCCCGAGAGTTCAAAGCTTCGGTAAGCCATGATTGAGCTACTGCACTCCATATCCTGGGAGACGGAGCAAGACCCTGTCTCAAAAAAAAAAAAGAAATAAAAAAAGAATTAGGACCCTGGCCCCCATTCTCAGCTCTGTCTCTGTGTCATTTGTTAATTCTGAGTCCTGCTTGCATCTTGGCATTGATTCCACCCACCCCCTCCTCCCCCAAGTAGGGAGAACAATAACAATGCTTACATTCAAGCTTTATCCTAGGCCATCATTACTGGTATTCTATAGTTCAGGGAAAAACTGAGGCACAGAGAGGTTAAGTAACTTGCCCAAATCACACAGCTGGTAAGTGGCAGAACCATAGCCGAATTCTGGCAGTCCACTGCAAAGCCCACTCTCAAGCAATCTCTAATCGCAATGACTTGGCTCTCAGGGTTGTGGTGGGTAAGCCTGCTGTGCTCGGAAACTGAATAGTAGCTCATGGCCTATCCATGATAGGTAAAGGGTTGATTGGTTGCAAACCTCTTATCTAAATGGCCTGTAAAAGCACACACTGTGCTTGCTCACAGTGCCCAGAGACCACGTGGGAGGTGCCAAATATGGGTGGTAACAGGCAAGGAAGAGGGAGTATCTGTACCAAATCTGGTTTTGAGGAAGAATTGTATGTCATGTTGAATTGACAGTCTGGCTAATTGGATGGGTAGATGGCTCCTACATGGGTGTCGTAGGCTCTGGCAATGCTGGGCATCCCATTTTCCCATAACTTGTCAGGCTTAAAGTGATTACTGAGGAAGGTGGAAACCAGGCTTGACCACTTGGTTCTTGGTCCATGTGTTCAGACTTCCCTAGAGAGCACCTGTCCTGGAGGATCTAAGCCAGGGCTTCTCATGGTGAGCCCTCTCCGAGAGTGGAGAAGCAGACCAAGGCAGTGGGGAGTGGGACTCTTCTTATGTGGATCATGCCCAGCACCAAATGAGATTGATTCCAGATTAGGTCAGCAGTCATTCTAGACCAGATGGTCCCTATGGAAAAAAAGTGGAGAGTTAGAACAGGGAAGGGTGAGCAGCAAAAGATGCAAAGGAGAGGGAAAACTGGAACAAGGGACAATAATTTCAAATCTGTAGGTTTGTCTTTTTCCCTCTCTTCCTAAGCAGTTTAGTCCTAAAGCCACTAAATAATGCACAGCCAAAAGGGAAAATATTCGTGCATGTGGCAGGGGGAGAAGCCAGCACTAACTTTTGCTAGAAGTGTTCATTGGAGCCCCAGAAAATCCCCTGGGTTCCAGACCTAGTCCTCTGCCACGATCGTGTGGTAATAACCCCAATTTTCCCTTGATAATTGGGGTCAGTCACTTCAGCCCGCAAAGTCACTGCTCTTTTTTGATTTAATGTCATGAGGCACCCAAAAATGTCTAAATGGAGGCAGTCTCAGCTTCCAGTTTGATGGAGCCATTGTTGGGTCCCTGGTGGAAATAGTCCTCCCTTGGGAACCAAGACCTTCCAAGCAAGCAGAGCTCAAAATTGTGGAGATGAGAAGTGACTGGTCATTATGTGTGCTAGTGGGAAGACCTGCTTTCTTTTCTGTTCTTGCTTCCTGGGCCCATGAAGAGACAGCACTATGAATAGGTCTTTGATTTGAAGGATATATTGCATCCTATAAGATAAAACCCTATTCTTTCAGGGTGTTGACTCCCATCTGGTGCCCTAGGTAATTATCTAGTAGGCCATCCCACTGTTCAGACTGACCTCTTCACGATGGGATCTCTGGTAAGACCAATGAGTTTCATGAACCACAAGCCCATTGTTGCAAGCCTCTGTAATGCATGCCTTCCAGTGAGTATCCACATCAGATATTTGGGACCCAAATATCTGTTCCCCTTTGTGCCCAGTTTGAGAAGTTTATCTATATAATTTCCCCAGATCTCATCACCAATGTTCCAACCCTTGTCCCTCCATAACCATCCAGTCATTAATTAGAAATCTTCCTTTAGTCAGCAGATCTGTACTTCTGGTCATCTCTCAGTTCAAACAAAGTGGATAACCAAACAGCTCCAAGTTCTGCTGAATAGGAAGTCTTCTGTTTATCACTGTCCTTCAGAGACACCCAAGTGAGATTGTAATATTGCCATCCACTTTCTGTTGGTTCCAACATATAGAGAACTGCCTGCAAATCAAGCCCAGATTATTTCCTTCTCAGCTACCTAGTCATAAGGAACTCCCAGCAGGCATAGATGAGGATTGAGGGGGAGGAGGCAATGCAGCCAGAGTCAGTGTCGAAGGAGTCTGACTTACTTCTGTCCTCTGGACCTGCTTGAGTCCAGCCTTTTCTATTTTTGCTGCACAGGTCTAATCTGTGGCTAGGTGTGTCAATAACTATAAATTCATGATGGAAAGCTCAGGTCACAAGGTTACTTGATATCTCATGGTTCAGTGTTTATTCTTTACTAAGGGCCAGTAGAAAAGCAGAATCTTTTTCAAACAGATATTAGTTACTTGGAGAAGAGGGCATGGATTTGCCTCCACACTCCAGAGTTCTGTACTGTGATTGTCCTATTAATGCTTGTCACAGGCTCCACAGACCAGCCTGTTTGTCACAGGCACTTTTACTAGCATTGGATCTGTGGGGTCATAAGGCTTGTTCTTCAGCCTGGGCTTGATGCAGAGCAAGAGATTGCTTTAGTCTCTGCTCAAAATTGATTACTCAGTAAATGGGTTGAAATAACACACTCAAGTTTGGTATGCATTGCCTCCAAATGCCAAGAAGGATCCACCAAGGATTTTCTTTATTTTTTAGTTGTAGGTGATGCAAAGTACAGCAACTTGTCTTTTGCCTTGGAGAGGCAATCTTAACAAGCTCGTCACACTAGATCTCTGGAAGCTTTGAGATCATAAGCCTTTGAATTTTCATGGGGTTTATCTCCCACCCTCTGTTTACGTGCATGCCTCCAAGATATCTAAACTATTTTGCATTTTCTGCTCATCACATCCAATCAGTATAAATGTCAGTTTAGCAGATGGGTATAATGTCAAGATCTCCACACACTGTGTTATGTTAGGAGGAGAATTCACAATACTATGAAGGTCTTGTCAGGTAAAAGCTCATGGTTCTTACCAAGGGGAATGGAGGAAAAAACATTTTCCAGGCCAATAGGTGCATGGCAGGTGTCAGGGGCTTTGTTGATTTGTTCCAGTAAATATACTACATCAGAACAGGAGTTGCAGTCAGACCTACCACTTGATTAATTTTATGATAATCCACAGCCATTACCCAAGATCTAAGTATGTTCTTCACAGTCCAAAAGGTGTGTTAGAAGGAGATGTGATAGGTACTTCCATCCCTCCAACTTTCAAGTCTTTGATATTAGCACTGGTTTCTGCAGTTCCCCCTGGATGCAGTATTACTATTCAGGAGCTTCACTTGGCCCTTTCCTACTGTAAGCCAGCGTAGAGGGATTCAGCCAGTTGCCAGTATATCTATGCCGATTATACATTCAGGAACTGGGAATTCAACCACAGGCATGGATCTACAGATGTCCTGGGTCCACTGTAGTTCAAATTTGGACTCAGTCCATTTATCGCCTGCTCATCGGTAACACAGGAACAGGGAGGAGAAGCCTATGAGAAGTGGAGTAGAAGATGCAAGTCCCTTCTCACTCCTCCATCTTTGCAGCCTCCCTCTGGTGGCCTCTATTAGCAAAGACCCACAGGGAAGCATATCACAAAGCAGAAATGAGGTTTGTAGAGTTCCATATCACAAACCAGAATAGAAAATGTAGGTTTGCAGCTGAGATACATATATGCATTATATGTTATTCCCATATACAGCCATCCCTCAGTATCCAAGGGGGACTGATTCCAGGACCTCTTGTGGATATCAAAATCCATAGATGCTCAAGTCTCTAGTACAAAATGGCGTAGTATCTGCATATAACCCATGTATATCCTCCCGTATCATTTGAATCATCTCTAGATTACTTACAATACCTTACATAATGTAAATGCTATATAAATAGTTGTTATACTATATTGTTTAGGGAATAATGACAAAAAAATAGTCTGTACATATTTAGTACAGACAGTTTTTCCCTGAATATTTTTGACCCACGATTGGTTGAATCCAAGGATTCAACCCACAGATATGGAGGGCCACAGATATGGAGGGCCAACTGTAATATATATGCTGCAGAACCCACAGATATGGAGGGCCAATTGTAATATATATGCTGCATATCATATATATATAATATATATGCTGTGTGAAATATATATAATATATATGCTGTGTGTTATATATGCTATGTGTTATATATGTGATATAATAATAACTGGCACATGCTTTTTCTCCTCATATCTCTATCAAAAAATTATTTTTTTTGAGACCAACTCTGCTGTTGTTGACCAACAGCTAATAGGCACAGTAGGAATTCCAGATTTAGAAATTTTGGGCAGCATGGCTGGCCTTGAAGAGGCTGGGATGGAAGAGGTTTCCTGGATCTGCCCACAGTGGTGTACTCAGAGCCCTGGGGGTCCACACACAGCTATAAGAAGCACTGAGAGCTTCCTGCATGTCAGCGTTCTCCTCTTCCTTCATATCCATGACTGGTGCATGCCTGGATTTCTTCTGTCTCTCTTGCACTCATGCCTCCACCTCTCCCTGCCATGTTTGGCTTTGGCACCTTCTTCTGCTGTTGCTGCTCCTCTTCTCAGGCTCTGCTCTTCTGTGGCCACCTCATACATTTCCAGGACTTCACACTCAACAAATGGTTGAATACCATGCAGCTACTAAGGCAAAATCAAAGGTAAATAATACGTGATTTCTCGCCTCACAGAGCCTTATAGTCAAGGGAGGCCGACTCCTCAGACTCTGCCTCCTGTCCTGACCATGCATCTGCCTCCAAACATGCGTTTCTGTCTTCCTCCTAGACACTGCTGCTTGCCCTGACCAGGTGGTCCTTGCCTCCCTTTTCTCAGCCCACTCCCTCGCTGGGCTCACTGTTTCTAAAGATAAAACCATTACATCAGTGAGTGATTCAGGCCCACAGACCTCCGTTCAATCACTGAGCCCAGGTTCTGTCTGCAGAGTATTCTAATCTCATGCATACACTCATTCCCCCTTATTCAGGACCTCATTCCGTCATCCTTATAACTGCCACTCTCCCCTATAATCAGTCCATCCTCCACCCTGCAGTTAGCTTAGTAGTCTTATTATGTGGCTCCTACTATGTAATTTACCCCCAAATCTTTATTAGCCTTTACTTTTCCACCAGTGCTTATGTTATCAGGTCTAGCCCTTGTCCTTCCATGACTGGGTCTTGAACCCCTATGCTTACCTTATATTCCTACTAAACTGCACCACTAACTTTGTCCTTAATGCCTCCCATGGCCTTCTGCTTGCATACTTTTGTTACCAAGTTCTCATCGTCTGAAATTTCTTCTGTGTCAGCTTCTGTCTGCTTCCCTTTCCAGTTCTCTTTGTTGTCCCCCTCACCCAAACTGTAATTCCACAGAGCTTCTTTTTCATTTTGGAAGATAATGATATTGTTAACCTAACACTCAGCACATATGGCTTTGTATTATAGTTGTTTATGTTCATGCCACATTGCCTTCCTTGGCTGTAGGCTCTTTAAGGGAAGAAATTATATATTATTTACATTTGTATTGATCTTAGTAGCTGGTATGACACTCAACATTTGTTGAGTGTATAAGTAATTCCGTTCTCTCCTCTCACCTATACTTTTCCTCTTTTCCCCTCTTTACTGATGTTTCTCACCTTGGCCTAGAAAAATGTTTACATCTTCTCCATATTAAAAACAAAACTAGGGTTCCTCTTCTACCTAAGATGTAGAAAGCTGGCATGAAAGACAAAATGCAGTGGATAATTAAGGAGGAATGCTTAATTAATAGGAAGAATATTGAGCAATGAAGACAGTCTCAAAGAAGAGCGGGGAGACCTAGGGTTTTATGGGGGCACTTAGACAAGGGAGCCATCTGTATCTTCTGTAAATCTTATGGAAGTCATGCAGAAGGATGGAGATGGGTCTTATCTTGGCATATGCCAGAGCAGGGCAGAACTTTGCAGTTAGCCATTTCCTGAGCCACAAAAAGATAGGGAAATTTCTTAACTGTTGCTGTTTTTAGGCATATGAGGCTCAGGCAGAGTTTACTGTTGTCAGTCCCTTCTTTTTTCGTGAATATCATTCATTACTGAACAACTAAGAGGTGATCGCAAAGCTTTAGAGGGGCAAAGCAGGTATAAGAAATGGCCTCCCAAGGGCTCTTGTTGGTGGTGGTTTTGCAGAGTCAGTTGAGCCATCTGATGAAAGGTGGTGGCAAAGATCAGTTGTTTTAGAGTGCTAGAAATCTGGCATCTTTAAAGAAGCATGACTGAAATGTAAAAGAGAAATATTCATATCAATGGTTGAATTGAAGTACAGAGCCTGAGGGTAACCTGTTTACTGGATTCCAAGTGGTCAATGGAAGAAAACCTTTTGGTTTTGCAGCAGTGCTTCTTGAGTTTCTTGAAGCTCAAGCTAGGATGGTGATGCTCTTGGTGTTGGTCAGTCTTGGTTCTTGCTCATATAGAGACATGCATATACAAGCATTTTACTGGTCTTCCTTAGTAGTCCAGACAGTGGCCTGTGCAGGGAGAATTCAGCCCCTGCATGGTCTGCCATGGTGATGAGTCCTTTGAGGTTTATATCAAGTCTTTGGGCTGTAGGTTATAGGGGGTTCTGCAGATCCTGGACAAAGAGCCAGTGCAAGGGTACCTGGAATCCTGACGTAGAATCTAGATGGTGAGCCTTCATTCAGTTCCTGGTGATGCTGAGTCAGGCAGGAGGTAGGAAAATTAAAAATGTTAGTTTGGATAACCATAGCCAGATAATGATGACATCTGGAAGAATTGAAAATTTGATAAGAATCCACAATTTAGGCAAGGTGACAGCATCCAGTCCAATTTGCAGGTAAGTACTAAAATTGTTTTTTCCATAGGGTGAAAGGAAGTCAGTTAAATCTTTACCATACAAAACAGTTTGCATATCCATCAGTTACCTGTGATTTATAAAAAAATGAACAGCAATGACCAGAGCCAGAATCTGATAACCCAGATGGGTGTGCATAGATTTCCATTGAAACACAAAATTCCTCTCTACAGTCACTTCCATCTTGATAAAAAATAATCTCAAAGAACTGTTATTCTTGGCGCGGAGGCTCACTTCTGTAATCCCAGCACTCTGGGAGGCTGAGGCAAGCGGATCACTTTAGGTCAGGAGTTCGAGACCAGCCTGGCCAACATGGTGAAACCTCATGTCTACTAAAAATACAATACAAAAAAAAAAAAAAATTAGCTGGGCGTGGTGGCATGTGCCTGTAGTCCCAGCTACTCAGGAGGCTGAGGCACGAGAATCGTTTGAACCCAGGAGCTAGAGGTTGCAGTGAGCCAAGATCATGCCACTGCACTCCAGCCTGGGCAACAGAGTGAGACTGTCTCAAAAAAACAAACAAAGAAACAAACAAAAAACTATTATTCTTGATCAACACTTGATCACAAAATAAGGCTGGTCTCATTAGACTTGTCTGATTACTCACATAGGTAGAGTAAGAATGGTAATTTGCCACACAGGTCTTCTTAAGTTTACTTTGTTGAAAGTTTTCATCAGGACTTTCAGACTGAGCTTTTAAAATTCTCTTGAGGCTAGGAAGCCAAGCTAAGAACTTGCCATCATACTTTAAATGCAGTACCTATAAATTTGGACAAATTCCTCTTTTCTTGAGTCTCCAGAATATCCTAAGCTTCCTGGTACTGTCAGGAAGTGACCTTTCTTACTCACCTGTAAGGCTGAAACCATGTACTCCAGTGCCAGTTTTCCCAAGAGCATTTTGTAAACATTGGCTCCAAAAAGTCAACCTTAGTTCTTTAAAGTATCTGGTCATAGCTGATTAAATGAGCATCATTCTCAAACATGACATTCGGGGAGGCACCAGAGTAAAAGAAAAAAACTATCTGTAGATGACAAAAGATTTAAAGGCCTTTGTTGCATAACCAATGTTTCTAATTCTGTCCCGTAAACAAGGAGGACAGATTCTTATTGAACCTGTGCAAATAATTATATTGCAATGAAATTAAGAATACTCCAAATTCTGGAAGGATCAGGCAGTAAGAAAAATACACCATTTGCAAATTGATATGGTTTGGCTCTGTGTCCCCACCTAAATTTCATGTCAAATTGTAATTCCCACATGTCAGCAGAGGGGCCTGATGGGATATGATTGGATCATGAGGGCAGATTTCCCCCTTGCTGTTCTCATGATAGTGAGTGAGTTCTCACAAGGTGTGTTTGTTTGAGAATGTGTGGCACTTCCCCCATCACTCTCTCTCTCTCCTGCCGCCATGGTAAGACATGCTTGCTTCCTCTTGGCCTTCCACCATGATTGTAAGTTTCCTGAGGCCTCCTAGCCATGCGTCCTGTACAGTCTGCCAAACTATGAGTCAATTAAACCTCTTTTCTTCATAAATTACCCAGTCTCAGATAGTTCTTTATAGCAGTGTAAGAATGGACCAATACACAAATGTTCATTTTAAAGAACATAGTCTACTAAATTGTTATGAGTTATAGATAGCTTAAGATAAAGGAGCTCTTTATGTATTCAGAAAATAGAACATTAAAACAACAATAGTCCAAGCAAAACCCACAACCATCCCCCATCAGTTCATTCAGTCCTATGTCATTAATTCCTGTTCTGCTCAATCTTAGGTTAGTAGTCTCATGAATCCATCTGTTTCTCAACTAGAGTTTTAGAAATCCTGACTCAGTTCAATTATGTGGTCTCAAAGTTGCTTAAGTAGTGCCATCAGAAGTCTATACCCAAAGGTACCTGGCATAGTCCTTTTCCACGGAGCTCTGAGACAGTCCTTCTTTATTGAAGTGATTTCAAGTCCTTTCAGAGAAGCATCAGAGTAAAACAGAACACTATTGGTAGATAACAGAAGACTTAAAATGACTATGGTTAACATACTGCTTATAATTATCAAAAGTGAAAGGCATGATGAGAGTTCATTACAAAGATAATGCAACTCAAGAATATTTGCAGTTTTTGGGGCATGCAAAACAAGATGAAGTCAGTCAAAATATTTTTAGGCAAAATATCTATGAATATAATGATTGACCCTATTTTCAAAGAAAAGTAGATGTTATATCTAATTTATAAAAATTAGTGAACCTTTTCAGGGAAAAAAATCTTAAGATATAAAACATAACAAACATGGACATAATATATCATGAATATACCAAGTATATAACAAATGACAGTGTTAAGTTTTGTGAGAGCCCTGTGTTTCTGGAAAACGGCAAAGGCTGAGAAATCCCCGCACTCTGCCCTCCAGGAAACAGCTCACTGTGAAGACCACCCTTCCCTATATGACTTGGATAAGACTCCCAAATGCTCCTTGTTTACCCTTGACCAAGTCAGACAGACTCTCCAAATTCCCATTCTTTGCCTCATAAATGATTAGCTGAACTCTTTTGTCCCCACTGGACAAAATGGGAACAAAATCAAAATCTTTGGTTCATATTCTCTGCTTCCCCCAAGGCTCCTAAGTATTGGCCCACCCTCAACCTGAGCCAGCAGGCAGTCCTGCTACTTCTGGAAACAGACTGGGCTAGGTGCAGTGGCTCACACCTGTGATCCCCTTAGTTTGGGAAGCCGAGCCTGGAGGATTTCTTGAGCCCAGGAATTCAAGACCAGCCTGGGCAACAAAGTGAGACTCCATCTCTACAAAAAATTTAAAAATTAGCCAGATGTAGTAGTGCATGCCTGTAGACCCAACTAGTCAGGAGGCTGAGGTAGGAG
The DNA here is from genome assembly GCF_000001405.40 of Homo sapiens. NCBI lineage: Eukaryota > Metazoa > Chordata > Mammalia > Primates > Hominidae > Homo > Homo sapiens. The sequence goes on along the minus strand of NC_000002.12, from coordinate 96,568,408 downwards.
AATCACTTGAGCCCAGGAGGTTGAGGCTGCAGTGAGCCATATTCATGCCACTGCACTCCAGCCTTGCTGACAGAGTGAGACTCACACACAAAAAAAAAAAAAAAAAAAAAAGCGGGGGCGGAGTGGGAGGAAAATAGACTGGCTTTGGGATAAGACATTCTTGGGTCTGCTATCCTGTAATGCCACCCTCCCATTCCACTTTCCCATACCTGGATCTTTCTAGCCTTATTTACTCCTCTCTACAAAATAAAAGCACTTTGCCCACCCTCTCAGATACTTGCAGATCTTATGGTCAGAGCAACCTCCCCCGGCAATAGTTCCTTACCACACCCCCTTGCAATAACTGCTCCAATAAAGTCTCCTTACGTAGTCTGGGTTTGTTTTTATTTGACTTGAGGAAAGAGATTCAGCAAATCTGGATTAGGTCCTAGACACCTGTATATTAATAAAACTCCATAGTTAAGTGATGTGAATCCTCAATTAAAAACCCTGGCCCAGAAGATAGTAGATTCACATTAGAGAATTAAAGCTGCAACCAAGTTAACATTTTAAAAACTAACAAATTATAACTGATAGCACTATACTGTTTTTGTCTAATATTAGGCAAAGGAGCACCAGGAATCATAAACATATCATGGACAGCAAAGACATTGATGATTGTCTAGAAATTTCCCATAAAGCATACAATTTCTGAAAATTTTATATTAATAATAGCCCAGGCCAGCACGCGGTGGCTCACGCCTGTAATCCTAGCATTTTGGGAGGCCAAGGTCAGAAGTTTGAGACCAGCCTGATCAACATGGTGAAACCCCATCTCTACTAAAAATACAAAAATTAGCCAAGCATGGTGGCGCATGCCTGTAATTCCAGCTACTCAGGAGGCTGAGGCAGGACAATCGCTTGAACCCAGGAAGTGGAGCTTGCAGTGAGACGAGATCGCACCACTGCACTCCAGCCTGGGCGACAGAGTGAGACTCCGACTCAAAAAAAAAAAAAAAAAAAAAGGCCAGGTGCAGTGGCTCACACCTGTAATCCCAGCACTTTGGGAAGCCGAGGTGGGTGGATTACAAGGTCAGGTGTTCAAGACCAGTCTGGCCAATATGGTGAAATCCTGTCTCTACAAAAAATACAAATATTAGCCAGGCATGGTGCTGCATGCCTGTAGTCCCAGCTACTCGGGAGGTTGAGGCAGGAGAATTGCTTGAACCTGGGAGGCATAGGTTGCAGTGAGGTGAGATCGCACCACTGCACTCTAGCCTGGGCCACAGAGCGAGACTCTGTCTTAAAAAAAAAAAAAAAAAGCATCTCTTCTGATTTGACAAAGTGATCCAGGGCAAGCGAGCCCCCTCCCACCCCCACCAAATTGGGGCTTAGCCCAGGAGGGTTGTTGGCTTTGTCTAGGAAAGAATTCAAGGGTGAGCCGGTGGGGTGAGACAGCAACTTTTATAGAGGCGGCAGTGCACAGCGGCAGCAGAAGTGCTGCACCTTAGAAAGCAGGGCTACCCCATAGGCAGTGTGCACAGAGTAGCAGCTTAGAGGCAGTTCTACAGTCGTATTTATACCCACTTTTAATTATATGCAAATTAAGGGGTGGGTTATGCAGACATTTCTAGAAAAGAGTGGTAACTTCTGGGTCGTTGGGTGGTTGCCACAGAAAGGGGCAGTAACCTTTGGGTGTGCCAGTCTTATGGAAAGCTGCTTCTGCGCTGGCCCTGTTTTAGCTAGTCTTCAATCTCGTTCTTGTCCAAGTCTCCACCCCCAGAGTCTAATCCTGCCTCCTACCTCAAAAGCTTCCCATGCAATTTATTAATAACATATCTGATAAGCTGAATTACTTCTAGTACCTCTCCTTTTACAAGGTGAAAGAACAAATCCTAAGTGATTTTCCAGGGACCCTCTGGGAAATCTCAAAGACAGTTGTAGGTGTGAAAGATACCATTTAGGATTTGATTTGGGAAAGGTAGAATATCAAAAGCTGTCAGGAGGTTTGAATACTTAAGTTAGGGTCATAGATTACTGAGAAACAATACTTAGCTACCCCATTTAGCTAAAGTGACAATGAAAATATTTTAAAAGTAAACATGGGAGGTAACATGATTGTAAAGAACCTTAGCTCTTTATAAAAGTGGTAAGACTTTCTCTTCTTACTTAAGGACATGGTAAAGTCAACATAAAGCATAGGAAAGTATTCTGATAAAACACATCTTTGGCCGGGCGCGGTGGCTCACACCTGTAATCCCAGCACTTTGGGAGGCCGAGGCGGGCAGATCACAAGGTCAAGAGATAGAGACCATCCTGGCCAACATGGTGAAACCCTGTCTCTACTGAAAATATTAAAAAATTAGCTGGGCATGGTGGTGCACACCTGTAGTCCCAGCTACTTGGGAGGCTGAGGCAGGAAAACTGCTTGAACCTGGGAGGTGGAAGTCGCATTGAGCCAAGATTGCATCACTGCACTCCTGCTTGGCGACATAGTGAGACTCCATCTCAATAAATAAATAAATAAATAAATAAATAAATAAAAGCATAAACAAAGAAAACTCACAGTTTTCAAACATTTCATATCAGTGAGTTTTTCTTTTCCCAGAGGGTACAAATTCTGAATTAATTTGAGTTCAAATAGACAAGCAGAGAAGAATAGAAAACTAGATGCTGTGCTGTCATTCACCCATCAGGACATGACCTCTGGGCCATTAAATCCATTTGGCTACTTCCTCCAGTGTCTCCTTTGCCAGTCTGTGTGCATGTCTGATTGGTTGGTATCTCAGTCACATGCCTGCTCAATGGCAGCAAGGGAGTTTGGGAATGCAGGTTTTTATAGCTTGTCCCTTGGGAAGATGGTACTCAAAATATAGGAAAGGACCAAAATGGGGGCGGTCCAGATGCCCTCAAGGATATTGGGTAGCCATCAGTGACAGACTTGCATCTGGTGTTTCTGATGACCTTCCCTCATTCTCCCTGCCTGTCAATGGAAGCCACTCTCCTAGGGAGGACAGATTTCAGCTCTCTCCCTCGTTCCTGCCCCTCCCTTTCCCTTTCTCTCATGCAAATTCTAATCCCACTCTATCTGATTTAGCATCCCATTGCTTTCTATACAAGCACAGGTTTGACAGGGCCCAACAACGGGGCAGAGAAGCCTGAAAGGGCTGCCTCGTACATGCCAGGCATTGTTTGCATGCAAATGACGGCTAGGTTTTCCCTAGGGAATACCAATCAGATCTGCTTCTTGGTCCTAGTTCTTGAGTGTAGCTGGATCCAAAGCCATCGTCCTGAAAATTCTGGAGTGACTTAAATTCTACACTATGTGGCAAGCCCTCCTCTCCTCATCACAAGTCAGAGGTTCCTGACTTATTGTCTGGAAAGAGTTCTTCCCTTACCTGTGAGCTGGAAGGTGTTCCTTGGCAAAAGTGGTGGAGGATCCAAGATGAAGGACTCGGCAGAAAATCACACACACACACACACACACCCCACCACCACCACCAACAACAAAATACATAAAAAGTGATGGAGGAGAGATTCTGGCCACTAAAGATCAATATCCTTATATTGGCCACAGGGGGGTGATTAGGCTGGCCTGTCAGGTGGCCTTGCTCAGTGCAAGGGCCAGTGAGTCCTCCCACTCATCACTGACTTGGCAGGGGACAAGGCCCAGCCTATCTCCATAGACGTGCCTCTGCTGCCTGGACCCATGGCTGGGGCTCTTGAATGTTCACCATCTGGGACACCTGGATATCTGGCTGATGGTGTTGGAGTGGCAAATGGCAGAAACGACATCTGGCTAGCTTATATCCAAAGAAGGATTTATGAGGAGGATTCTCGGAATTCTCTCCAACTCCAGAAAACATTTAGGATCCTCTGGGATATGCAGGGTCTCCCCGGAGCACAGCGATGACCCTGACTGAGCGCCATTAGTCCAGTTAGATGGTGCCCCTCCCTGGCAGGGGTCGGGTAGTACTGGACCACTCTGGAGATGGCCATGGGCTGGCTACTGCAGCCACAAAGATGTCAGTGATCAAAAGAAGCATTTGATCAGCTGGCCAAGGCTCAGGCATCTGTGTTTGAAGGGGAAGGCGTCAAGGAGTCTGCAACAAGGTTGATGCAAATTCACACAAAACCAGGCACAAAACCTATTGTTGGTCCAGGCTTCCAGACTTGAATGCTACAGCTGGCGGTCACGGCCCAGCCTCGCCCTCCAGGGAACCAGGCAGGAGACATGTCCTAGTGTCATGGGCCTGGGGCCATGTTTCCATGGTGGGCACTGTGGCACTGAGACTGGACCCTGCTTCAGAGGGACAGGGACATCATTCCACCAACCCACTTCTCAAAGTTCTCAATTTGCATAGAAGGCTACTCTCAGGACCTCCCTTCTTCCCAAAAAGGGCAAAGGATGGCCCTGTGTTGTCCCACTGACAAGTGCTGAGAAGCAGCCAGCTTTTCTTTCTGTTTCTCACGACAGTTTGTGTTAGTCTATCCCTGGCATTCTGTGCACAGAGACCAGTGCTTAAAAGGAAAGGAAGGGGATGAAACAAGGGGTTTGGAAAGGAAGAAATATTTACATAGGAGTGATGGTCAAATATGTAATAACTACAATAATCTAAATATAAAATATATATTTTTTATTCTCTAAATAATATAAACACAGTTGACCCTTGAACAACATGGGTTTGAAGCGCTTGGGTCCGCTTATATTTTGATTTTTTTCAAAAGATGTAGTCGGCTCTTGGTATTTACTGATTCCCTATCTGCAAACAAATACAGGTGGAAGATGCAGTATTCTCAAGATGCAAAAACTCGCCTCGTCAGAGGGCAGAATTTTTATATAGGAGGGATCTGCAGGGCAAACTTCTGGACTTGGCCATGCACGGATTTTGGTATGGGGGGAGAGTCCTGGAACCAATTCCCCATGTATACTGAGGGACAACTATTTCTTATAAAACTGCTTGCCAAGTGATGTAAGTTGTAAAACAAACCATTCATCAGATCCCTCTGATCATTTCCAAATCACTCATTGGTTTTCATAAGCTGTTGGTGTGGTCTTTGTTTGACATGGGTGTCCCTAAGTTAGTACGTCCATTTCTGAGCCCACGATGGCATGGGGAGCTGTCCCAGACTTCCATTAAGCTGCTCCTTTTGTGATCTGGTATCAGAAGTCACACACCATCACTTCTGCCTTATTTTATCAGTTCATTAGTTAGATGAGTCACTAATTCCAGCCCACACTCAAGAGGAAGGGAATTAGGCTCCACTTTCTGAAAGGAGTACAAGATTTTGTGGGCATATTTTCCGCTACCACAGTCTGCCTGCTGGCCACAGATTATTTACACCCCTCACTGTATTAGTCTTCTATTTCTGCTCTAATAAATTACCACAAGCCTAGTGACCTAAAACAACACGAATTTATTATATTGCAGTTCTGGAGGTCCGAAGTCCAGTATGGGTCTCACAGCGCTAGAATCAGGTGTCAGTAGGACTGTGTTCCTGCTGGAGGGTCTAGGGGAGAATCTGTCTGCTTGACTTACAGCTTCTAAGAGGCACCCACATTCCTTGGCTTGTGGCTCCTTCTTCTGTCTTCAAAGCCAGCAATGCTGGGCCAAGTCCTTCCTCTGCTGCCTTTTGAGTCTCTTTCTCCCACCTTGTTCTTCCACTCTTAAGGACGCTCATGTGACATTGGGCCCACCCAGTATTTTCTTGACAATCCAGGATAGTCTATTCATATCCAGCAACCATAATTTCATCTGCAACCGGAATTCCCCTTTGCCATGCCCCCTAATATAGTCATAGGTCCTGGGGATTAGGATGTGGACATCTTTAGGAGGCTGTTATTCTGCCTACAGTCCCATATACAGAATATACTCACCCTGTTTAAAGATTCCCCAGAAGCCTTACCCTTTCCAGCATTGGCTTAAAATCCAGGATGTCATCATTTACCTGAAGATGTCACCAGATGTGGATGAGGCTTCTTGGGCATAATTTCTCAAGTATAGTAGTTCTATATCCAAAGACTTGTGAACTAAAAGGAATTTTTATCTATCCCTGACATGTTCAACCACAGTGGTGGGACCGGCATAGGATAACTGCAGTGGACATTCCTATTCAAAAAGGGGAACGCGGGAGGCACCTAAGAGCCACTGGTCCCTGGCAGCTTTGAAATTCAGTGGGGTGAGTGTTGGAGGCTCCTTGATGAGGATGCACCCGTGCACCCGTTGGGGAGTGATTCTCCATGGGATAAAGCTCCCCGGAATGTGGAAGTCCCTCCCAGCAGATATCCCTTAGATCTTGCATTAGTCAGCTCGGGCTGCCAAACAGAACACCGTAGACTGGGTGGCTGAAACAGCAGTCACTTATTTTCTCATAGTTTTAGAAGTCGGAAGTGTAAGTTCAAGATGCTGGCAGGGTTGGTTTTGGAGGAAGCTTGTCTTCTAGGCTTGCAGACAGATGCCTTCTTGCTTCGTCCTCTCTGCTCATGTGCAAGAGAGTGAGTTCTGGTGTCTTCTCTTCTTATAAGGACACCAGTCCTATCAGATTTGGCCCCATTTAACCTTATTTATGACCTCATTTAACCTTAATTGCCTTGTTAAAGGCCCTAAGTCCACATGCAGCCATATTAGGGGTTAGGGCTTCAGCATCTGACTGTGAGGAACACAGTTTGGTCCATAACATCTCACTGGCTGGAGCTGGGCCATGTGGCTCCTAGCTGCCAAGGTGGTGGGGGATGTGGGGGACAGAATTGTTAATGATTGGCCAAACCGTGTGAGGCCTCCACCACTCATGTCCTGTTACCTGGGGTCGTGCTCTGAACCAAGCTGGGATTCTGTTAGCAAGGACAAAGTGGGAAATGGATGTGAGATGGACAGTTAGCAGGGTCTGCCACACTGTCCCCAGCGATGCTCCTGACCAAGCGTCTAGTCACACTCCTTGAGCCTAGGGACACAGGGCAGAGATGGTGGGCACCAATTCGTTCTGACCCCACCTCCCCAAGGAGACTTGCCCCATCTCTGCCCCTCCATCTCCATGCACTGATCTGGCCTGTGCTTTCCAAGGCCTGATCTTTGTCCAGTCCTTCAAGACTGTGAGACACTGTGTACTCCCTACACATCCCCTTTTTCTGGCTTAAATTACCCAGATGGTTCTTGCTGCTTGCATTCAACGACTACTGCTGAATGCTCACTTTAAAAGTAATAGAAATAACACATGATATATATTATGAATGTGTATGTGTGTGTGTGTGTATATATAATATATATATGTTTTCCATTTTGCTACATAGTCCTCCTGTTCATAATTTCAACACCACAAATGCAGTCTTCTTACCCGAGACTTGGTTGTCACCTCTGCACCCCTTCTTCCATTGCTGAGCATCTCCAATCATTTTCTACAATAAATTCCCAGAAGCGGGACTGCCGTCAAATGGGATGAATATTTTTACAGCTCTTGAAATATGCAAGAGGCCTGTGGTAAATTATACTCTCAACAGCAATGTGTAGCACTGTTTTTTTTTAAATTCCATCTCACTATATATTTGTAATTTAAAAAGAAAGAAAATGTTGTTTTCTTTTTCTTTTCACATATCTCAATTCCTAAATTAGAGAATTCCTGTCAAACTATGTCCCCAAGTTTTCTGGTTTGGGAACTGTGGGGATGTGGTAAGAAGGGAGATGGGGGAAATGGACAATCTTTTTTTTTTTTTTTGAGACTAAGTCTCACTGCATCACCCAGGCTGGAGTGCAGTGGCGCGATCTCAGCTCACTGCAACCTCCACCTCCTGGGTTCAAGCAGTTCTCCTGCCTCAACCTCCTGAGTAGCTGGGATTACAGGCATGCACCACCACGTCCGGCTGATTTTTGTATATTTAGTAGAGATGGGGTTTTACCATGTTGGCCAGGCTGATCTCGAACTCCTGACCTCAGGTGATCCGCCCGCCTTGGCCTCCCAAAGTGCTGGGATTACAGGCATGAGCTACGGCGCCTGGCCAAAATGGACAATCTTTTATTCGATGTTACAGCTACACATGCAAACGCACAGCACACACACGCTTGCACGCATTAGCAGTTTACTCCTCAGCTCCTCCTCAGAGAAGCAGAATAGAGAAACTGAAGACGGGCTGAAAAGGGCAGATCCTGCCAACACACTTAAACTGGAGGAAAGCTAAGAATCCAGCCATGGCAGACCATCTGAAGTCCCTCTCTGGCTTCTCCTACTAGCCCATCGTCCTTGAGCCACAGTCCCTGCATCTTAGCATTGTGAAGCACTGGGCTCTTGGGGTTCAGATCTTGTCCCTTTTCTTGCCAGTGACCTCGGGCAACTCAATCTCCCTTAGCCTCATCCTGTGGAACCCGGGATGAGAACAGAACTTTCTCCTAAGGGGGCTGTGAGAAGAAATAACTCCTGGGACCTGCCTAGCACCAAGCCTGGAGCAAAGTCAGTACGGAATAAATATTATTGTCCTGCCTATGTGCATTCTCGTTGCCTCCTGGAAAGTGGTATTGATTGTGATTCGTGTTCATCCTGCAGACAGGTATGTCATCCCTTGAATATCACTGCACTTGTTTCCCAGGGCTGCCATGACAAAGTACCTCAAACCAGGTGGTTTAAAACAACAGAGGTAGGTGCATAGCTCATGCTTGGAATCCCAGCACTTGGGGAGGCCAAGGTGGGTGGATTGCTTGAGCTCAGGAGTTTGAGGCCAGCCTGGGCAACATAGTGAGAGCCCATCTCTACAAAAAAAATGCAAAATTAGGTGTAGTGGCACATGCCTGTGGTCCCAGCTACTCAGGAGGCTGAGGTGGGAGGATCACCTGAGCCTGTGAGGTTGAGGCCGCAGTGAGCCAAGATCACACCACTGCACTCCAGCCTGGGCAACAGAGCGAGACCCAGTCTCAAAAGTAAATCAATAAAACAACAGATATTTCTACTTTCCCAGTTCTGGAGGCCACAGTGTTGACAGAGCCATGCTCCTGGAGGGGAATCCTTCCTTGCCTCTTCCTGGCTGCGGCTGGTTTGCTGGCAATCTCGGGCATTCCTTGCAGCCGCGTCGCTCCAGTCCTGTCTTCACGTGGCACTCTCCCTGTGTTCATGTCTTCACACGGCTATCTCCTTACAAGGATGCCGGTCATAGTGAATGAGGGTCCACGCTACTTCACTGTGACCTCATCTTAACAAATTACACCTGCAACAACCCTATTCCCAAATAAGGCCACATTCTGAAGTGCTGGGGGTTAGGACTTCAACATATTGCGGGGGTCAGTGTGGGGGAGTGGCAGAAGTCAACCCAAACCCACCATTTTGATTTGGATGGCTGCTTCTCAGCAGAGGAGATATTCAAGCATTTTCACCATTGGTCAGGCACTGTCGACCAACAGCTAGGAGGTCGATCCTAGAAATGAGGATTTAGAGAAAAGCCCCCAATGAGGGTGGAGGAAAACGAGCCTTCCTCCTTTCTCTGAGTAGTGAGTTCCAACGTGTGGAGCCTCCTGGAGCTGCAGGTGGTGTCTGGAGGTCTAGACTCTGATGCGGACCCACGTCAGGAACTGGGTGTGGCATGTGCTGCATAGCTGGGGTTGAGGCAGCTTCAAGAAGCAGTTGTGGGTTGTGTCCTTGTTTTGAGTCCCTTCTGCTGCTTTCCAGAAACTTTAGTAAAACCTTATTAAATGTCCCTGCTCGGTCTCATGGGTGTGTGCAGGGTGGGGAGGGGAAGGGACGGGGTGTGGCTGTATTTCTGAAGGAAGAATCAAGGGCGGGTTCTCTCCCTTCTCCAAAGCCAGATGGGAATGTGGCGGAGGTTATTGGTGGGAAGAGCCGCTCCTCCCCAGGGCCAGAGCGATCTGGGCAAATGCAGTGGGAAAGAACCTGGGGCTGCCTCCTGAGCATGCAGGAGCCCTCTGGGAACCACTGGGACGCGGAGGAATACCAGGGATGTTTCTGAATGTTGCTAGTGGGCACATGTACCAAAATAATTTAGGTGAAAAGAAAAGAAAGGAAGGGACCCCTGTCGTATGGGGCTAGGTATAACTTGGGGTTGGTGGTGAACGGGAATCGTGAATTGCCCTCAGGGAGTTGACAGTCTGGGAAGGCAGGGATGCAGGAAGTCATGGGTCCACAGTGGCGGGTGGAGAAGCACTGGATGCTGTAGGGGCACACGGGATGGGTACCTAAGCCAGGAAGGCTTCCTGGAGGAAGAAACTTCTGAGAGGCTGGAAGGAAAAGTGGGAGCAGTGACATGTTTTTCGGGTGAAAGGAGTGGCATGTCCTTCTATAGTTGAGGGACAGCCAGGCAGGCCAGGGAGCTGGAGTGGGGCCTCAGGGATCAGCCAAGACAGAAACTGCAGGGGTTTGGGTGCTGTGGGTGGTGGAGGGTGGGGTGGAGGTGAGCCAGGAGCCTGGGGAAGGAAGCAGAGCCCATGAAGAGCCTTCCAGACTGAGGCATTTGGGTTTTAACTTGAGGTCAGTGGAAGGTCATGGACCAGGTTTATGCAGAGGGGTGAGCTGATCAGAGCTGGACTTTGAAATGATTTTTTTTTTTTTTTTTCCTGAGACAGAGTCTCGCCCTGTCACCCGGGCTGGAGTGTAGTGGCGTGATCTTGGCTCACTGCAACTTCTGCCTCCCAAGTTCAAGCGATTCTCCTGCCTCAGCTTCCCAAGTAGCTGATAGCACCTACCACCATGCCCAACTAAATTTTGTATTTTTAATGGAGACGGGGTTTTGCCATATTGGCCAGGCTGGTCTCAAACTCCTGACCTCAGGCAATCTGCTCACCTCGGCCTCCCAAAGTGCTGGGATTACAGGCGTGGGCCACCGTGCCCGGCCTTGAAATGATTTAAAAAATTTATCATCTACTGATTATCCCCATACTCAAGGCCACAGGCCCCAGCTCAAAAGCACTGCAGTTACTCTACAAATGACACCAGAATTGTTCCACTTATACTCTATCCTATTGGTGTGGATCCTAGATCATCCCTCTCCAGCTGCTGTGGAAAGACCTTTCTGGTTTTTGGACAGCCTACCTGGGTTTCTCCCAAGAGGCAGCCTCCCTGACGACTACCCAGGGATCAAACTCTGTAGCTCAAGGCCAAGGATTTGACTGCCCAATCCAAGACCTGCTCCTCCACAACCCTTGCTCATGTGGGAGAGAAACTAGGCAGCTCTGCACAGGAGCTGTGGCTAAGATGTGGCAGTGAGGTCAGGACCTACATCAGACAGACCATCATCAGGCACGATTAGATCATCATGCATGTAGACAGAGATGGCAACTAAGTGGCTGGTGAGCCTCCGCACCGCTGCCTGTGGCCTTGGCAGACATTACTAATCAATTGCATCACTGTCACACTGAGTCAGCCCCAAGCTGCAGACAGCCACCATCAGTCAAAGTTGATACCTGGGGGGAAGTGACTTGCCATACTTGACTCAGATGCTGACAGGATCCAAAGTTCAGTGTGACTGTGAGTCAGAAGCCAGGCGGGAGAGCGGGAATGTTAAAAAGCAGTGAGGTAAAGGGCAGGGCACGGGGCGGTCAGGCTGGTAGAGCAGAACTGCTGGTGGGGAAGGAGGTGATGATCCACATTCATCAGAACTTTAGTTTACAGAGCACTTTCACTAAATGCCCACCACTCTTGAGGTAGGAGTGACTCATTTCCATATCACAGGTGAGGGAATGGAGGCCAAGAGAAGGGTATGCACCTGGCGTCACCCAGCACAGCAGCTACTGTCTTGGTCTACGGAAGACACACCTCCTCTGAGGTAACAGCCTCAGAGGTTACCGGGTAAGCAGAGGCCTCAGATAAGATTCTCCCCTCACAATGCATCCTGAAGCGGGACCCCAGGGAGAGAAGGCAGTTGGAGCTGAGTCGGCAGTGCGTGCTGTTAGGTGATTGACCCCTGGCTGGGGGCGGGGGGAGCCCTGATGTGTAGCACGTGCTGATTTCTTTCTTTTCTTTCTTCCTTTTTTTTTTTTGACAGTCTCACTCTGTCGCCCAGGCTGGAGTGCATGGCACGATCTTGGCTCACTGCAACCTCTGCCTCCCAGGTTCAAGTGATTCTCCTGCCTCAGCCTCCGGAGTAGCTGGGATTACAGGCGCCTGCCACCACGCCCGGCTAATTTTTGTATTTTTAGTAGAGACGGGGTTTCACCATGTTGGCCAGGCTGGTCTTGAACTCCTGACCTCAGGTGATCTGCCTGCCTCGGCCTCCCAAAGTGCTGGGATTACAGGCGTGAGACATAGCGCCTGGCCAAAAATTCTGGTTTTTAAAGAGAAGCCTGATACCCACATTTTTATGTGAAATCTGATTTTTAAATTCTGGCAACTATTTAAAAACATTTAGCTGGCTGCCGTGACATGCACCTGTAGTCCCAGCTGCTTGGGAGGCTGAGGTGGGAGGACTGCTTGAGTCCAGGAGTTTGGGTGCTGCAATGCATGATGGTCTTGCCTGTGAATAGCCACAGCACCACTCCAGCCTGGGTGACACTGCAAGACCCCATCTCTTAAAAAAAAAAATTAAACACATCTCAGGCCACTGTCAGCAGCCTCTGTTGTTTGTTTTTTTGAGACAGAGTTTCACTCTTGTAGCCCAGGCTGGAGTGCAATGGCACAATCTCAGCTCACTGCAACCTCCGCCTCCTGGGTTCAAGTGATTCTCCTGCCTCAGCCTCCCTGGTAGCAGGAACTACAGGTGCATGCCATCACGCCCGGCTGATTTTTGTATTTTTAGTTGAGATGGGGTTTTGCCATGTTAGCCAGGCTGGTGTCGAATTCCTGACCTCAGGTGATCTGCCTGTTTTGGCCTCCCAAAGTTCTAGGATTACAGGCATGAGCCATCGCACCTGGCCCACCCTCTGGTTTTGAGGGTAAACCTTTGCTGAGTGGTGGAGGTCTCTCACTTCCCTGCCTGGGCTCCCAGTTGCCCCTCTGCTTCCTCCCCTGCCAGCCCATGGCTGTGCCCACCCTGAGACCACTCCCTCAGCTCCCTCCAGTGCAGGTCGCTTCTCCACGCTGTCCCGAGGTGGGGGTTGCTGCCAGCCCATGTTGCTGCCCCTGCATCGTGGCCTTGCTGTGGACCCCGAGCCCCTCCTCCCCACTTCTTGCCTGACCTTGGCACAAAGGCGGTGACTCCAAGGATTCCCACGCCCCAGCCCCTTCGTTCCTTGGCCTGCTCTCCTCCACTCACTCCCACGAGTGCACCCAGGTACAGGGAACGTCAGCCATGCCTCTTATCCCCAGGCCACCTCCTTGAGTCCTGCGGTTCTCGGAGCCCCACTGCGCTGCATCAGTCCCGCCAACCGTCCTTGGCTCCCCGCACCCAGCCTGGACTCCAGGCCTTCCACTGGCCTGGCTCCCTGCACTCGCCTCAGCTCCCTGTCCCGCTCTGCTGTGCCAGACTGTCCCGGCCCAGTGCCTCCTCGGTGGAACCTGACTCTCCCCTACTCCGAATCGTCACACAGCTTGTGGCCTGGTCCCGCCGAAACCCAAAACCCGTGCCACCAACCTCAGGTGGAACCTAGTGCTTCCCAGAGGCCCCAGGGCATGGCGGTGCTCCCGTCTGAGATCACTCATTCTCGTCCCCTCCTCCCCTCAACCTCAGGTCTCCAGCCCTGGTACTTGTCCTCAGTCTCTGCTCACTGAGGAATCAGAGGCACTGACGGGACCCCACCATTCAGGCGGGTTGTGAGCCAGGACGCTACCCTCCGAGAATCGGGTACAGCTAGTACCGGGCTGTGGGGCACTGGGCCCAGAGGGTGCCCTGGAAGCATGACTACATCCGGCTCTAGCATCTGTGCCAAAGCAGGGTCCCCTGCGTCCTGCCCAGGGCGCCCACCTGCCCAGGACAGACGTCCCACGGGAAGTGCATTCTTCAGATCGGCCTCCAGAGGGCGCCGTGATCGCAGCGCTGAGCTGCCTGCCCTCAAGTCCTGCTGACGGGCCGCCTGCCCATCTTTGTGCCAGGGCCAGGCCAATGTTGCTTCGTAGATGAAGGGCACCCTGCCCCATGCTGGGCAGGACCCTGCACACAACAGGGTCACCTCCCCTTTTATCCAGGCAGGGGATCCGACCCCAGTGATCTGTGGCCCAGCACCCAGGGCCTGGAGGGTGGGCAGAACTCAGCTCCTCCCTTCTTTTTTTTTTGAGACCGAGTTTTGCTCGTTGCCCAGGCTGGAGTGCAGTGGCGCAGTCTCGGCTCGCTGCAACCTCTGCCTCCCGAGTTCAAGTGATTCTCCTGCCTCAGACTCCCAAGTACCTGGGATTACAGGTGCCCGCCACCATGCCTGGCTAATTTTTGTAGTTTTTGTACAGATGGAGTTTCACCATCTTGGCCAGGCTGGTCACAAACTCCTGACCTCAGGTGATCCACCCCCCTTGGCCTCCCAAAATGCTGGGATTACAGGTGTTAGCCACTGCACCCAGCCCCTCCCCGTTCTTTATCATCCACTGAGCCTCCACAGCTCGGAGAGATGGACTGCACACGGGCGCATGTGGCAGTGCGGAGCTCAGGGCTGGTCACTCCAGGTGCTCAGGCTGACATCTTGGCATCTCTCAGAAGGAAAGAGGTGGAAGGTTGGGAGATGCCCCTGCAGAGCCTGAGTGCTCTCAACAGCAGGGAGCACCACTCTTTGCCCCTCCACCCGTCACAGGCCTCGCTTGGAAGGTGCCTGAGCTCTCCTCCACAGGCTGCTCCTGAAGGAGGTGGCCAGGGGCAGGGGCTGGATAGGGTGCCCTTTTGGCCTGGCCACCCACTCCCTGGTGCCAGGCATGCTGCACGTTCCCTGGTCTGGGTTCTGTCATCGTGGATGGTAGCCTTGGGCAAGCAAGACCCTGCCCATCCCCGGCCTTGGCCTCTCTACCTGCAACCTATGGGGGCCCTTCCCATGGCCGGAGTTCATGAGCATCCCAGCCCCAGCGGCCAGGGTAAGTTCCAGTGGTGCGTGTCACCCACTGACCTGCTCACACCTGTAGCCCCGACATCTGCCCTCTGCTTGGCCAGCAGTAGCCCCACTTTTCCAGGACTACATGTGAAGCTGTTTGGGTGCAGGCTGCTTGTGGAGGGAGGGGACAGTGCCTCTGAAAAGAACCCACCCTCCCTCCTCCTGAGCCAAGGCCCTGCTCCCATCCGGCCTGCAGGAAGCAGGGCGTCAAGCCGCAGGGATTCTAATATGAGCCCTGGGGCAACCACATCTGAAACTGCAGGGGCTTGTTACCGATGCAGACACCCAGGCCCAGACCAGTGGATTTGCTCCCCTTTCCCTCCAGGCACCTCCGGTGATTTCAATCCAGTGGTCATTCTGGTCTGTCCATGCGGTTCAGGCAAGTGGGGTGGGGCTGCAGAGAGGGCTCAGCTGCAGGCCCCAGAAATCTACATCCACCACCAACGCAGACCAACTCAGGCTTCCTGGTCACACCCCCAACCCCCCAGGGGCACTGGTAACAGCCTGGGGTCCCGCTCAGAGCACGGGAGTCACACAGCCTGTGCAGCCCTCCCCTGCCCCTCCTGCCAGGGGAACCTGGGCAAGTCACCGACCCTCCCAGGACCTCCAATCCCCATCTCCACAATGAGGAAGGCAGCAAGCATTCCCTGAAGCTCAACTAGGAAACTGGACTGAAGGCAAGGACAGATGTTAGAGGCTGCCTAAACGGCAGAGGCTGGGGTTTGCTTTGGGCCCGCTCTTCAGTGGGGTAGTGGCGTTCAGGTCCACCTCCTTGGCCCCCTAATGGCAGCCCCACCCACAAGCTCACCCCCGCCTTGCCTGCCGTTGCAAAGGCCCATACCACACACACCTCAGGGCTACGTGGATTCACACTGGTGTCTTTTTATTGGATTTTCCGTGGGCAACCTGGGTGCTTCGAGCTCCGCTCTGGGGCAGTGGGAGCTGCCCATCCTCTCCCAGCGCCTTATAACAACTGGGTCCTCTGCTCCTGGGCTCAGGCTGCTGCCTTGAGATAAACCCAGTTTTCCCACTGCCTTCTTCTTCACTTGTGCCAGGCTGCCCAGCCAGGGGCATGGCCCGGGTGTCCTGGGTAGCAGGCACTAGTTCAGAGCCCCCTGGCAGCAGTACCTGCCTGTTGTAGGCCCCTGTCGACTCCACAGTGTACACAACACCATGGGCTGGCCTACAGCTTGGTGTTGAGGTGGAAGAAGTGGGGCGCTGCATAGGTTGTGACTGGTGGTGCGTGCCAGGCAGATGAGGCCGGGCAAAGTCTGTGGCGGAGGGCACTGTCGAAGGACGTTGGGGGGAAGTGCATCAGGCCAGCGGCCATGGGCGAGGGGCCTGCGGTGGCCAGGAAGTGGGCCGGGAAGGCCGGGATGACCAGGGGGCTGAAGGGGAGTGCAGCCTGGCCCTTCAAGGGGCCCGGGGTGCCAGTGAAGTTCAGCGGGCAGTGCAGCATGGTGCCCCTGTAGGCCTCTGGGGGCACAGGCCCCAGGGCTGGGCCCAGAAGGCAGGAGACCAGGCCGGACCCTGCAGGTTTGGCCCCACACTTCTTGGCATCCGCCTCCTTAAGAAAGGGAGACACGGCCCGCAGTCTCTTCCCACTGTGGGCAGCACCCTCTTCCTCCAGGCTGCGCTTGCTGCCCAGGCCTGGGCTACTGGGGAAGGTGGGCGGGAGCGTGGGGCTCTCGGCTGGGACCTTGGCCATGGGGGACACCCAGCAGGCTTTGGGCTTGGGGTAGAGGATGCCCTTTCTGGAGCCACCTTTATGGAACGCAGAAGGGCGGTTAGCGTCTCCGCCCCACACCAGCTGGGGCTCTTTCACTGACAGCCCCTCTTTGCCAGGAGGCCCCAATAGCACCCCATCTTTAAGTCTAGAGAAGAAGTCCCTGGGGTGCTGGCTGACAGGCTTCAGCACCTCGGTGGGGTGGGTGTAGAAGCAGCCCTTGAAGATGGGGGCTGCCGGGCAGGGGCCTGCCTGCGCCTCCTCTCTGAGGCTGCCACCTGGGGCCTGCAATCCCTCCTGAGGGGTCAGCCGGTGCCTGGAGTTCTCAGTCAGCCCTTTGGGGCTCTGGGGACTCTCTGGGAGGTGAACAGCTGGGGACGCCTGGGGCTCTGCCCCATGGCGGCAGCCCTCCTCCTGGCACTGCAAGGCCTCCACCTTGCTCACCTGGGCCAGGAGCTTCTTTTTGGCCAGTGGTGACATGATGCCGTGTGTCCCCTTGCAGTAGAAGCTGGATAGGAGCCGCTTGTAGGCCTCAGGACAGCCGCTGGCACCCACAAAGGACACAGAAGACCCAGAGGCCAGGCCCTGCTGTTCTGTGCTGTTCCTGGGGGGCTCCTGGCTGGGAAGTGGTGCTGGGTCAGCAGCATCTGCTTTGGTCTTTCCTGGCATCATCTGGAATGAGAGAAAGTCTTGCCTCAGGACTGCCTCAGCCCCACATCCTGACCTGAGGAGCAAGAGGTGGCACTTTCAGGCCTGCCCAGGTCCCCCGCCAGCCCCTGCAGTCCTCTGTACAGAATTTTCCAAAGGTGCCCTGTCCTCTGAGTGGACACAGCCTCAGGTGCCTGGTGGGTGGGCGCAGGCTGGAGTTCAGAGTCCACTTGCACAACCATCTGTGGAGAACCTGGAACCTTGCAAGTCCCGCCCTGGGTGCAGGTTCTGTGTATTCTGAGCAGACAGCTCCGCGGCCACAGGGAGTTGTGGGGTAGGGGGCTACAAGAGGCAAGGGACAGGGTGGCCCCAGCCAGCCGCAGGCCTACCTGGTCCATGCGCCGCTCCTCCTTGGCCTTCTTCGGCCTCTCGGTGGCCCCATCATCCCCCCTGTTCTCCTTAGCCATCTTGTACTGTTTCCTGGGCTTGGAGGTGGGCAGCGGCTTGTCATCCTCCCCCTTCAGGTGCCGCACGTATGGCAGGACCAGCCTGGTGAGGAACCACGCATGTCCCCCAGGAGGCCGGCGCCCATCCCCTCCCTGGGCCTCTGTAGCCTCCTCTGAGCCCCCTTCCCCGCCGGCGCCGAGGAAGGCCCTCTCCTGGTCCCAAAGCTTCAGCTCCCTCAGTGAGTGCGCCCAGCCAGCCTGGGCTCCCGCAGCTCTGAGGACGGCGCATACCCTGCCCGCTCCGGGCAGAGTCCACCCGGCCCTCCCGGCAAGGTCGGCCAAAGCCCCGCAGGGTAGGCGGCGTCCAGCACCCGGGCCCGCCCCGCCGTACCTCTCGTAGTGGCGGCGCGTGCACGTGGCCGCGCTGGTGCTGCCTGGGCTGCCCCCCAGCTCGTCGTACACGTTCTTCCAGAGGCGGCGCCCGGTCACCTGCAAGGGCACCTCGTGAGGGCGCGGCCGGCGGGCGCCCCCTGGCGGCGGGGTCCTTGCAGCTCCGGCCGCCCTCGCAGGGACTCGAAGGACTGCAGTTTGGCAGCTGCTCTGCGGCTCCAGCAGCGGCCAGCCGATTCTCTCTCCTAGGGCCATGGACTGCTGGCCCAAGCAGTTTTCCCAACACGGGGCGGGCAGAACAGATGGGGAAGGCTGAAAAGCTGCTTTGAGCAGCAGAGTACCAGCGGGGAAGGCAGGGAGGCAGGGACGCAGGGGTAGGACTGGGGATCCTGGCTCTTCCTCTGTCCAGAGGCAAGGACAGCGCTGCAGGCTCACCCCAGGGATATGCAGTTTGGCAAGGACTGGGAGGTGCCTTCCTTACCAGCTCATAGGCCCCCAGCTTCTCCACTGCTTTGTAGATCTTCCACAGGTTAACTGGGGGAGAGAAGAGCAGGCTGGCCGTCAGTCTCTGTGGGAGGTGGGGACAGCATGCCACCCCTTCCTGGTGCCCTGACAGGCCAGGCACAGACCAGCACACACCCAGCCAGGGCCACTGCAATAGACGGGCAGGCTGTGCCCTGTGCACCCCTGGCCCAGTGGCAGCCTGGAGGGAGGCCTCCTTTCTATCTGCAACCTGGGTCACCCAGAGTGGGAGTGCCTGCCCGATGCCCTGCCTGGGCGGGGTCCCCTGCTGGGCCCCCCTCCCTGCCTGCACCCCAGGGACGCACTCTGCTTGAAGCCGAGATGGGGCACCCTCTCGATGGGCGTGTGTCGCTCCTTCATGAACTTGTAGAGGCTGACCAGGAAGGCCTGCTCCTCCTCCCGCTCCTGCTCCTCCTCCCGCTCCCCGCCTGCCTCGGGGGAGTCCTGGGGAGAGAACAGGAGGCATTGGGATGGGCCCCAGTTGGTGGCTGGCTGCTGGGGATGTGCAGAAACCACTGGCTGCAGGAGGAATAAGGTACCTACCCCAACCCCAGTTTCCCAGAGAACACCTAGCCACTGTTCTGGGAGGGAGTGACTGTTCCTGGGTTCGGCAGACACAGGTGTCAGCTCTCAGCGCCCCAGGACAGGAGCTAGAGTCCAGGACCTCCCCGGAGGCTGGGTACCCCAGAGCAGCTGGCTCCAGAGGCTGCCACGAGAGCAGTCCCCAGCCTTCTCCAGGCCAGGGTCACTTCTCTGTCTTGTTCTTGATTTGTCCTATTTGTGTCAGCTCCTCCGCCAGACTAGGAACTCCAGGAGGGCAGGCTCAGTGTCCCTGGGACTCCCCCATAACCGCAGAGGGAAAAGCTGAAGGAACAAAGGTGCTTGGTGCTTTCTGGTGCCCTGGGGTTACTCTGTGAGGCCCATGTTCCCCGAGCCTCTGTGTGGCCCCAGCCTGCCGTGCTGAGCACAGGGAGGTGAAGCTCTGGGCTTCAATTGCGCACTGCTGTCAGGGGCACAGGACTTTTGGTTGCGGGTCCCAGAGGGGCAATCTCTGCTGATGCCGTTTATCCAGCGAGTGGCTCGGGGCAGAGAGCCTAGGGCCCATACCCTGCTCAGAGAACAGACAGCTTCCAGGACATAAACCATCTGGACTAGGACAGCGCAGACAGCCATGTGTTCCAAAAATATTTGATCCAGCTGGGCACGGTGGCTCACTCCTGTAATCCCAGCACTTTGGGAGGCCGAGGTGGGCAGAGAGATCACTTGAGGTCAGGAGTTTGAGACCAGCCTGGCCAACATGGGGAAATCCCATCTCTACTAAAAATACAAAAATTAGCCAGGCCTGGTAGTGCATGCCTGTAATCCCAGCTACTCGGGAGGCTGAGGCAGAAGAATCATTTGAACCCAGGAGCTGGAGGTTGCAGTGAGCCAAGATTGTGCCACTGCACTCCAGCCTGGGTAACAGTGAGACTCTGTCTAAAAAAAAAAATAATAATTGATTCAAGTTTATTTCAGTGTTTTTACTTTTTTTGTTAGTTGTAAATAGCTTCTGTAATAGCTCAGTGTTTTTAAGGTATTAAAGACCTCTAAGAAGAAACAACATAGGAACTCACATATCACCCATGAAATCATAACATGCTGGGGCCCTGGGGCTGGTCTGTGCAGACCTCAGAAGGAAGGCTCTCTCATAACTGCTCAAGTCAATCTGCTCCTCCAGGCCTCTATTCTGAATTCCTGGCAAGCTGCTAAAGACAACTACCATTTGCAACCACTTTTCTGCATGAATCAGGATATTTTTCCAGACTGTGCCACCAAAGCAAATGGCCAAAATGAATGAAAGCCGGGGCCGACTGTGCTCCGAAAAAGCTGCCTGCAGCTCCCCCTTCAGATTCTGTGCTCATCGAAACAGTCTTGCTGGTCTCACCGAGTGACTTTATACGCCCATGTTATGCATCTGAATGAATGGATGTGAATGTGGTTTTACATCATGGGCTGGAGCTTTTGTCTGTTTAATGGATCAGGGTGGTAGGTCATCTTCATTTCAAAAAAGGGTTCTGCTACAAAAACCAAGATTGAAACTCTCTGCCACAGATGACAAGTAAGTCCCCTGGCTGCTGGGCAGGGCCAGGGTAGGAACATATCTCCCTCCTGAGAGCTTGGGGAGTGTCCAGGTTCACCTGGAGGCGGAGCACAGGTGAGGGTGGCAGGGAAGAGTGCCCAGGGAGTCAGCAGAGGGAGTCAACTCACCTCCAGCGAGATGGGGTTCTGGATTCCGTTCTGCTTGCCAGCAGGTTTGGGGGATGCAGGTGGGTCTAGGGCGTCACCCTCCGTGGACTGCTTCCTGTTCCCTTTGACAGGGGCTGCTGCAAGGAGAGAGGGAAGGAGTAAGGAGGAAGGGGTGGGGAGAGAGCATATGAGATGCAAGCAGGGAGGAACAGGAGCACTCTCCCTACTCCCAATTGGAGTTGCCAGAGGGCGCCAGTGCAGGGGCTCACTCCTGTGATCCCAGCACTTTGGGAGGCCCAGGCAGGCGATGACCTGAGGTCAGGAGTTCAAGACCTGTCTGGGCAACGTAGTGAGACCCCGTCTCTATTATTAAAAAAAAAAAAAGAATTGGCCAGGGGGAAGGGGTGTGTCCCTGGCTGCACATAGGCTACATGCACACACACACACAGGCCCTCCTCCCCGCTCCCCGACAACCCGCTGCATCCGCTCCACACCTGTCCCTTTTCTTTCCTCTGCTCCAACTATCTCCCCACATCTTTGAAGGAAACGCAAAACCACCTTGAGGTCAAGTCACAGGAGGCCGGGGTTGGGCTGTGGTGCTTGGGGAAATCCTGTCTCCAAAATCTGCCCCATGCTCAGACACAGAGTTGAGAAGCAGCTTAGTCTCACTGGAGAGCTAAAGGATCCCATGGCTGTGGCCCCAAAGCAACACAGGGGTCCCTGGGTAGTAGTTCCTCTGGGAATATTCAGGAATATCTGACCTTTCCCTGAGCATCTGCAGAGTTCTAACTGCCCTAATAAGGCCACATGCTCTCCTCACCTACAAGGGTCCTGGTGACCCCTCAGGTCTCTGCTGACAAGTGCCTTCCTCTGGGTGGCCTCCTCTGGCCCCTGGCCACGGGCAGCTCCTCCCTCGCCCTAGGCTACTCACAGCCATCCTGGCTGAACTGCCTGTGGCTCCTGGGGCTCCCTGATAGTTCGGTGAGGCTTCCCATACCCCACACAGCAGGTGCCAAGCTGGAATGAGCAAGGCTCACAACAACCCTGCGTGGTGGGCAGGAGAAGCCATGGGCTGTATTTTACTAAGAACCACCATGTGCTGATGGTTGCAAAAACGCAACACCTCTGCCACTGCAAAAACCACAACCACTGGAAACTGCCTGAGGCCACACAGCAGGCTGGCAGC
Source organism: Homo sapiens (assembly GCF_000001405.40). Classification (NCBI taxonomy): domain Eukaryota; kingdom Metazoa; phylum Chordata; class Mammalia; order Primates; family Hominidae; genus Homo; species Homo sapiens. The sequence goes on along the minus strand of NC_000002.12, from coordinate 96,546,352 downwards.
AGATACCAGACCAGGAACCCACATCTTCTGACAACCTTTTCTTTCTGTCCTTTGTTCTTTTGTTAATCAAGTATGAATTGGTTCACTCCCTCCCAGGACATCCTTATTGTTAGGAACCTATGAGATTTCCCTTCCATCCCAGACAGAAAAAGAATCTCCTCAGGAACAAGAAACCCAAACCAGCGTAAGCCAGGGGCCAGTGGTACTCAGAGGCACAGGGTAGAATCCTTGGCCACTGAGTGGTCCTGCTTTGGTAGGTGTTCTTATGTCTTCCCTCCATGTTGATGGCTGCTGACTGATTTCAGGGTGGTGGTTTCTTGGGCTGGGGTGACTGTGGCAATTTCTTAAAATAAGACAACAATGAAGTTTGCCACATCCATTAACTCTTTTTTTTTTTTTGAGTCAGAATCTTGCTCTGTTGCCCAGGCTGGAGTGCAGTGGCGTGATCTTGGCTCACTGCAATCTTCGCCTCCCAGGTTCAAGTGATTCTCCTGCCTCAGCCTCCCGAGTAGCTGGGACTACAGGTGCGTGCCACTAAGCCCGGCTAATTTTTGTATTTTTAGTAGAGACGGGGTTTCACCATATTGGCCAGACTGGTCTCAAACTCCTGACCTCATGATCCACCCACCTCGGCCTCCCAAAGTGCTGGGATTACAGGCATGAGCCACTGCACCTGGCAACTCTTCCTTTCATGAAAGACTTCTCCATGGCATGCATGTGATGCTATTTTTGACAGCATTTTATCCACAGCAAAACTTTCAAAACTGATGTCCCTCCTCTCAAACCCTGCTGCTGCTTTATCAACTAAGTTTCTGTAACATTCTAAATCCTTTGTTGTCATTTTGACAATGTTCACAGCATCTTCGCCAGTAGATTCCACCTCAAGAAGCCACTTTAGGATGGGCGCGGTGGCTCACGCCTGTAATCCCAGCACTTTGGGGGCCAAGGTGGGTGGATCACCTGAGGTCAGAAGTTTGAGACCAGCCTGGCCAACGTGGCGAAACCCTGTCTCTACTAAAAACACAAAAGTCAGCTGGGTGTGGTGGCAGGTCCCAGTAGTCCCAGCAACTCAGGAGGCTGAGGCAGGAGAATCCTTTGAACCTAGGAGGCGGAGGCTGCAGTGAGCTGAGATTACTCCACTGTACTCCAGTCTGGGCGATGGAACAAGACTCTGTCTCAAAAAAAAAAAAAAAAAAGAAAAAGAAAAAGAAAAGAAAAGGAAAGAAAAAAAAAGAAGAAAAAAAGTCACTTTCTTTGCCCACCCATAAAAAGCAACTCCTCATCCACTCAAGTTTGATCATGAGATTGCAGCAATTCAGTCTCATCCTCAAGCTCTGCTTTCTAACTCTAGTTCTCTTGCTGGTTCCACTGCATCTGCAGTGTCTTCTCCACTGAAGTCTTGAAGCCCTCAAAGTCATCCAGGAAGGTTGGAATCAAATTCTCCCAAATGCTTGGATATTTTGACCTCCTCCCACGAACCACAAATGTACCTGAAATGCTCTCCGGAGGTTTTCAATGTATTTTGCCCATCAGAGGAATCACTATCTATGGCAGCTACAGTCTTACAAAATGTATTTCTTAAATAATAAGACTTGAAACTTAAAATTACTCCTTGATCCTTGGCTCTAGAATAAATGTTGTGCTAGTAGGCATGAAAACAACATGCAGCTCCTGGTACATTTTCATCAGCGCTCTTGCATGACCGGTTGCCTTGTCAATGAACAATAATATTTTGAAAGGAATCCTTTTTTCTGAGCAGTAGGTCTCAACAGTTGGCTTAAAATACTCAGTAAACCATGTTATAAACAGATGTGCTGTCATCCAGGCTTTGTTATTTCATTTTTAGAACACAGAGTGAGTAGATTTAGCATAATTCTTAAAGGTTCTAGGTTTTTTGGAATGATAAATGAGCACAGGCTTCAACTTAAAGTCACCAGTACCAGCTGCATTAGCCCCTAACAAGAGAGTCAGCCTGTCTTTTGAAGCCATGCATTGACTTCTCCTTAGCTATGAAAGTCCTAGATGACATCTTCTTCTGATACAAAGCTGTTTCATCTACATGGAAAATCTGTGGTAGTGTGGCCACCTTCATCAGTGATCTTAGCTGGATCTTCTGGATAAATTGCTGCAGCTTCTACACCAGCCCTGGTTGATTCGCCTTGCACTTTTATGTGATGGTGATGGCGTCTTTCCTTAAACCTCATGAAGCAACCTCTGCTAGCTTCCAACTTTTCTTCTGCAGCTTCCTCACCTCTCTCAGCCTTCACAGCATTGGAGATTTAGAGCCTTGGTCTGGATTAGGCTTTGTCTTAAGGGAATGTTATGGCTTGTTGGATCTTCTATCCAGACTTCTCAAACTTTCTCCATTATCAGCAATAAGGCTGTTTTGCTTTACCATGCGTGTTCACTGGAATAGCACTTCTGATTTCCTTCAATAACTTTTCCTTGGCATTCACAACTTGACAAACTGGTGCAAGAGGCCTAGCTTTCGGCCTATCTGGGCTTTCGACCTGCCTTCCTCACTAAGTTTAATTATTTCTAGTTTTTTTATTTAAAAGTAAAGACCTGTAACTCCTCCTTTCACTTGAACACTTAAAGACCATTGTAGGACTGTTAATTGGCCCAGTTTCAATATTGTTGTGCCTTAGGCAACAGGGAGGCCAAAGAAGAGAAAGAGAGGAAGAGAGATGGGGAATGCTGGTCGATGGAGCAGGTGGAGGAGGAGCACACACAACATTTATCGATTTAGTTCACTGTCTTTGTGGGTGGGGTTCATGGTACCCCAAAACAATGACAATAGGAACATCAAAGATCACTGATCACAGATCACCATAACAGATATAATAATGAAAAAGTTTGAAATGTTGTAAGAATCACCAAAATGTGACACCGAGACACAAAGTGAGCACGTGCTGTTAAAAAATGGCATCGATAGACTTGCTCGATGCTGGGTTGCCACAAACCTTCAATGAGTAAAAAATGCTGTATTTGTGAAGTACAATAAAGCAAAGCATGATAGAGCAAGGTGTGCCTGTACATTCTCTCCCTCAGTCCCGGAGGAATTCCATTTTAAAGAGGGGGAATCTGAAGCCAGAATGGTTATGGGTAAGTTGCTTGCCTCCCTGGGGGACCAGGATTCAAAACAAAGTCTGATTCTGGTCCAGTGGCTGCTGTGGTTATCAACATTTGCAAGGCCTTCATGAAGAGTCCAAGTAAGCCTGGAGAGAAACCAGTCCTAAGGCTTGTCAAAGAGAAAGAGACCAGGGCCACCCTCTTGGGCTAGCCTCTGACCCACCAGTCTCCAGAAATCCTGGGTACTAACAAGTGACCCAGCAGACTGATGCCTTTCCAACCAAGTCCTCTGTGACTCTGTGCTTCAGTCTTCCCTGCTATGAAATGGGAGAGGAAGATCCTTGAGTTCTTTGCTAGCTATCCGTGAATTCCTGAAGTCTTCCAGGTCCAGAAGCACCTCCTCCACTGGCTCTTCTCCCACTGCCTGCTACCCTCAGCTCACACATCCCCTCCCCTCATTCCTGCTGCCCCAGAGCCTCAGCATCGACAGACCCTCTCCATGTCTTCCTTGGTGTGACTGGGGCTTCTTAAGTCACAGACTTGCTATGTGACCCTTGGCAAGTCGCTGCACCTTGGGCTTCAGAAAAATACAGTGGTTAGACAGGGCCCATCAGAATCACCTGGAGGAGCATAATGCTCCGGCCCCATCCTCAGAGTCTGATTTAAGGTCCAAGGTGGGGCAGCAGGGTTTAAAGCTCCCCAGGGCATCCCAGTGGGCAGCCAGGTTGTGAGCCACAGGGCGAGAGGGGCCCTAGTCCCTTCTGCATGGTTCAGAGTTTGCAAGCTCTGCCTGGACCACACCAGGGGAAAATCTCCTGGAGTTGGGTGCTCGTGTTACCTGGAAAGGAGGTCACCAATCCGAGCTGTTTAACCCCAGATGGGAAAGGGATTAGAGCTGTTCGCCTTAAGCCACAAAGGGAAACATTCTATCTCTGTGTCCAGCTGAGTCCCCAGATGAACTCGGTCTCCATTCTCAGGGTTAGTGCTCTGTCCTGCCAGGGCCCTCTGGGTTGCAGGCCTTTGGGCCCCCTCTTCTGCAGCATTAGATGAGCAAGAAGGGAGAGTCCTCTCCCCCTTGGTCTCCAGGGTGCCCTCTGTCTTGTCCCTGGCTGCCCTAATCCCTCCCTTTCCCTGATCATTCACAGATCAGGGTTATATTTGTAAAAGGGGTTCTGCTATAAAAAATAAGCTTGAAACCCGCTGCCATAGATGTTGGGCCATGCAGGTCCAGCGTTGGGAGGTAGAGAGCTGGGAGCCAGGCAGGCAGGACCTGCATGGTGGGGTGGGCCCTCTCCTGGCTCTGTGGAGGAGGGAAAAGGCTTATGGAGCTGGAGGCCCCGTCTCCCAGCCCCACTCAGCCCACAGAGGCAGGAGAAACCCACTTGCCCCTGATAGCTGCTGCTGCTGCTGTGAGCCACCGCACTACTGCCTTGTTCCCAGCCTGTGTGTGCAGATTCTTTTCTGGCACAATGCCTTACATGTTTTATTTGTAACAGAAGTGGGGGATCAAATGCAAAAAAGAAAACTGCTCTCCATAAGAATGTCATCCAGACTTCACCTTTCTCCATCCAGCAAGCAATAATGATGATGATGGTGATTATTGTCTCATTACTCACTTGTAACACATCTGGAATCTATTCCAGTATACAGGATGAAATAGGGATCCTAGCCATACTTTCCCCTCATTGGTTGGGGGCCCCAGTGAGTAGCCTCCTCCTCCAATGGTGTAAAATGCTACTTTCCCCATAATGTCAGTGCTTATAAGGAACACATCTGGGACTATTTCTGGACTTTCTATTCTGTCTCATCCACAGTGGGATGCTAGGACCTGTGCACACTGTTTTAATTTTTGTAGCTTTATAAAACAACTTACTATCCAGAGGGCAAGTTGCCCAATATTACTCATCTTTTAAAAATATTCCATTTGAACTTTGGGATAATTCTGTTACATTCCCTTTAAAAAAAAACAAAAACAAAAACACTTTGGGAGGCCGAGGCGGGCAGATCATGAGGTCAAGAGATCGAGACCATCCTGGCCAACATGGTGAAACCTCGTCTCTACTAAAAATACAAAAATTAGCTGGGGGTGGTGGCGCATGCCTGTAGTCCCAGCTACTCAGGAGGCTGAGGCAGGAGAATCGCTTGAACCCAGGAGGTGGAGGTTGCAGTGAGCTGAGCTCGCGCCACTGCATTCCAGCCTGGCGACAGAGCGAGATTCCTTCTCAAAAAAAAAAAAGGCCAGGTGCGGTGGCTCACGCCTGTAATCCTGGCACTTTGGGAGGCCAAGGCAGGCAGATCACTTGAGGTAAGGAGCTCGAGACCAGCCTGGCCAACATGGTGAAACCCCATCTCCACTACAAATACAAAAATTAGTGGGCGTGGTGGCACACGCCAATAATCCCAGCTACTCGGGAGGCTGAGGCAGGAGAATTGCTTGAACCCAGGAGGTGGAGGTTGCAGTGAGCTGAGATTAGGCCACTGCACTCCAGCCTGGGTGACAGAGACTCCGTCTCCAAAACAAACAAACAAACAAACAAAAAACCCCCACTACTGGGGCTTTGATTGCATTTAAATTTAGAAACTACTTTGAGGAGAAATAATACCTTTACAGTATTGCATCTTTCTTTTCAGGACCATGTGTCTCCATAATTCAGGTTTCCCTCTGCAGTCCTCAGAAGTTCCTTCTTAAAAAGCCCCTGTGCTTTCTTGGGGAGGTTTATTCCTAGTTTGTTCCTTGAGTTTTGTGCAGCTAGAAAATGGTGTTAGAAAAACCCTGATAACAGTAGTTCACTCCACAAAAGCCCCCCTGCGATTTCCTCATTTCACTGCTGGGAAGAGGGCCGAGGCAGGCTAGGTGGCTGCGCCAGAAGATGAGCCTGGGCTCCTAGTGACCCAGTCCCTTACTAAGCAGAGAGGGGGTGCGGCAGGGTGCTGGGCAGGAGGATTGCCTGAGGCTCTTCCTGTGCTATGAGTCTGATTTCTTTCCAACTCCATAGCTCCTGTCTGAGTCAAGCTCAACTCCCAGATCCTAAAACTCCAGCACTGAAGATGTTAGTCTGTCACTGCCTCCAGTAGAGGATGCTCCCATAGGTCTACTTGTTCTCAAGTTACATGCTCCACCGACTCAAATCAGTGCCCTGGCTGGTGTGGGCTAGGCATCTCATACAACATTGCATTGCTGAATCTTCCCAGCCATCCAGATATAACAGATATAATGTCTGAGGCTCAGAGAGGTTCAGTAACTTGCCTGGGGCCACAGAGCTTATCCATGGCAGAGCTGGGATTCAGAACCAGGGTAGTCTGACTCCTGAGAGACGCTGATCCCTGAGAGCTAGAGATTTTTTTCTTTCTAATGGGAGCAGGGAGACCTCAAGTTCCTTATCTGTGCTCAGAGGATGCAAACTTGTCCCCTTTCCCCAAGTAGATGTGCAGTTTCCCAGCACATCGCTCCTGTCACTCTGCTAACAAGAGCAGGTCTGTGTTGACTGCTAAGGCATCCAGGCTCAGGGATGGGAGGGGGCTGGTCAGAGAGCTGGGCAGCAGCGGGGAGAGGGGGAGGGCCGGGAAGGGGCATGGCCCCCACACTCTATGAATCAACTTCCCTGGCCTGGGTCGGGGAGGGCCCAGAGGACCCACCATCTTTGAATAAGGGGTGTTATCTCCATAATCTTGAGGAAGGAGGAAAGACCTGTTGATACCTACTGAGATTCCATTTAAAAAACTGCTACCTGTTACCTGAGAGAGTAGGGGGCCAGCTCTGGCCAGGGCCCAACCAACCTGGCGAAGCAAAGGCAGGTATGCAAAGGCAGGAAGGTGAAGGCAGTCGGGCGGTGGTTGAGAGTCACTGAAGACAAACTTAAGATGTCTCACGGGGCTTAGCCAGGACTAGAAGGTAGCTATGGGGCCAGGCAGTGGGTGGATGCGGGGAAGTCAGTGGGCCCCTGCCCTGCCAGACATCAAGCTGGAAGCAGATGAAAGTGGGCCAAGAGGACAGATGGGGCAAGGGGTTCCAGCACTGCATGGCTGCACCTCTTACCAAGTTGGTCACTGGTTCTGTATCTCCCTTTCCCCATCTACAAGATGGGCGTGCTAGACTCAATGTGCCCAATGTTCTCAGCAGAAAAAAGTGAGAAGAGAAAGGAGGCTTCCCCCACAAACCACAGCCAGGCTCAGTGAGAAGATCAGAGGCCTGCCTGTCCTGCTCCCTCCCCAAGGCACCTCGCTGCCCAGCAGGTGCTCCGGAAACATCAGCCTCCTGGGTGCAGGATGAGCGCAATGGACTTACAGACCCCTGTTGCCCAGAGAGGGGCAGTGACTAGTACAAGGCCACACAGCTCTCAAGTTTAAGGGTCTGCTGGAGGCACACACCCCTTTCCTTCTCTCCCTCCCCATCTTTCTGCTGCCCGCCCCACTCACCCTGGGTGTGATGGGAAGGAAGTGACACTTCCTTTCATGAAAAGTCACCGACTGGGAACACTGCGTCAATTACCACAATAATGGTAACAGCAGCCTCAATAACAACCAGCAGACGCCGCCCCGCCCCCTCGGCTGAGGTTGTTGGCTTAAGTTTCTCTAAGCTTGAGCTGGAGCAAAACAAAGACAGCCTTTGAAGCGGCGAAACGGCCGGTCCACTCGGCAGCCCGGGAGCGGCGGCCAGGCCGAGTCTACGCGAGCTTGCTCCAGCAGTTTGGGGAGGGGGGCCTGCCAAGTGTTGAGCTGGAGCCAGCAGTGAGAAGAAACGCGATGGGCCTGGGACCCCCACTCCCTAACAGGGCACAGGTGCAGCTCAAGCCACAGCCCAACCTCAGTACCTCAGCTTGGGGGAGGGCGAGAGAGACAGGGTCTGGGGGCAGCTGAGGCCACAAGAGCCACCAGAGGGTACAGAAAGGGAAGGAGGTGCGGGGGACACTGAATGTGAGGCTACCAACTTCCAAGCCCCATTCTCCCTGTCCCTCTTACCGGGCTCTGGGATGTCCTAAAAGCCCCAGTTCCAGGATGGGACTGTCCCTCCCCACGGAGTCTGGGCCACATTTGGTGGTGACGGACAGTGAGAGCTCCTCAGATGGTTTCGTGTGTTCCCATTTCACCTACGGGGCAGAGGCTCAGAGGTGCCAGTTGACGTCTCTCAACTGTAGAAGCAGATTATCGGAGGCCCTTTCTACCTCTGCCACACCAAGTTCTAGGCCCCAGGCGGGTCCCTAAGGCCTGGATTGGGCTCTGAGCTCTGCTGCGGGGTGAAGCCCTCGAGCCCCGACCTCCCACCCCTCCTGTGCTCTAGCGTTGCCTGTAGGCGCAGTGACGCCACCGTGCGTGTGGGCTCCCACCAGAGGAGCCCGGGTGGGGCAAGAGGCACCTGTTGTCCTCCCCTGGGGCCCGCGGAGCACTCCTTACTGGCCCAAGACTCTGCAAACAAAGGGACACTGGACCCGCAGCGCCTTGGGACCCCCTGGGCCCTCGGGGGTCCTGCACCGCGCAAGCCCCACCACGCCGGCGCTGGGCGGAGGGTGACGCGACCCCAGCCCGGGCGACCCCTAGACACCGCGGAGGGACGGAGCGCGGGCCCGGGTTGGCCCGCAGCTCCCGCCGAGCGCGAAGCCGGGCATCGCCTGCAAGCTCGTAGCCCACGCTCTTGCCCTCTTCCCCTGACGCTCCCCAGCCGCCACCCCGTCCCTTCTGCAGACCGAGGGAAGACAAGGGGACACACAAGGGACAGGAGAGGAGAGCAACCAGGGAAGCGACCCCTCTCCTGTGGGGCTGCGGCGGGTGGGCGGAGAGACAGGAGAGGAAAAGAGAAAAGGGAAGAGAAGGAAGGGGCAGGGGGCGAGAAGCCGGGCTCCCCGGACCATCGGCGCAGCCCGCGGCCGAAAGAGGAACAGTGGATCCTACAAAGCGCATTGAGCAAGTTCTTCACACCCGCGCAGCCCCTTTCAGGAAACGGCGGCCGCAGAGGAAAGGGCCGCGCGCTCTGGACCCGGAGTCTGTGCCCGGCGGCGCCGCGGTTCTGAAACCTGCGGGATGTCACGGGGCGGAGGGGCGGCTGCCGACAGCTGTCACAACAAATTAGCTGAGCCCAGCTCGAGGTGGAAACCGCAGCAGGAAGTGGGACGACAGAGCCGTACCGGGCTCGGCATATTTCAGGCAAGAGACGGCGAAAAGAGTTTCGAGATAAACGCCCGGGAAGCCCCTGGCCGCCAAAACTTTTTGTCTTTCCTTTTCTCGAAGCTCGCGCGGACGCCCAGCCTCACCCCTTCCGCGCCGGCCGGGGAGCGCTGAAGCCGCGGGCCGGGCTCGCTCCCCTTGGCCCGCGCCCCGAAACCCACCCCGGGCCCCTCTCCGCCCCACACAGCGCACCGACTGCCACGAGGGCTGGAGGGGACCCGGCGCCGGCACCTTGAACCTCCCTGCAGGGCCGCCGAGCCCCTGTCCGGGCCGCGCCGCAGAGCCGCTTACCCATGGCCCGGAGAGGTCCCGCGGCGCCCGCCCCGAGACCCTCAGCGCGCGGCTGTCCGGACCCCGCGCTCTCTGAGATACTGGCTCGCGGCGCGGCCCGCCGGCCACCTCCCCGCAGTCCCGCCCCGTCCCGCCCCTGCTCGCCCCACTCCGGGCTCCCATTGGTAAGCCCGGCTTCGTCGCGCGGAGAAGGCGGGGGGCGGGGACCGCCCTTGAGTCCGGGGACCTCTGGGAATTGTAGTGCGCGCCCCTCGCCTCTAGGCTTTCAGACTGGAGCCCCTGGAATAGGCTCCTCACCTAGAGGAGCGGAGGCAGGACCCTCAGTAATCATTGCTGCCTTGTGCCTCAGTTTCCCTGGAGGCAAAACTAGAGCCTTGGAAAAAGCCTCCTTGCTTTCAGCAGAGCACTGAGGACTCTGTGGAGCGAGCAAAGTGCTTCTGACTTTGATTTGAAAGTGGCCCTGTGCATTTCCCAGTCCCCACCTAGCCCAACAAAGAAGGCCAGGTGAGGCCGGGAGCGGCGGCTCACGCCTGGAATCCCTGCTTTGGGAGGCGGAGGCGGGAGGATCACTTGAGCCCAGAAGGTCGAGGCTGCAGTGTGTTTTGATCACACCACTGCACTCTATCCTGGATCCTGGGCAATAGACGGAGACCCTGCCTCAAAAAAAAAAAAAAAAAAAAAAAAAAAAAAAAAAAGGAGAGGTGGTTAGTGTGAGCTAGACAAGGACCAAACTAGTAAATCCTTGGCCTAGGCTCTGTGGCCAGGCCTGCCAGTAATAGTCAATGTCCACACACATAATGCAGACAGAGTGTGGCAGCTACAAGCTGAGTAGTCCAAAGAAGGGGCATGAGTTCAGGCTGTGGGAGGTGGGAATGAGGCCTAGGGCGAATGGAGGCAGGAGGAGGTGCCCAGCCAGCCATAGCAGCAACCTGGACCTGTGCAGGCCAAAGAGGAAGAAATGGAGGCTCAGGGTTTCAGTCTCAGCAGGTGGCTAGCTAGGATGGGAACCCTGTTCCTAGCACATAGAAGCTACACAAAAATCTTTGTTGATGAATTTTAATACTCATAATAGCTCTATGCACTTGACACCATCATTGTCCTCATTTTATAGCGTAAAACTGAGGTCTGAGAGATTAGCTCAAGTAGCACAGCTGGTAGGTGTTGGAGCCAGAGCTAGACCCAGGAAGAGGAGCCCTCATACCCAGGCATCCCCCCACCCGCTTTGCACCCATTACTAACCACTCATCATACTGGTGCCCCTCCTCACACTAAACGAAGGGACCAGGGCTGCAGTTTGGTGAACCTGAAACCCTGGCCCTTACCCTTTGGCCCTGGGATGGAAGATGTCTGCAGGCTCAGTCTAGAGCAGACGACCCTGTGGGCTCTGCAGGATAAATCCCCTGTCTACCTCATAATGGGTTGGCTTGTAAGAGCCAGCACCTGTAGAATTGGTAATAGACACCCAGAACAATCATAATGGTAATTATAACAATGCATCCCACTTTGGCAAGTTTACAAGCCACTTTCCCCTCCAGGAAAGCTAAGGCTGTGGTGGAAGACACTATGATGGGATGCCATCAGGAAGCACCTTTGTACATTCTGGAAGCATTGATTGGCAGGCACTATGCCCAAGGTTGGGGATGGAGCTCTGGATGCAGCCCCCGGGGTCACAATCTAGGCCAACCCCTCACTTGTGGGTTGGATACCCCTAATGACAAGGAACTCACTATCTTATAAGACAGCAGCTCATCCCACCAAGAGTTAGGGTTATTCTGCCATCCGGGCAGCTGGGCACATTCTGACAGACAAGGGCTGTTGTGCAAAGCCTCAGCAAGTCAACACCTGCCTGTGCCAGCCTGGGAACGATAGGATCTAAATTTAATTGCTTCCTGAGGCAACTGTTTGCAATAGAAAGTAATTTACAATGGCCAGTAAATCCTGCAGAAAACAGACATCTCCATTCATCTGGCTAAAAGCATAAACACTTCCATTGCTCAAGCCTCCATCTCACACACCTCCACTCCGGCCCAAAGCCACCCTCCTCTGCACCCTCCAACCACAGGATCCCAGGCCAGGACGCCTCTGTGCCTACAGAGGGGGTCAGCTAGCCCCTCAGTGTCCTGGTGTCTCTCTGTGTGTCTTAATAATAAGAAAAACAAACCATCACTTATAAATAAACACATTCGTCCTGTAAAAACATGCAAGTAAATCAGCCCTCTCTGATGCTACACCAAATCCAGTTCCCTCCCTGCCCCAGAGGTAAAGACCCATCAGATTGGGTGAAGTCTTCCAGAACTTTCCCTATGTGTATTTTCAAAACTATATATGTATCCATGGTATAGAAAAATAGATAGCTTTGTTTTATGTGTGTGTTTAAAGAAACGATACAATTCTCATTGCTCCATTCTGAAACTTGCTTTTTCGATCACCGCTAGATCTTACAGACTTTCCTTGTTGGAACACAGATCTGCTTCTTTGGGAACTGCTGGGCTGTGTGCCCAGCACAGTGTATTTAATCTCCTCTTGATAGCGTTTAATCTTTTTGCAATTACATGAATCCTGCTGAGAACATTATAGACCCCCTTAGAACAGTTCCAGGGCTAAGGAGCTCACAAAGTGTTCCCAGAGACTGAGCTAAAAGCTGCTTTCTAACTCCCACCTCCATGTCCTAGCACCTCTTGTTAGCCCATTTCTAGGAAGAAAATCTGGCCCTGGGGGTGGTTCTCATCCTGGAGCTCTCAGAGATATAGGGACCATTCAAGATCATCTGTCCACCTGGTCTCATTTTAGAAAGGAGGTCACCAGGCCAGAGAGGTTAAGCAAACTGTCCAAAGTCACACAGCAAAATCAGTGCTTTTGTTTCTTCTGGGACCTGCAAACCCATCCAGTGCCCTCAGGAAACAGAATGCACAGCCAGTCTTCTATCCTGGGAAGCTCAGTTCCCAGGCTCAGCAGTTGCCAAAGGCCCCTGGGGGTTTGTTTTCAAAGGAGAAATGAAGTGGGGAAGTATTTTTAACGCGGCCCCGCCCTGCTTGCCTAACTCCTCGTTCCCCGTGCTAGCTGTCCAGGAAAGGCCAGCTTCACAGCAGCATTTGCAACTCATGGAAAACAACAAATGCCCGAAATAGATGATACCCAAGCTCAGGAATGGAAAAAATTGGCTCATGGTTCAAATGCCTCTTTTAGAAAAAGACAAGAATAGCTTTTGGCCTTTGGGGAACTGCTGGGGGTGAAGGAGTGGGGAGGTGGTTGTGAGTCCCAGATCACCAAGGGCCAACTTCCTGCCTGAAAGAGCTTTGGCCACTGTACCCCAGGGCGCGTGTAAACCAGCTTCCCAAGCTTTGTCCACACTGGAAGCTGCATCTGCACCTGGCTCTAGGTTCCCTCCAACCTCCAGCCAATCTGGAAAGATTTCCTGTGTTGGGCCAGGGCTGGGCTGGTTTCCCCTCTCCACCCCACATCTCCCCAGTGTGTCCCAGCAGGGTAGAAACCCATGGTTCTGAACTTCCTGAGCCTGAAGGGTGGAAGCTGAATTCCCCTGGGGGAGGGGAACGGAGGGCAAGGAGAGAAAATTGGGGGTTTCATTCCCACTCAGACACAGCCCAGCTGTGTGGCCTTGGACACTTAACCTGTCAGGGCCTCAGGCCCCTCCCGTGGAAAGCAGGATAATGCTCCACTTATTCAGTCATCCACTCATCCAACATGTGTTGTGTGGTCCTACTATGTGCCAGCACTGAGCTAGACCTGGGATGTAGCCACAACCAGAAAGAAGTCCGTATCCTTGTGGAGCAGAAGATGTGGCCCTTGCCAACCTCACAGGCTACTAAGAATCAGTCCCCGCTCCAGCTACTCAGCCAAGGCCTTGTGCTGAAAGGGGTGAAAATGCCTTGGACCAGGGCGGACCCTAACACACACTGCACCATCTTGCATGGAGTATTTCTTTCAATGTCACTCTAGCCCTCTGAAGTGGGCGCTGTATCTATATCTATCCCCTTATTACAATTGAGAACCAGAGAGTAAGTGCTGGACAAGCCCACAGACTCGTCCACAGACAGGAAGGAGTAAGTTTGGGCTGGGTGAGGGCCAGGCCCTGGTAAGTCCCAGGGTCAGGGTAACTAAAGCTCTGTGTGAGTCTTGACTGGTGCTTAGCACAAAATGCACTGGACAAGAAATCTCTTAAAACCATTGGGTCTCTGTGACACTTTTACTTAAAATAAGGTCTCAACTGACACTTCCACTCTCTGTTGTATGTCAGGTGACCCTTCCATTTGACAGAAGAGTAAACCAAGGCATGTAGAGATTAAATGACCTCTGCCCAGCCACACCCTGCCCATCTCCCACCAAGATGAGGCGGGAGAGGGGCGAGGAGTTGGGCTGGGGATGGGGGCATGACTGGGGCCAGGACAGAACTCCATCTCCCAGGATACCATGCAAAGGGGGCGTGTAGGGGCTGGGCCTCCGCGTAGGCAGGGCTGTAATTTCTTGGTATTTAAAAAAAAAAAAAAAGGAGCAAAAGGAAAGAGAGAAAGAATCGAAGCCTCAAGCGTCACGTCTAGGAATAGCGCTGGAGTCGGGCCAAGTCATTAGAGACGATGAGTAATCTGGTTAAGTCATTTCTCTAAACACCATTCCTTGTAAGAGAATTAAAATATCAGCTTACATCAGAGGGGGAGAGGCAGGCTCCAGAGGCCCAGGCAGGAGCACGGCCAGGAAGGGGGCACGGCTGTTGCGCTCTGCCACTCAGCCCTGCCCCCGGCGGGGGCTGCATGCGGGGCCCTGCCAGCTGAGCCCTGGGCTTGCGGTGGGGGCTGGCATCCAGCTAGCAGGGGTAGGGGGAGCGGCCCGCCACACCTCCGTTTACCTCATTGTTCAGGGTGCTGGGAGAAGTTCGGGACTGCCTGCTCTTGGGAGAATCGTTGTCCCTCCTGGGGGCAGCTGTTTTGTTTTTTTTTTCTTCAGTGTCTCCCCTCCCTCCTAAGATGTTGAGTTGATATCTCGACAGCTTCAGGTCTACCGTTGGAGTAAAGGGCTGGGGATCGGCCTGGGGACACAGGGAATGGAAAGAGGGGTCCCCAAACCTCTGGAGAGGTGCCGATTTCCCCCTAGACTAACTGGAAAGTGGTGAGGGGTGATGCCTTAATTCCTATTTCCCCCTTTTCCCTTTAGTTGCCCTGTATTTGGAGAACGCAGGGCTGGGAATCTGCCAGACTTATGGAGGCGGTGGTGACTGCCAGCGCCACTTTCCGCATCCTGGGGGCAGGATTATGGTGACCTGGGGAGAGCTGCTGATCATGAAGCTGACCCTTGTGGGAGGCAGTGGTGCAAGTCTGTGGTCCCAGTGACTCCGGAGCTGAGGTGGGAGGGGGATCTCTTGAGCCAGGAGTTCAAGGCTACAGTGAGCTATGATCGCACCAGGGCACTGTAGCCTGGGCGACAGAGCGAGACCCCAACTTAAAAAAAAAAAAGATGCCCTCAGGCTCATTATAATGCCTACCCTCTGAGCCAGGACCCACAATGTGAATTGGGTCTCAGCTGTGAGCAGGACACAGACGTCATCTCACCCTCTGTAGCCCTAAAGAGGCCCGGAGACTTCCTAATGGCCTCCCAGCCATTCCTAGGCCGTGTGGAATCACTCAGGTTTATGGTGGCGGGCCCCAAACACTTGAGGCAGGCTCTCACCACATGCTGACTCCTGCAGCGACAGGCTAGGAGAGGTCCATGCCTCCCTGGGAGCTTCTCAGCCAGTCCAGAGAACAGAAACCTCCCCGGCTCTGGAGTCAGGTGGACTGGTTTGCAATCCGGGTACCCTCCCTTGCAGGTAGTATGACCTGGGATGGGTTATTCACTGTCTCCAACCCTTAGTTTTCCCGTGTGAAATGGCGTTAGCAATACCTAGCTTGCAAGATTACTGTGAGGGTGAGAAATAACATAAGCCTTCAACAACTGGTCATTCTATTGTGGCAGCTACCTGAGAACAGCCTCCTTCGCCGGTGGCATCAGAACTTCTGCAGGGTGGATTCTGCACTCTTCAGGCCTTGCCCTGATGACCTGGGGCTGGGCCCTGAGACCCCACTCCCGATCGGGCTTTCCAGGTCTTTGGGTAGCAGCTGCAAAGCCCTCCCGAGGTTCCTGGTGGGGTCCTAGGCTCTGGCCAGGATGCGGGCATGAAGGGAGGAATTATGGGGGAAGTCAGTGACTCATCTCCAATCTGAGTAGGCCCCACTAACCCCTTCAATACTGGAAGCCCAGGCTTTTGGGGGAGGGACTGCTCTAATTCCTCCTCCCCAGATGAACTCATGGGACTTTGCGAATATGAAAACTAAAGCTTTCAGCCTTGCAATGGCCTGGGGTCAGCTGGCTCCAAGAACCCAGATCCCCCAGAGGTTTCATACTCTTGCTGTGGCTCCCCCACACTGCAGCCCCGACCTGAAGCCCAGGCCCCTGCTTTCATCATCGTGGTATCATCCACCAGGCACCTGCCACAGGCAGGGCTACCCTCCCTGCCTGACATCCCAACTACCTTTGTTGGAAACAGTACCTGGCAGGGAGAACCCAAGGTGAACCCAGGTATACGTGGTTCTGTCTACACCCCAAGAGCTCTCTCATTCTCCCCGCACCTGCTGTGCATCCTTTCTGCTGCTGCACGCCCAGATGTGAGTGTGCAAAGCTGTGTACACACGCCTGTGCATCTATGCATGGGTCTTGCCTGCCAGGAGCCCACAGCTCACACATAGGATCACACAAACATATGTATACACTAACTCACCAGAGAGCCTACAAGAAGCCCCTGAAGCTTTTTCTTCCCCACATCTGGGGCACCCTGGCCTGCCCTGGACTCCTAGAAGAGGACACAGGGTTGTCCAGCCCCCCTCCCTCACCCCAGCTGCCCACCTATGCCATGGTGTCTTCAGCCATGGGGCCTGCCTGAGGGATTCTGCTCTGTTAAAACTGCCTTCGCTCTCTCTGCCTTGGCCTCAGCAGGCTCTTCCAGACCTTCCTGAGTGGTAGTGGCCACGGCTGAAGACAGAGGGCTGCGTGGAGGCTGAAGGCAGAGGGCTGGGCCTTGGGCCTGGGTAAAGACAGCTCTGGACATGGAGGTAGGTTGGCATCCCCCCTCTCTGGCACATACGGCAATATAGCCACACTGGGAGGGCTTTGCCCCAGTGCCTGGTGCTGTTTCTGGAGCTGTGTGTGTGCATGGGCTATACCCTCTGGCCTGGAGGAACCTTCCCGGGCTTGGCAGTTCCCACTGTATTTACCTAGTGAGCTTCTGCTCATCCTTCAAGGGCCCACCTGAGGCAGATACCCAGGGGTCTCAACACACACCTCCAGCAGGGCATGTGCCACATCGTGCTCCTGTGGTCAGCCCCATGCCATTGTGTGACTGGCCAGCAGCTCCCGAGCCTCTCGTCTCCAGCTAGGAGTGGTCTTTACTATCTGCCCACACTACGCTGCTGAAAGGGCCGCAGAACCCCGGCCACTGCTCCTCCAGAAGAGGAAACTGAGGGTCTAAGTGGGAAGGGACTTATCCAAGGTCTCACAGTCGCTTCAAAAGATCTCACAGTTGGTAAAGGAATTGGGAAGGAAGAGGAGGAAGTGAGAGGCCACTGAGGGCAGGTGCACAGTAGGTGCTCAATGAAGATCCACAGAAGGAGAATGAAGGGCACGGAGGAGAGGGAGGAGGAAGAGGCCATGCACCCACCTCCACCCCTATCCCACATCTCCCTCCATCACCAGGCAACATCTGCCCTTTCTTCCCCAGGGGTTAGCGCTTCCTAGTTGTCAAGGGCAGCACATTCTAGATGCTGGGGACTTGACCTCACATGCGGCCCTTCTTGCTGGAGTTTCGCTGGAGTCACACCCTCCCTATGGCTGCAGGCTGGCTGCTCAGGCCACAGCCCCTTTCCTGGTTATCTGTGTTGCTGCTGAATCCTGGCCAGGGGTAGTGAACACAGCCCAGGTCTTGGACTCCAGGACAGCGCCCCCTCAGCTCCCCAAGGAGCTCAGAGGTCCCAAGCCCCTGGCCAGCTTGTCTCAGCTGGAGGGAGGTTCTGGGCATCCTGTAGCTGGACTCTGGGGACTCTGAGGCCTGCCTTGGCTGAGAATCTGTCTTGGCACAGATTCTGTGCCAAAGCGATGGGCAAATTTTTCTCCACAGGAAACCCAAGTACCCCAGTGCAGTTGAACTCTCCGTGCTGTCTCCTATCTATGAAACCGGCTGGCAGGCACAATAACAGCCCTCACGCCTCCGGGTGCAGTTACGGGCATTGGATGAGCTATTTCTTATAAAGGGCTTAGAACTGTGCCCGCTGGCGGGAGGAAGTGCTCCATAAACATTAGCTGGTTTCCACAGCCCTGGGTGAAACAGAAGGCACGGGGTGGGCCCAGGCTGGGGGAGTGGGGACAGGAAACCTGACTTCCAGCTCCAGCCCCAGCTCAGCAGATAGGCCATTTGGTTCTGCAAGGCCCCCACCCCCTTGCCTTCCCTCCTTCTGTACGTGTGTGTCATATTTTGTTGGCTTTGGGGCTTTCTTTTCTTTCTTTCTTTTCTTTTTTTTTTTAAATAAACAAGGGCTGCATGAAACCCCTAATATTCTGGGTAAGTGTTGAAACAGCTCAGAAATCCCCTCCTCCCCTTGTGACTCAGTGGCAGGAGCGATAAGCAGAACTACTGGTGACACTGTGGGAGAGAAATTCTGCAAAATAACAGCTGGGCAGCCCGGGACCCCAGGGAGTTGAAATGGGACCTCGGAGACATCAGGATGTCCTGGAGAGGCACCAAGGCCAGAGGTCCCCCAGGGACCGTGGAGGGGGCATTAAGCCCTGAAAACAGATCATGATGCCCATCCCCCCAGCACAATTAGAAATAAAAACAACCCGGGACAGTTAAATTAGTGTAAGGAAGTCCCTCAAGAGTTTTACTTTTCCCGTAACGGCGATTTTCGATGCTCCTTCGGAAACATCAGATTCTTTCCAAGCGTTATTCTTTTTCTATTTTGGTGCCCGAAGTACTAGCGTGGTGGACCAAGCCCCTACACCAGCCGTGAGCGACCCCTGCGGGCTGCCTGGCCCCTGTGGGCACTGGCTCCGGGGATGCGGCAGGGGGCGGAGGGGGCGACACCGGGCTTGGGGGGCGGGCAGCGGAGGGAGGACTGGGGGTGGGGAGGGGGGAGGGCGGGGAGGGCGCCCAGCGGCGCGGCCGCGCCCCCCACCCCACCCCATTCCACCCCCACCGAGGACCGCGCTGGGGTTTCAGAAAGCGCTTTTCTGGCCCTGCCGCCGGATCTGACTCAAAAAGGGGAGCTGGCTCAAACCGAAAGAATAATTCGGTTAGCCAAAGCGCCGATATTTCCCTGGGGCCCAAATGGCTGCCAGGCAGGGGGCTCCAGGGCCGCAGCCTCGCCGGCCCCTCGGGCCCCGCCGAAAGCCCCGGGCCCCATCCATCTTCGCCACCGAAAGGGGCAGGAAGAGCAGCTGAGAGGAGGGCGCCTCCTCCAGCCCCGCAGGCTCTGCTGCCGGACCGTCGTGTCCCTCCCGAGGCCTTCCCCTGCCTGTCCCAGCGGGCCCTGCTCTCTCGGGTTCTCAGGACGTTGGGCAGACCCCTTAGGCCTCTTTTCTAGCAGCACGCACATTCCTGCACACCTCCGCATGTGAAGTTTTTCTGGAAGTATCATGTGGACACTTTTGGAGGCCTACACCCACTCTTAGAGGTGTCTGGCGTCCCATTGCAGGGGCGTTCCGTCTTTTGAAGTTGAAGAATTGTCTTGGACCATACGTAAAATACACTAACACTACCGACAGCCGGTGAGCTAAAAGAAAAAATCGCGAAAATACCTCAGTGTTCTAAGAAAGCTTTATGAATTTGGGCCGCATTCAAAACCTTCCTCAGTCACATGCCGCCCTTGGGCCACGCGTTGGACAAGCTTGCATCCTAGAGACCAATGCGAAATTAACTCGAAAAGAAAGAACCGCTCGGGCCGATTCAACACCCCTGTCACCTATCCTCACCCACGATTTCACTCCCAGGCCCCTTGGCCTGGCGGCGCTTGCCCTTTGGCCAGCGTCCTAGAGGTCACAGTGAGGCCCAAATGAACGGGGTTTTACCGAACCGACATGCCCAGGAGAGAAACATGGATCTATACAGAGAGGCTAATCATTTGTTTCAAGCTGAATTGCCAGGGTGGAGTGGGTGGGGTGGGCCCAGGGGCTCCCCTCCGCTCCCCCCGCAACCCCTGTGTCCAGTCTGAGGTGCCTGTATGCATTCTCTTCAGGTCCCCACCTTCAGTCTGAAGCAGGGAGCCGGGCTTTGCAGGTGCAGAAGCTCTCTGGCTCTGGGAGCCTGCTGGACTCAAGTTCATTCTGACCTCAGGACAGGTGTGGGCAGGAGATGCTGACGGCTGGTTTTCCTGGGCCGCCCAGAACACCTGGCCTCTCAGCTGTCTCAGCACAAAATTCGCCCTGTAAGCAGGACCCTCCTGAGCTCCCAGAAGGGCCAGGCACATAGCTGCTGTCACCGGTAACAGTCCTGCAGACAGCGAGACGGCTGTGACACAGTGCTGCACACAAAGCCTGGCTGCTGCCCGCCATATGCAAGGACAGGCACCAAACACAGCCTAGGTCAGGGACCTGCGGGGTCAGCTGAGCGTGTGAGGAGGACTCAGGTGCCTGCAATCCCTGCCTCCCTGCCACAGCGTGATGCTACAGGGTGGCCCGGCAGGACTGGGTCATTACAGCTCCTGACCTACCAGAGGACCTAGTGTCACCCCCCACTCAGTTGTCACATTGCTGGGGAGTCTGAAGAGGGGGAAGGCACCAGGGTGGTCCCAGCCATGCTGGGACTTGGAGCAGTCCCTAGTACTGACACTGAAGTATGTCAATATCACAATAAGTGGCTTAGAGGGGGTGGCATTGACTGTTAATCCCAAGGGATGAAGGGAATACCTCGCTCCTGGAAGAAAGCTGGGAGCATCTCTCTGTTTTTTTTTTTTTTTTTTTTTTGAGACAGGGTCAGTCTGAAGTGCAGTGGTGCAATCTCAGCTCACTGCAGCCTTGGACTCCTAGGCTTAGGTGATTCTCGCACTTCAGCCTCCCAGGCAGCCACGACCATAGGCATGCACCACCATGCCTGTCTAATCTTTTAAAAAATTTTATGGAGGTGGGATCTTGCTATGTTGCCCAGACTGGTCTTGAACTCCTGGGCTCAAGTGATCCACCCACTTTGGCCTCCCAAAGTGCTGGGATTATAGGCGTGAGCCACTGCACCAGGCTACATCTCCATTTTAAGATGCTGAGTGGGCACTTGGAGGAAGGACAAGAAGCAGAGTGGGTCCTGCTATATTGTGTACATTCTGGAAGTCCTCACTGCCCTGGTACCCAGACTTAGGTCTGTCACTCAGGAGTGGCAAGGGCTGCCCTAGGTCTGGCCCAGAAGTCCTCTGAGCTCCTGCTTAGAGTGCCATAGTGCCATGCCAGTGGTATGGAGGGGCTTGAGCACACTCGGGCTTATGCACACATGTGTCCCGTGGACTGTCTGGGTGCGTCTCCATGTGGGAGAGCATTCTGCCTTCTTGCATGGCAGCAAAGCTTTCGTAGGAACTCTAACCCTGTTGAAGGGAAGTAGGGAAATGAGGAGTGTCTGAGACACCAGGCTGCCTGCTCAGTCTTTCAGAGGTAGGAGAGAAGCCTGCAGAGGTCTCAGGGCTCACTTCCGCTTCCCATGAAGGCTCCCACCTGGGATCCCCAAGGTCCAAGAGCCCTCTGGAGGGAGGACCTCTCCTAAAGGGCGGCAGCCTGGGATCATCAACCAGTCCATGAAATTTCCCTCCGAGCCCTTTACAGTTCACTGTGCCCTGATTTTACAGATGGGAAAACCAAGGCCCAGAGAGGGAAAGTGGTGTGCTCAAAGCCACACTGTGGATCAGGGGCGGGGCACGGTCTGGTGCCTGCCAGCGTCCTGCGTTTCTTCCCACACTGCAGTCAGGAGAGGGAGGTGGCCGGGCAACCCTGGATCTGCTGCCCTCGGGCAGTTAGGGGTGGGGAGGGAACTCCAATGGATGCTGTGCCCCTAGCAGCAGTGGCTGCTTCACATCCCGTCCTTGGCCAGTTGTTTTGAACAAGGTATGTTTTGCTAACTTTTTACCTGGGGATCTCCAAGCATGCGATGAATTCGGAGAATATGGTTGCTGGTTTCTGCACATTTTTTTCCCCTGTAGTCTGGCCTGTTTATCACGAGCTCTGCTAATCAGAATATTCAAGTGCATGCACATACACAGGCATACACGATGTGCAGGACGTTCTGGGGAATTTACTTTTCTGGGTAACTGAGGGTTAACTGGAAACCTGTGTTCTTATGCCTTATTGAAAATTTTTCTACAAATGATGAGCATTTCCCCAACTTAGTATTTTGAAAAGTTCCACCACTTTCTAAATATGTGACCTTGGTTGAGTTACCTAACCTCAGTAACCTCAGTTTCCTTATCTGTAAAATGTGCAGAGCAATGCCTCTCTAGGTAATGAAAGGAACTAGAAATAAAAGCAGTGCATAGCATACCGTGTGTGCTTTAGAAATGGAGCCATTGCTACTGCTATTAGGACTCTTATTACCTGGTCAAAGGATCGGGAGAGTCGACTGAGGATCTTTGTGGGGATTTGGGACTCGGGTTTGGATGCCGTTGCACATCTGGCATCCATCTGCAGTTTCTGTCCCAATTAAGTCCTCCCAAGGAGATAGTTTTCTTATGATTTGCTGCTTTCTCATAAAAGCCGCTGCAGCCGTGGGAGCTGCATGCAATGAACCAAGGACCTTTGGTCTGGAGCCCATACGTTCTCTTTGAGTTTGTTGTGCCTCCTCTGGGAAAGGGCCAGGGGATGAAGGGCAGGGCCTGGGCTCAGCCTTCCTGGGATTCTGTTCCACCCCACTCTGTGTCACGCATGCACCCTGCACACAGCTCAGGACCCACTCCCTTGCCAGAGGGCACGCCAGGAAAAAGACAGGGAAAGGGGCACCCCGGCCACTGAGAAGGCAGGAAGGGCACCCTGGGCTGGGGGAGAGCAGGACAGGCTCTGGATCCCCAGCAACTACAGGGAGATTGGGATAGCTGGGGAGGGGTCTGGGTCTTAGTCTTGGCCTGGTGCATTCTAGGAAACCCTTTCTTCCTTCCCTTCCTTCCTTCCTTCCTGCCTGCCTGCCTGCCTGCCTGCCTGCCTTCCTTCCTTCCTTCCCTCCATCCCTCCCTCCCTCCCTCCCTCCCTTTCCTTCCTTCCCTTTCATTCCTTCCTTCCTTTTTTTTTTTTTTTGATGGAGTCTCACTCTGTTGTCCAGGCTGGAGTGCAGTGGTGCTATCTTGGCTCGCTGCAGCCTCTGCCTCCTGGGTTCAAGCGATCCTCGTGCCTCAGCCTCCTGAGTAGCTGCCACTGCAGAAGCATGCGCCACCACACTCAGCTAATTTCTTTTTTTTTTTTTTTGGTATATTTTTAGTAGAGATGGGGTTTTACCATGTTGGCCAGGCTGGTCTCAAACTCCTGACCTCAAGTGATCGGCCCACCTTGGCCTCCCAAAGTGCTGGGATTACAGCTGTGAGCCACTGCGCCTGGTCCAAGAGGCAGCCTTTTCTGACCCACCCCCAGATAGATCCAGATTGAAGAGTTGAGGAGCTGCCTGGAAGTGGGGAGCCCACGGGACTCCCAGCTCCATGAAACTGCTCCTGCTGGCTGTGGAGGGGGAGGAAGCAGCCACAGATGGGGAGGGTGGCAACCAGGCACCTACCCCTGCAGGGCCGCTGCCTTGCCCCCACAGGTGTAGCACTATCCGCCCAGGGATGAGGCCTGGGTGCCTGCTGGTGCCCTGTGTCAGAGGTACAGTCCTGTGAAAGGGCATGGAGTTCAGAGTCAGATCAACCCCAGCCCTGTCCCTTACTGGATGGCCTTGGGCAGCCCACTTAGATCTCTGGGCCTCACTCTCCTTACCTGTAAAATGGAAATACTTACCTTTGGGTGATGATATGAAGATGCAATGAGACTAGTGTGTGAAAAGTCAGCCTGGTGCAGTCCCTAGGCTTACAACCTGCCTCCTGCCCTTTGCTCAGGGCTGCTGAGAGGAGCACCTGGTGCTGGGCTGGACAGAGCCTTGTAGACTGAGGGTAGAGCATTGTAGGCTTTGGTTTCTGGGATGGGGGCAAAGGCTATCTCTAGACCACATCTGTATGCAGTCCCTCCTCGTTCTCGCTCCAGCTCAGTCTGTCCCTGCCTCTCACTTCTCTCTCTTCTTCCCCATAGCCTGCCCCAGGCCCCCAGCCTTCATACGGAGACCTGCCACGCTGGCACAGGGCCTGCAATAGGATGAGGAAGTGCTTGCTTTGATGTCCCACTCCCCTTAGACTCACTTTTGTCCACCTGGAGACAGCATCCTGGGGCACATAGAGGCCCACCATGGTGCCTGAGCTCCTGCACACCCAGCAGAAGCTGGAGGGTGGGAGCGGGGGAGGAGGATGTATAAACGTTGTATTGAATGATAGAGTGCACACATGCTGAGCATATACTGTGTGCAAAGACAGTGCCACTGGCCTCTTAGTTCATTTTCTGCTGCCGTAACAGAATACCACAGACTGGGTAACTTACAATGAATGGAAATCTATTCGGCTTACTCTTTTGGAGGCTGGGAAGTTCAAGAGCATGGTGCCAGCATCTGGTAAGGGCCACGCAGAAGGCGAAAGCAAGGGCAGGAGAGACAGAGAGAGGAAATCGACTGAATTAATCCTTTTTATCAGGAGCCCACCCCTCGGCGATAACGCTTCACTCACTCTTGCATAATAGCATTAATCCATTCATGAGGGCAGAGCCCTCATGACCTAATCATCTCTTAAAGGTTTCACCTCTTAATACCATCAGAATGAGGACAAGCTTCTAACACATGAATTTTGGGGGAACACATTCAAACCATAGCAGCTGGGGTGGGTGAGATTGCGCAAAAAGCATTCCTGCTATCGATAATGAAAATATCACTCTGTGTATGCACAGCACAGAAAATTTCACAAGCGCTTTCCTACACTAGCTTTTCATCCTCGCCACAATAGTCCCTGACTTCAAAAAGCTTATAATTTAGTTACTGGAGAAAGTTGTGAATAACTATGATACAGTGCAGCAAGGCCAACATTAGGGGGAAGTATCCCTAATCTGGAGGTATCTGGAGATAAAGACTTGAGCCACGTCCTTAAAACAGTAGCCAATTAGCAAATGTAGGTTAATTTGTTGTTAATTAAGTATGTGGCAGAACCCTGATTTTGATGGGATTGGCAAACAAATTATACTTCCCATCATCCCTTGCAGCTAGGGGTAGGCTTAGGATCCAGTACTGGCCAATGAGATGTAAGTAGAAGTTAGCTGGGGATTTCTGGGAGGTAGACTTTCCTGGTGTAAGCCTCACCCCTTCCTTGTTGTCACTTCCTTTTTTTCTTCTTCTGGGAAGGTGGAGCGAGGCTGAGGTGGAATCAGGCGGCAGGTGCTTAAACAGGAGTTTAAGGCTCTTGGAAACTCATTACTGTCTCTGGATCTGTTTCCTTATCTGTAAACCAGAGGCTGAATGAGATAAAAACATTTTTAAGCATTCTACTTTGCTAATTTATAATATGTGAACATATAATACACATACAAGCGTCTGTGAATGGGTTGAGAAATATGATTTAATTGACAAAAACTCAGATTACTATAACCTAATGTCTTAAGGAGCACAGCCACCCTCAGTGTAAAGTAGGTGCTCCAGTAGATTTAAAATAAATCAATTTAGGACAGCTGCCACTCTTTGAGGCTCATGTATTTGTGGTAGAAAAAAAAATGATTATTTTAGTAAAAAACATCTGGCTGTGCACATTTCTGCTGCCTGACAAGTGTGCAGTTATTCAGCCAGCATGAGGACAAACCTCTGTACTGCCTCCTTCAGTTTACACAGACTGGCGGGTGAAGAAATCATGTCTAGAATTAGACCACGTTAAAGGAATGATTGTAATCTTAAAGCATCTGTGATTCTAACACGTAGGCCTGGAGTTGATAACCCTTTGTTTAAAATCTCTCAGTATGATGGTGACTTTGACAGTTTTTTCTTGTAATTCTGTAACTGTTTGCTGTATATATTTTAGAGTTATTAGTTGCAAGCAGGTTCAACATTGTTTTATCCTATTGATGAATTATTCCTTTTATCATTATATAATGACACCTTTTTCTTAGTGATGGCTTTTGCCTTAAAGTCTATTTTGCCTAATACTAATATTGCTACACCATCTTTCTTTTGGTTAGCATCTGCTTAGTATAGAAATATTCCCAATATTTCTGTGTCATTATGTTTTAGGTGTATCTCTTATAAATAGCATATAGCTAGAATTTTAAAAATATAATCTGAGATTCTCTGTTATTTGAATGAAAAATCGAGTCCATTTACATTTATTATTATTATATATTTGGATTTAATTCTGCAATTTTACTTATTTTATATTTACCATGTTTTCTTTTTTTTTTTTTTGAGATGGAGTCTCGCTCTGTTGCCCAGGCTGGAATGCAGCAGCGCAATCTCGGCTCACTGCAACTTCTGCCTCCTGGATTCAAGTGATTCACCTGCCTCAGCCTCCTGAGTAGCTGGGACTACAGGCATGTGCCACCACACCTGGCTAATTTTTTTTTTTTTTTTTTGGTAGAGATAGGGTTTCACCATGTTGGACAGGCCAGTCTCGAACTTCTGGCCTCAAGTGATCTGCCTGCCTTGGCCTCCCAAAGTGCTGGGATTACAGGTGTGAGCCACTGTGCCTGGCCTATATTTACCATGATTTTGCTTTGCTTCTTTCCTCCCTTTGCTAGTATCTTTTTTTTTTTTTTTTGAGACGGAGTCTTGCTCTGTCATCCAGACTGGAGTGCAGTCATGCAGTCTTGGCTCACTGCAGTCTCCTCCTCCCGGGTTCAAGCAATTCTCATGCCTCAGCCTCCAGAGTAGCTGGGACGACAGGTGCACACCACCATGCCCAATTAATTTTTGTATTTTTAGTAGAGATGGGGTTTCACCATTTTGGCCAGGCTGGTCTTGAACTCCTGACCTCAGATGATCCACCCACCTTGGCCTCCCAAAGTGCTGGGATTGCAGGGTGAGCCACCATGCCCGGCCTGCCAGTGTCTACTATATTAATCAAATTTTCTTTATCTCCACCCCCTTTCCTTATACTGGTTTGAAAATTATACATTGTATTTTGATTCTTTTAGTAGTTAACTTATATTTCTATCATGTGTATTTGATTTAACAAGGGATAAATTAATCAGTATATTTAATTCATATAATTTTATTTTTTAAGAGATGGGATCTTGCTCTGTCACTCAGGCTGGAGTACAGTGGCATGATCATAGCTCACTGTAGCTTCAAACTCTTGGGCTCAAGGGATCCTCCCACCTCAGCCTCCCAAGTAGCTAGGACTATAGGTGCATACCACCATGCCTGGCTAAGTTTAGAAAACTTTTGGTTGTAGAGGCAGAATCTTGCTATGTTGCCCAGTCTGGTCTGGAACTCTTAATCTCAAGAGATTCTCCTGTCTCAGCCTTCCAAGTGCTGGATTACAAACATGAGCCTCTCTACCTGGCTTATATCTTTATGCCCCTCCCAAGCAAAGATCTTAAAAGCTTCAACTCCAATTACACACCTTCCATTTTCCATGTATTATTATCTAATGTTTTATTTTCATCTTATTTTTAACATCCCAAATTATTCATTTTTGTTGTTGTTGGTATAAATCAATGACTTTTTTTTTCTTTTTAGAGATGGGGGTCTCTCTCTGTTGCCCAGGCTGGAGTGCAGTGGCACAATGATAGTTCACTGCAGCTTCCAACTCCTGGGCTCAAGTGATCCTCCCACCTCAGCCTCCTAGGACTGCAGGCATGTGCCATCATGCCCAGCTTTTTTGTTTTTGTTTTTGTTTTTTTAATGTTTTTGTAGAGATCCAGGGTCTTGTTATGTTGCCCAGGCTGGTCTCAAACTCCTGCCCTCAAGTAATTCCCAGCATCAGCCTGCTGAGTAGCTGAGATTACAGGTTCAAGTCACCAGGCCCAGCTCAACGACTACTTAGGTTTATAATGGATAACATTTTTGTTTACTGTGGCAGTTTGTATTTTTTTAAAGATAGAAGCAACCATAGCTCCCATCTCATATGCTCTTCTGCAATATGAACTCGACACCCCCCATCAAGAGATGGAATCTATTTCGTCTGCTTTTGAATTTGGGATGACCTTAGTGACTTGTTTTAGTCAGTAGAATGTGGTGTGTGATTTCTGAGACCAGATTAGAAAAGGTCACCCATCTTTCCTAGTTCTTTGGAGCACTTGCTCTCTGGACACTCCCATGTAGAGGCCATTTGTAGATGTTACAGTCAACAGTCTTCACTCAGCATGGTCTTTGAATAATCTTAGCTCAGATCCTAGATATGTGAGTGAAGGGGCCTCCAGGTGCTTCCAGCCCTCAGCCACATGAGCCATTCAGGACTTTCCAGCTGGAGCCCCAGACATCATTTAAAAAGTTGAGCTGGCTGGGCTTGGTGGCTCATGCCTGTAATCCCAGCACTTTGGGAGGCCGAGGTGGGTGGATCACTTGAGCTCAGGGGCTCAATACCAGCCTGGCCAACATGGTGAAACCCCGTCTCTACTAAAAATACAAGAATTAGCCGGTCGTGGTTGTGCACGCCTGTAATCCCAGCTACTTGGGAGGCTGAGGCAGAAGAATCGCTTGAACCTGGGAGGTGGAGGTTTCAGTGAACTGAGATTGTGCCATTGCACTCCAGCCTGGGCAACAAGAGCGAAACACCATCTCAAAAAAAAAAAAAAAAAGTCGAGCCATCCTTGCTGTATCTGTTTGAGTTCCTAACCCACAAAACCTGTGAGCATAATAAAATGGCTGTTCTTTTACTTCACTAAATTTGGGGTGGCTTGTTATACCCCCAAAAAATAACTGGGACACTTCGATTGCATATATTTCCTGTGGGTTCCATTTCCATCTTACCAATATATATCCTACAGTTCCTATAGTAATTATTTCAGTGAGGATCTTGAGTGATAAAACTTGTTTTTGTCTGCAAATATCTTTTCCCCCTTACTCTTAAATAATAATTTTCATGGGTCTGGAACTTGAAGTTCATGGTTGTCTTCCCTCAGCACATTGAATATATTTATGTTTATTGTTTTTGGCAGATATTATTAAGAAAATTTGTCTCCAATCTAATTATTGATCCTTTTAAATTAAGCTGTATTTTCTCCCTAGTTGCTTTTAAGATCTACCTTTGGTGTTCTGCAATGTCTATTTGTATATTTATTTTTATCATGCTCAGTAATCAATGGGCCTCTTCAATCTGAAGATTTATGGCTATTTCTTGTTCTAGAAAAACTTCATGCATTATTTGTTTGAATGTGGCAAATATTATCACTTTCTGATTCATTTTGACTTTTTCTTCTGGAACTCCTATTAGTGGTATATTGGACTTTCTCGTTTTATTATCCATGTCTTTTAGCTTTTCTTTCAAATATTCTCTTTGCCAGAGTTCTGGTGAATTTCTGCAGATCTGCCTTCCAGTACACCTATTCTCAATTCAACTGTGTCTAATCTGCTGGCTTGCCAGTATATTGTGTTTACAAATTCAATAACCATATTCTTTTGTCTCTGTGGTTCTTTTCCAAATCTGTTGTTTTACACAGTATCCTGTTCTTTATCATTTTTATTCCTTCCTTTGTATTTTTAATCATTTTAATATGCTAATTTTATATCTCTTTTGGCTTGTCCTATTATTTCAGGTTCTTAGAGGTAATGATTTTCTTTTTCCTTTTTTTTTTTTTTGAGATGGAGTCTCACTCTGTAGTCCAGGCTGGAGTGCAGTGGTGCAATCTCGGCTCACTGTAAGCTCCGCCTCCCGGGATCACGCCATTCTCCTGCCTCAGACTCCCGTAGCTGGGACTACAGGTGCCCGCCACCACGCCTGGCTAATTTTTTTGTATTTTTAGTAGAGACAGGGTTTCACCGTGTTAGCCAGGATGGTCTCGATCTCCTGACCTCGTGATCCATCTGCCTCAGCCTCCCAAAGTGCTGGGATTACAGGCGTGAGCCACCACGCCCAGCTGGAGTTAATGATTTTCTTGTGTGTTGTGCCTGCTGGCTCTCCTTCATGGCAGATGGTTTCTTCATGTGATTTGTAGCTGTTGTTTGTGAACTCATCTGCAGTGGAGTTGTTTTGTTCCATGGGAGTCCTATATATTCTGGATTGTGAAAATGGCCTCAGAGATGTTTTGTATTTGTTTCTGACAACTGCTCCCAAGGGCTCATGGGGGAGCATTTTTGTGTAATTTTTCATCTTGGGAATTCTTTGCCATATGGATATCATAAATTTGGCTGCCACCTTCATGAATAGTTTTGGTTTTCAGTTTTGATTTTTCCCAGGAAACTTTTCTTCCACCCAGAGGCCTGGGCAAAGACAAAATTCATGTGTCACCTCCTAGTTTTGTGGGTAATTCTTTTCTGAGGGGCCATCCTTCCAGGGTTCTTGCTTTATACAGAGGTCTCAGTTCCAGTTCTCCACAAGGCCACACCTCTGGATCCTAGTGGGTGTTGAACCCTCAGCTCCCGTTGGTGGGGCCCCCGTCCATGTCCAGTTTCTCACTGGGCCCCCTGGGTTAAAGCCCAAATCTGGCTCTAAGTTCTCTCTGTACACTCGACACCTCAATGCTTCTCCACTCCTTTTTCAAGTTCCACTGTTGTTCTAACATCTTTCACTTATATTTGGTACTGAGTTTCTCAGTGTTGGCAGGGGAGGTGGCATCAGCATTAGCTGAGTCCATGGTGTTGCCAGAATCTGAAGTCAGTGGTCTTGATGTTTAGCAGAGCACCTCAGGGAGATTTGGGGGCACGCAAAGTTAGGCCTGGGGATAATATTAGTTCAGAGGGGGAGCTGTACTGCTCTGCATGAGAAATAGATTTGGGGGTGAGGAGATTTGAATTGGCTCCAAGAGAGGGAGAATGAGGGGGCTGGGGGTGGAGGAAGGCTCTGGCTTATGAAGAATGAACAGTGTGATGTCATGTTGACACAAATATTGCAGGGCCCTTGAAAATAGGGGTTGGGGGTGCATGGTGGCTCACAGCTGGAATCCCAGGACTTTGGGAGGCTGAGGCAGGAGGATTGCTTGAGCCCAGAAGTTCAAGACCAGCTTGGGCAATATGGTGAGACCCCATCTCCACAAAAGTTTTTTAAAAAACTTATCAGGCATGGTGGCAGGTGTCTGTAGCCCCAGCTACTCAGAAGGCTGAGGCAGGAGGATCACTTGAGCCCAGGAGTTCGAGGCTGCAGTGAGCTATGATTGCACCACTGCTCTCCAGCCTGGGTGATAGAGAAAGACCGGGTCTCTAAAAGAAAGAAAGAGAGAGAGAAAATAAATAATGGTTGCCTGAGATTCAGTTTAACTTGGTTCTCTGTGCTGTGAGCTGCACTGTAAGCCTTGCCTCCCTGCTCACACTTTGTGTGACCCTAAACCTTCAGTAAAAGTTGTTGCTCACAAATGTCTGTGTCAGTGCTACCTGAGTAAAATCAAGGGGAAAGAGGCTACCTGGGTGCACTGGGCTGCAGGGAAGAAAACATCCGCAGGAAAGGAGACAAGGAGAAGGAGGGACCTAGTGGGAGATGATTGAATCATGGCGTGGGGGATCTTTCCCGTGCTGTTCTTGTGATAGTGAATGGGTCTCACAAGATGTAATGGTTTTTAAAACGGGAGTGTCTCTGCACAAGCTTTCTCCTTTGCCTGGTGCCATCCATGCAAGATGTGACTTGCTCCTCCTTGCCTTCCACCATGATTGTGAGGCCTCCCCAGCCATGTGGAACCGTAAGTCCAATAAACCTCTTTCTTTTGGAAATTGTCCAGTCTCGGGTATGTCTTTATCGGCAGCATGAAAATGGAGCCTTGCTTACCCCATCCACCCTGGAGTCCCTGGAGCCCTTGAGCAGGAGGCAGTGGGCTTCTCTCTGAATGGAGAAAGAGGATCCAGAGGATCCAGGCAGTCTCCTTACTTCGGCTCAAATAAATAGCACACTACCCTCAGCTAATGCACTCACCTGCAGCCTCCACGCGGAGTGACTCATGCAAACATGCATGCTATGTCTGCAGTTCCATCCAAAGCCTGCAGCCCCACACCCACCCAGTAGCCTCTGACTTAGCCACCTGGATGATCCAGAACAAACCTGAGAACAAAGAAGTGTGGCTTAAAAATGATACATGTCGCCCAGTACATGTACTGTACTTTTGCACATTTTCAAAGGACATGTGAGATTTCACTCAGGACCCTGATCTTTATTTTATTTTTATTTTTATTTTTATTTTTATTTTTTTTGAGATGGAGTCTCTGTCACCCAGGCTGGAGTGCAGTGGCCTGATCTTGGCTCACTGCAACTTCTGCCTCCCAGGTTTCAAGTGATTCTCCTGCTCAGCCTCCTGAGTAGCTGGGATTACAGGTGTGCACCATCAAGCCAGGCTAATTTTTATGTTTTTAGTAGAGATGGGTTTTTGCCATGTTGGCCAGTCTGGTCTCAAACTCCCGACCTCAGGTGATCCGCCTGCCTCAGCCTCCCAAAGTGCTGGGATTGCAGGCCTGAGCCACTGTGCCTGGCCTTATTTTTTATTTTATTTTTGAAATGGAGTCTTGCTCTGTCACCCAAGCTGGAGTGCAGCCGCATGAACTTGGCTCCCTGTAGCCTCTGCCTCCTGGGTTCTAGCGATTCTCGTGTCTCAGCCTCCCGAGTAGCTGGCGTTACAGGCGTGTGCCACCATCACACCCAGCTAATCTTTGTATTTTTTTGTAGAGACAGGGTTTTGCCCTGTTGTCCAGGCTGGTCTCAAATTCCTGGCCTCAAGCAATCCACCCACCTGGCGCCTCCCAAAGTGCTGGGATTACAGGCATGAGCCACTATGCTCGGCCTCATCTTTGTTTTAGAATTAACAAAACGGTGGAGAACTTTGGGGTCAGTCCTGGTTTGACCTATACGAGTCACTCAGTCTTTCTGAGCCCCAGTCCCCATCTGTAATACACCCCAGTCCCACAGCCAGTGGGTGGTAGAGTCCCCACTCTGTGCTGCTGACTGTGCTAGGCTATTTCATGGCACTTGCAAAGGCTCAGCACATCATGGGCCCCCAGTGTGTGCTGACTGTATGGCTGAAAGGATTGATGAGACACTAAAGTCCCCCATGAAGGCACAAACCAGAAGGTAAGTACTCGTCCAGTCACAATGAAAGGAATGAAAGCATAAGGACGGTGTGCATGCACGTGTGGCGCCGGGGACCCATGCTCCAGGTTAGCTACTGGAAGACACAGAGCCTAACCCAAGCCAAGACAACTCAGATACACTGACAGGATTTGAGGACCCTGTCTTTCTTCCCTCCACCGAATATCTTCACACACAAGGAGGAGCAGAGAGAGGCAGCAGCAGCCCAGTCAGGGCAGAGGTAGTGCTTCGCTTCAGAGGGAAGGGTTGACTCTTAGCTTGCTTCTCAAAGCTCAAGTCGGGGGCTGGGCATGGTGGCTCACGCCTGTAATATCAGCACTTTGGGAGGCCAAGGCAGGCAGATAACCTGAGGTCAGGAGTTCGAGACCAGCCTGGCCAACGTGGTGAAACCCCATCTCTACTAAAATTGCAAAAATTAGCCTGGCATGGCGGCATGCCCCTGTAATCCCAGCTACTCGGGAGGCTGAGGTGGGAGGATTGCTTGAACCCGGGAGGCAGAGGCTGCAGTGAGCCGAGATCGTGCCACTGTACTCCACCCTCTTGACAGAGCTAGACCTCGTCAAAAAAAAAAAAAAAAAAAAAAAGCTCAAGTTGGGAGAGGAGAGGCTCCTTAAGACAGAATGGGCTGGAGTCCACTCCACTCTGGCAGGGAACATTTGGCCCTAGCTCTGCCAGGGTGGAGGGGGTGTCAGGAGACCTAGGGAATGGTCAATCCCTGCCTGTGGAGGATGGACTGTGCCCAAGGCCTGGGCAGTAGAGACAATGACAATGGCTGCAATGAGCTTTGACAATGGGCAAAAACTCAGAGGAGTGGAAGGAAGATATTTTCTTCCTCTCTGCGCTATTTTGGCTTTGGTGAGGGACCAGAAGGAACTCCAGGGATCTGGAAAAATTCTACTGGAGAAGTTGGTGATTTGTCCTTCTGGCCAGTAGAGGTGGTTCTCAGCTACAACAGCTCCCCTGCCCACCCACCCACAGTGCCCCCACAGCTGAGTTCCTGCGGGCTGGGTGCCAGGCGATGTGCATGCAGCACATGTGAGTCCCAGGGGCATGGGGTCTCCCAGCGCTCAGAGCCTCCCACCACCCTGCACCCAGGGTGCCATGCCCTCTCTCTTTCCCTGCACCCTATGGCTGCTGTTTTCCCTCAATATCCATTCTCTCCTTCTCTATTGTAATATTGGAACACTCCAATTTCTGTCTAGCTGGGCACATGATTGCCCAGAATGAAGCCTACACTTCCCAGTTCCTTGCAGCTGGATGTGGCCACACAACTAAGCTTTGGTCAATGGGATTCAAGCTGAAGTTTGGGCCATGTGTGCTCTTTCTGGCTGTGCCCTTTAAGGAAAGGGGCATGCCATGGCCTACTCTGGCCCCTTTTCCCTGCTGGCAGGAGGCATAACACTTCTCTTGACCCACCTGTCTGGGGCTGCAGATGCCCCTGTCCAGGAGGTTTGGCAGAGCCAGGGGCTGCCCTAGCCATGCTGGGTTGGAGGTCTCAGGGTCCTGGAGAGGCACAGTGCTTGTGACCTCACCTGAGCGATCCCACACAGGGCTCCACGGGCCCCACCTTGCAGTGAGAGGACTGTCGGGCACAGTGAATGGCCCCAAGAAAGGCACTGATGTCCTCTTCAGTAAGTGGGGGGCGGGGGGGTGGTTTACTGGTAAGAGCAGGTATTTACTGGTTAGTGCAGTTCCCTGTGTGGGAATGTGCTACTCATTACTCATTCAGCCCTCCTATCAGCCCGCACAGAAGGCCTCTTTATTTCCATTTTGCACATGAGAAAATTAAGGCTTAGAAAGTGTTGTTAGCCAGCCCACAGGCTTATGGCTGTTAAAGTCTGGATTTGAACCCAGCTCTGGCTTCAAAATTTATGCAGTTGGTCACTCCATTGTTCTCCTTCCCCAGTAACTCCGAAAGATCCATCAGAGTCCTCCAGCTGAACGACTGGATCCCTGCCTGGCTGATCCCATCCACCACTGTATGACTGATCGCTTCATCTATGTTCCCAGTGCTGTCATCTCACCTGAGCTTCCACTTGGATTCTCAGTTGCCTTTGAGCCACCTGACTTGATGGTTAACAGCTGCCTCAGACACAGCTATCTGCTAGTACTGTGTTCCTCCCAGACTACCCTCAGTAGATCTGTGTCCCTCCCCGGGGCCCTGGCATCACCTCCCACTGTTGCCAGGCTTAGCCTTGGCTCTCCTGGGGTGCCCTTCCCTGCCTCGTGCCCTTATTAACTTCTCACAGTTCCCTTCCCCTCCTTGCATGCTTCCATTTTCTGCCCAATGGTTCTTTCCCCCAAGCAGACAGTTCCAGGTTCCTCAACCCTTGGCTCCTGCTGAGAATCTTTCAGCAATCCCCTATTTGCTATGGAAGAGTCCAGCCCCTCCACGGCACGGCCCCTGTGATCAGGCTGCCTTCCTGCCCCCCTCCCCACAAGTTGAAGGACCACTGCTCCACTCTACCCTGGGCTAGGCAGTGCTGGCTTCCCACCAACATCCAGTTTCTCCTTCTTCCTTAGTGACAGACCCCAATTTTTAGCTGCTCTTCCCGATAAAGACCACATTTCTCAGTTTCCCTTGCAGCTAGCTGTGGCCATGTGACAAGGTTCTGGCCAATGAGCTATAAATGAAAACGTTACATAGGCCCTCCAGTAAATCAGCTTAATTGCAAGCTGGCTTGGCTTAGCTTAGAGGAGTGCCCATTTGAGTCTTTCTCTTCCCTGATGCTTGGAGCTCTGATGTACTGGCTGGAGTTCCAGCAGCACTTTTGGTACATGACGTGACCTTGAGGCCAGTGCTAGAATGGTGGAGCTGAACAGCGGAGAAAGCCTGGGTCCCCTATGGCTGCAGAGGTGTCATGACTAGCTGGACTGCCTGTCTTCAGCTTATTTTATGTGAAAAAGAAATGAACATGCCTTGCTCAAGCCACTGTCCTTTTGGACATTCTCTTGCATGCAAGCAATCCTAATCCTACCTGATACAACCATACAGCACAGATCATGTCTCCTTTCCTATGCTTTTGTGTGTGTATTCCTTCTCCCTGAAATGCCTTTCATTCCTTTCTTGGCTGTTGAAATCCTATTTACCTTTCAGGGCACAATTTTAATAACTCTTCTTCCACAAAACCTTCACCCATTCCCTGGGCATAACAACCCCTCGACACCGCTGGTTTTCCCAGCCCTCAGTTTGGCCCTCTTGTAGCACTTACCTAAATTCCAGGGCATGCACAAAGTGGCTGAAGGATGAGGATTGGGTTTCCTTCAATCTCTGGTTACCCAGAACTGGGACAGTGCTTGGCACATAGCAGGCACTAAATCAATTCCTGTTGAACACACATGCATGCACACATGCACACGCATGCACACGCATACACACACCCCACACAGGGCAGGCACCACCAGGGCAGGTACCAGGTGTCTTTCCAGGACAGACACCCTGACAGTTGTGTATGGGGTGAGGGGGCACGGGAAAAAGGAAAACAAGAAACCAAAAGAAGAGAGGGCACACCTTTCCCTTGACCCTTCCCTCACGCACAGGCATGAGCAGCCACGCCAGGCCTGGAAGCTGTGCCTCTCTCCCCCAGCTCCCCTCTCTGGCAGGCTCCCCATTCATGCCCAGTGGGCGCTCCCGTGCTGGCTGCTGGCGGGGAGAACCAGGAGGGAGGAAGGCTGTGGAGGCGCTCGGCAGAATCAGGACCCAGGAGGACCGCAGCAGAGCGGAAGTGACAGCACAGACCTGTTAATAACTCTGGGCTGGTACTGTGCTACAGGCTGGCCTCCCTCTCCTCCCTCCCACCCCCAAGGCCCCGTGGGGGCTGCAGCTATTGGTCCAGAGGGCTTGTTGGAGTTGTTGGGTGCTCGAGAGGCAGGCCGACTTGGTGGCTGAGGGCGGCGCCTAGGACACAGGTGCAGTCCTGGCGGAGCGTTTGTGGCCCATTCCCTCCAGGGCACCAGGCCTGTGGTCAGTTCCGCTGCCGGCCACCGGGTGGCAGTGCTGGTCAAGCCCTCCAGCCTCCAGAGCCGGTCTTCCCAGGCGGCGTGGATGCTCCCTGACTCACCAGCTCCGCCAGAACGACATTGTTAGGGCTGGAAGGGCTTAGCCAACATAACACGAAGACGCAATTTATGTATGATTTGAGGGTCCGATTGGAAGGGTTTTTTTGTACATCTACACACCTGTGTGACCACGATCAAGGTGCAGGACGTTTCCAGCTCCCCAGAGGCTTCCCGTGTCCCTGCCGATCACTACCTCCCAAAGGCAGCCTTGTCCTGCTTCGAACACCACGGATGGGTTTTGCCTGAACTTCCTATGAATGGCAGCACGCGGTGCTCTTTGGGTCTTCCCTTACATCAGCCTCACGGCTGTGAGGTTTATCCTCGTCGTTGCAGGTAGCAGTAATTTGTTGTCATTGGCACAGTATTCCATGGCGCGCATATGTGGCAGTTTAGGTCCTGCTGATGGTTGTGGGAAGCTGGGCCGGGAGCAGCCTCTGAGACAGAGATCAGGGACAGGGCTGCTTAGGCGGCAGACCCGGGGAAGCATAGGCCTGGACTGGGTGTGGGTGGGACACTGGCCTTGGCCTCCGGGGAATGGGCCCTGCATTCCCGGGGATCTGAGCAGTTCAGCTCCCCCAGCTGAGTGTGAGGTGGACAGCAGTGGACATTCGCTTGTTTCCAGGCTGGGGCTGTTGTGCAGAGCGCTGCTGTGGGCCAGCACACTTGGTTCACGGGGGTGGCATGGCTGGGCCATGAGGCTGGCAGAGGGGTGCCTTGTGCAAAAGCTCCCAACGCTGCCCTGTTTGGCCCCTGCGCGCCCTGGCCGACCGCCCACAGCGCCCGCGGCCCTGATGTTCTGGGGCTGGTTTCTAGGCAGGGCAGCCCCTGCCCTCTGAGATTTTGGCCCGGCGGGGAACGGATGAGGGCTGGCAAGTGTCATAGGTAGGCGTCCCTGGGCCTTAATGGCAGGGCCCACGAGGGACCGGGCTGCCTGACAGTGCCCCAGGTTGGGCTGGGCTCCCGGTCCCGCTGGGCCGCACGCTGGAGTGGGCGCGGGGCAGCAGTGGCTTCCTCGTGTGCCAGGCTCTTCCCGGAGCGCGGGTTGAGTCTTGAGAGATAACCTGCGTGAAGACATGTGTAGTGATGGGGCTCTGGGCAAGAGAGGCCGACTGCAACAGAGGGGTCCCAGTGAGGCTACCACCCACCCTGGGAGACGGGTGTGTGGGAGCTGCGGTATAGTGAGCCTCGGCGCCGCTCACCTCCCTCTGGGGCGCCCCTCCCGGCTTTGGGGGCTCCCGGGCCCTCGGCGCCTCCTGCAGTACTGACCGCCGCCAGCAGGGGCCGCCTCAGTCTCTGCACAGCGGAGACCGCCCCGCGCTTGAGGGCACGGGCCCGCCCCTCTCAGAGCAAAGGTTTGCAGCGGGGCTGGCGGGTGACATCTACTGCGGGGCAGCCTCAACCTGACACTCAGCAGCAAGTTAGGCCTATCTACAAATCTCCTGCTCTGTGCCCGCGCAGTCCAGTGGAGGAGATATTCCTAATTAGGGGGCACTTCCAAGGGGCGGAGTCTCCGCGGCGAGTGGCCGTGGAGGGGCGCAAGGCAGACGGTCTCCAGCCACGATACCTGGGCCAATCCCAGCCTGTCACGTCATGCCTAGTGAGCTGAACAAGCTGCGTAACTGTCGTGTGCCTCAGTTTCCCCACGTGTATAATGGAAATGATTACAATAAACAGGACCTTTTTGAGGAGTTGCCATGAGGACTGTCAGGTAAGTTCTGGACTTAGAACGGTAGCATTCCGGGCCAGGAGCGGTGGCTCACGCCTGTAATCCCAGCACTTTGGGAGGCCGAGGCGGGTGGATCACGAGGTCAGTAGATCGAGACCATCCTGGCCAACATGGTGAAACCTCATCTCTACTAAAAATACAAAAATTAACTGGGCATCATGGAGAGCGCCACAGTCCCAGCTACTTGGGAGGCTGAGGCAGGAGAGTTGCTTGAACCTGGGAGGCAGAGGTTGCAGTGAGCCGAGATCGTGCCACTGCACTCCAGTCTGGGCCACAGAGCGAGACTCCCTCTCAAAAACAACAACAACAACAACAAAAACGGTAGCATTCTGCAGGGGAGGAAAAGTACAAAAGTAAAATCTTTCCCCACCCATTGCTCGGTTCATGGCTAGGACACCTATAACAAAAGACAGGTCAACAAGAGAAAAGCACACAAATTTATTTCATGTAAATTTTACATGACACAGGGGCCTTTGGAAATGAAGACCCAAAGAAATGGGGACATGTATTTTTATGCGTTGGTTTCATGAAGAGTGGGCATCGTGGAGAAGTGATTGGCTAAAGGGGGAAGGGGTAATAAACCGGGGAGAGTCGGCCAGCCTGTTCAGATTCTTCTCTCTGTCCCTGTGTCTTCAGAGGTAAGGATGGGTCTTATGGCCTCATGGCCCTACTTCAGGGGATTCGGGCAAAGGGAAGGTGAGCGAGGCCTTCCTGCTTCTGCTGTTTTCTTAAATGCCAAAGTGCCATATTTTGGGGTGGCATGTCCTGAACCCTGGCAGTTTGTTCAATAAACAAACACAGAGTGTGTGGCGGGTATGCCTGTACCCTGGACGGGAGGCTTTAGGCAGGTTTTTTAGCTCCTCAGAATGACCTCCTCTGCCCCCCAGCTGCCTCATGGCCCAAGGTCCCACTGATGCAACTATACCACCCCAGCCTGCTGGCTTTGGGTGGCCTGAGGGCCATAGCTTGCCAGGTAATTTTCCAGACAGTCTGAGGCTCAGAGTTGACTTCCCTAATAAGATGCCATACATACCTCTCATGAGAGTGTGATTTATTAACAAGATGCATGGCTGCAGCGCTCTGGGGAACCACCCAAGGCAGCCTGCACTAAGGTGGAGACGTACCTGGCACTAGCCATCCCTTAGCCGAGCAGTCACTGATTGTGGCCTTGATCTGGGGTCTTGGGAGGGGCTTAGCCCACAGGTTGAGGGTCAGGGCACTCACAAGGCTCCAAACCCACCAGGCCCTTGCCCCCGAAAGTGGGGTCCACTTGGCCAGGTGCGGTGGCTCATGCCTGTAATCTCAGCACCTGGGGATGCCAAGATGGGGGGACTGCTTGAGGCCAGAAGTTTGAGACCAGCCTGGGCCACATAGCTAGACCTGTCTTCACAATATCAGAAATATTAGCTGAGCATGGTGGAATGCACCTGTGGTCCCAGCTACTCAGGAGGCTGAGGTGGGAGGATCAATTGAGCTTGGGAGTTTGAGGTTGTAGTGAGCCATGATCACACCACTGCACTCTAGCCTGAATGACAGTGAGACCCTGTCTCAAAAAAAAAAGTCGGGTCCACTTATCTCAGGTAGGGCCTCAGGCTTTCTGAGTCAATCTGCATTTTAACAAGATCCCCAGGAGATTTGAGAGTATGTTGCAATGTGAGTGAGGAGCACTAGGTTAGAGTAAGCCACCTTCCCTCCATGATCCTCAGTTTTCCTAACCGAAATAAATATTGACGGGCTAGAATACCTTTGGCTTCTTTTCCAGTGCTAACACATTGGGAGCTAGACCTTTGCAGTGACTGTCTGTAGGGCTATTTGCATTTTGTGGCAGTTCTGGGAAAGTGGAATTCCCAGAAATTCCAGTGAGAAAGGCTGGAGGGACCATCAGCTCCTCTCCTCTTCTGTCTGCTTTACCCCTCCTTTCTGTTGGAGGTGCACAATTTCCCAGGTCCTGGGATACAGCAAATGCAATTCAATCTGCTTCAGCAACACAGATTGAGTTCCTTCTGTGTGCCAGGGTCTGCTGCAGTGAATCTCCATCCTGGCTGTACATTAGAATCATCTGCGTTGCTCTGTAAACTCCTGATGCCTGGGTTCCACCCTAGGCCAGTGGAACCGGAGTCTTTGGGGGCGGGGCTGGACATAGGTATTTATTAACATGCTTGGACCATTACAATGCACAGCCAGCTTGAGATTGGTCAGAAGTGAGAAAGAAGGCTACCGTAAGACCTACCCAGGCCAGACCCCCATTCCTGTTTCCTTCTCTTAGGCCGGCCAGCTCCAGCAGGTCAGTCTGCGAGTCAGGAGAAATCACTGGGAAATCCCCTGGATATAGTAACACATGACAGCACCATTGAATTAATCATCAACTTTGTAACGTGATCTCTGGCCCATAAAAAGCAGACCTGCTGAATCTTTGGTAACCTGTCCACTGGCCTTCTCCAGGCAGTTCCTTCTAGACCTGGGGACCTGTGCCCGAGGACCTTAGACTGATGGGTGCCCAGCTCTGCTTCGAGGCCAGTAAGTAGACCTCCTGCAAGCCTGGAGCTTGGTCTCTGGACTGGGGGTACAGGTAGCAGAGGGTGCTCTGTGTCATTGCTGGAGTAGAGATGTGGTCAGTGTAAAGTTTAGGGGGCTGGTGGGGTCCCAGTTCTGCCAAGTTGAGCTATGGGACCTTGGGTAAGTCACTTTGTCCCTGGGCCTCAGTTTCTACATCTCCAGGCCAGGGACGATGCCTGCTGGCTTACAGGGATCTTTATAAAATCAAACGCACAAATCAAAAGAGTGATAGGCACAAAGGTTCTCTGCAAGCCTCACCTGAGGCCACAGGTGTCCCGTAGTGGAAGAGCCATATGTGGGGGAGATAGAGGACCTGGTCTTTTTTTTTTTTTTTTTTTTTTTGAGACGGAGTCTCGCTCTGTTGCCCAGGCTGGAGTGCAGTGGCGTGATCTCAGCTCACTGCAAGCTCTGCCTCCTGGGTTCACGCCATTCTCCTGCCTCAGCCTCCCGAGTAGCTGGGACTACAGGCGCCCGCCACCACACCCGGCTAATTTTGTTTTGTATTTTTAGTACAGAAGGGGTTTCACCATGTTAGCCAGGTTGGTCGCGATCTCCTGACCTCGTGATCCACCCGCCTCGGCCTCCCAAAGTGCTGGGATTACAGGCGTGAGCCACCGCACCCGGCCTTGAGGACCTGGTCTTTCAGCACCAGCTATTGGGGTTGTGCATCTCTGGACCTACCCTCCCAGGTAAAGAGCTGGGAGCCTGGGCTCAGGGTCCTCTGTCCCCTGGTGGGCACCATGGGCTCACAGACTAGTAGTTGGCTGTGCCAAGAGCCACTGCTGCTGTCACAGTAATGGTGTTTGGCAGGGAAATGATGGGCCTTAAAGGAGGTGGCATGAGAGTGAAGCAGCCAGGAGCAGCGCTGGGATCCCCCACTTTCTGGCTGCAAAAACACAGATGACTAGCACAGCCTTCTCAAGCTCTGAGGGCTTCCCCGAGGCGGGATGAGGAGAAAAAGAGGCTGCAAAGTGCTTATGGGTGCCTGACACCCTGAAAGGCTTGACACCTGGAGGAGTGGTGAGGATGGAGATCCCTAGAGGCTCTTGCTGAGCAAGGGGCCGCCCCTGCCCCACTCAGATTCCAAGATCTTAGAGAATCTGGAATCTGACTCTACCTGTCCTGGAGTAGAGACACCCCAGAGGCCCTGCTTAGCCCGCAGGCAGTCCACCCCCTCAGCAGTGGGGACCCCGGGGCAGGTGGAGTAATTGGAGCGATCGCCCATGGGCAGGGCACTCAGCTTCTCTGAGCTCAGGGTCCTGCCTGCAAACAGGACCCATAGAAAGAGCGGCTGCCTCTAGGTGTGAGGGTGCTTGGGCACCAGGATGATCTGAACCCTGTGCCAGCCCAGCCACTGGGGACAGGTCTGCTTGGAGAGCCACATGTGGCCTATGCCCACCTCTGCCACTCCCCACCCTGGGAGTGGGGT
Organism: Homo sapiens; assembly: GCF_000001405.40. NCBI lineage: Eukaryota > Metazoa > Chordata > Mammalia > Primates > Hominidae > Homo > Homo sapiens. The sequence continues at coordinate 96,503,790 of NC_000002.12, read as the reverse complement.
GTCCCGGGCTGCCTGGGTCAAAGTGTGGGAGGACCCCTGCAGGCCTCGTGGGAGGAGGCAGGTGGAGTGGAGGTGGTGATCACACCCGTCAGGCCACCCCGACCCTGCTCCAGACCCAGGCACAGAGCCCTGTATGAAGTCGGTGGACACGGTCCTGTGGGCCCTTGCCAGGCTGGTGGGTCGGGGGTGGGTTTCGGCCCCACTCAGCCTTGGTGGTGCACAGTGAATAGCTGACATGACCATGCAGACAGACCAAGAGTCTTCATAGATGAGAGGCTGTGCCCTAAGGGACCTTTTGCTGCCCTGCCAGGTCCCAGGGGGCTGCCCGAGGTAGGGGGTGGAGCCTGAGTGAGCAGCACAGAGGAGGCTGCTTAGATGCCCCGGCTGCGGAATGACCTGTGCAGCCACCACGTCCCCTCGGCACCCACCAGCCCTGGTGACATGAGGACTTAGCTCCATACAGGGCTGCTGAGAAGGCTCCTGAAGCAGGGATCGGGGAGCTTTGCAAACTGTCAAATTATCCTCCAGGGCAAGGCCTGCTTCTCAAGGGCTCCCAGGGCCTCATGCACCCTCAAGGCCATTCCGGGGGAGTTCCCCTCCTCCCTGGACTGCCTCCAGCCAGCCAGTTCCCTACTCCCTCCAGGAAGTGGATGGAGGAGTGAGGTCACCTGCCGTCCTCCACCCCTCCTTGCCCCCAGAGCCAGTCCTGCATGGAGCCAGCCTCTGTCCCGGGCACCTGCCTAGAGGGTAGGGTGGAAACTCCATCCCCAATGAGCACGGGCTCATCTCTGCTGGTTCCCGTCTAGGCCCATGGTGCTGAGCATGACAGGGCTCCAGCTCCCCTGACCCCAGGGGTTCCCCTTTCTCTGTAGGGGCTGCACTGGGTGAGGCTGGGAGAACTCCTCATCAACCCTAGTTCTGCCCCTGATTGCTGTGGGGTGGGGCTAGCCACTTGCCCACTGTCTGCCTCTTAGGATGGCAGCAGGATTGGGTGTGGCAGTTTGTAGAGAGGGCTCGGATGCCGGCCACCATCTCCGGCACCGCCCCTCGTCCAGGGCCATTGCTCCAGCCTCTTGCCAAGCCCACTCCAGGGCTTCTCTCCAGTTCCCACCTCAGGGATGGGCAGTGACCCAGCCAAAGGGCTGGCCTCTGCCCTCCTAGATTGTGGCTGGTTGTGCCAAGAGGCCCCACTTGCCCTGTCACCCCCAGCCCCATGCCTGGCCAGGTAGGCAGTGAACAAGACTCCAGACAGGTGTCCTGAGACTCCTGGCCTTGCTGGACATGCACTTCACTGCCGTTTGTAGGTGAGGAGGCTGGGCCCTGGAGGACAGTGACCTGCCTGGGCCAGCAGCAGGGCAGGCCTGGAATGGGGGTGTTAGCCATGGCCCAGCTGGTATCCCACTGCCCTCCATGGAGCAGCCTCAACCATGGGCACAAGGTCAGGTTCACTGATGTCAGGGACCCCAGCATGGCTCCGGCTCTCCATGTGTGCTGGCTCTGGGACTTCTCCTTGCCTAGGTGCAGCCTTGAGGCACAGGGAGCTGGGCAGGCCTGCTGGGATTCGCAGGAAGGGATGAGTGCATCATGGGAAGGCACGGGCGGGGCGCAGGCGAGGGGTGAATGCGGATACACAGGGCTCTGTGAGAGTCCCAAGGCCACGGTGAGCACTGGTCTTTAATGCTGGGGAAAGGTCACTGCAGGTAGGCTTACCTTTGGCCTGTGGAAGTCAGGGACAGAGTCACTGTCACCGCAAACGTGTCCTGGTGCCTGACCAGATGGAGCCTCCTGGCCCTGGGCTCTGCTAGAGGGTGTAAACCTGTGTGTAGTCAGAGTGCCTGCCTTGCCAGGGGAGTGTGACCTGATCTGGGAGGGGAGTGGCCTTGCTCCTTAGGATGGGGTCTGGCTTAAGTTCTGATTGAATTCGCCTTTTATTTTCAACAGCAAACAGCCAGCCAGCCTCCCTCCCCCAGCCCAGAAAGAGCAGGACCAGGAGGGGAGGGGCAAGGCCGGCTAAGGCAGTTCTGGGGTAGGAAGCCCCACCAGCTTCCTGCAGGCTGAGTGGAGAGGAAGGGCTGCTCAGTGAGGTGCTTTCCCCTTCTGACTGCCAGGCAGAGTCCTGTGGGAAGTCCCCTGGTTTCAGAGCCCATGCCAGAGCCAGGCTGGACCCCACCCAGGATTCTGAGGGGCTAACCTGGGACTTCCTCTCCAGCCTGCACCCATACTCTGTGGGGAGCAGCCAAGCCCCTTTCTCTCCCAGGACAAGGATGTCACCATTGCTGGGGGCCATGGTCTTCACAAGTGATGCAGTTCCCCATGGGAAAACAAGAGAGACAAGCAGAGAGGGAATAGCAGACAGCCTCCTGGAGCAGACCACAGTCAGCAAATCTGTCTGTCTCCTCTTCCGTCATTTTTAGGTGCATATGGAATAAATGTATGGGCTGGGCGCAGTGGCTCATGCCTGTAATCCTAGCGCTTTGGGAGGCAGAGGCAGGAGGATCACTTGAGGCCAAGAGTTCAAGACCAGCCTGGGCAACACAGCAAGAACTCATCTCTGAAAACAAAACAAAACAAAACAAACAAAAAAACCGTGTATAACAAACATATAGATATTTATGCCTGACTAACCCTACTCTTTCTCTTGAACAATAATAACCATTACTAGATTGGTCGCAGGAAGAGTACAAAGAGACATCAGTTCCTATAGTTTTCATAACAACCCTGCAGGAACCGAGAGAGGTGGAAATGGTCCCTAGGGGAAGGTCAAGGTGCTCCCAGGTGTGAGGGACTCTGGGATACTGGGGGCTCTCTGGGGAGCTGGTGGGTCCAGACCCGGTTAGCACTGACACTCCCCATCCTCAACCCACAGACGCCAAGGCGCCCCGAGAGGCACTTCGCTTCCATGCCGAGGCCAAGGGCGCACAGGTGCGTCTGGACACGCGTGGCTGCATCGCGCACAGGCGCACCACGTTCCACGACGGCATCGTGTTCAGCCAGCGGCCGGTGCGCCTGGGCGAGCGTGTGGCGCTGCGAGTGCTGCGGGAGGAGAGCGGCTGGTGCGGCGGCCTCCGCGTGGGCTTCACGCGCCTGGACCCCGCGTGCGTGTCCGTGCCCAGCCTGCCGCCCTTCCTGTGCCCCGACCTGGAGGAGCAGAGCCCGACGTGGGCGGCCGTGCTGCCTGAGGGCTGCGCGCTCACTGGGGACTTGGTCCGCTTCTGGGTGGACCGCCGCGGCTGCCTCTTCGCCAAGGTCAACGCCGGCTGCCGGCTCCTGCTGCGTGAGGGCGTGCCCGTCGGCGCCCCGCTCTGGGCCGTGATGGACGTGTATGGGACCACTAAGGCCATCGAGCTGCTGGGTGAGGCGACCATGGGGACCCCGCAGGGGAGGTGGGGAGATGGGGGCTCCAGTGGCACCCCACACCGATCCAGAGCCACAGGAAGAACGTTCACATTCAGTTATTCCATCAGCCCCTGCCCAGTGTTAGCTGTGAAGATGGGCACTGGAGACGCCAGATAGACAAGGCTCAGTCGTAGGGAGGGCAGTCTTGTCCCTAAAGAATGATAAGCAGATAGGACCAGCACTCACACCATCTGTTACTCAAACACCTGTTAGAGTGTCCATCTCCTTTTACAAAGGAAGAAACATTTGGGCTGGCTTTGCAGCCTAAATAGGAGTTCACTAGATACAAAGGTGGCAAGCAAAGGGAACACACAGGTGAGGCTAGAGGTGCGCATGGAGAGTGCCTGCAGGGAGAAAGCTGAGCCTCTCAGTCAGTGGGGGGGAAAAGAGAGCCATCCCTTTAGCCACCCCAGAAGAAGGTGGATTTCAGGAGAGCACAGAGAGGCAGTAATACCCATAACAAGAAATATTGGCATTCCTGGGCCGGGTGGTGGTCCACTCCCCGCCTCCTGCCAGCAAATTTGTTAAAACCATTTGTCACAGCTGCCAGCGCCTCACACCTGAAGCACCTGATTTGCTGGGTCTGGAGTGGAGCCCTGAACCTGTGTTTGTCCAGGCTCTTGGGAGATGTTGATGCCCATCTGGGTTGGGAATGTGGCTCGGCCGAGGGTCTCCACTCAGGCAGCGGCTGGAGGGCAAAGAAGAGGGGCCTGAAGGAAGGTGGCTCAGGAGGAGGAATCTCCAGCCCCAAGGATTCTCGGATTCTCAGCTGGGTCAAGCTGGGGAAGGGATGGCCAGGACAGGGTCTTAAAATTTGGGGATGGGGGCTCAGCATTGCAACCCAGGAAAGAAAGGAGACCGGACACTTTGCTGCGGGGCCAGGGGCGGGGATGGGGGGGCACCTGGGCTTGCCGTCCTGGACCTGAGTTTCTCTCTCTGCCTCAGATCCCACAGCCAGCCGGCTCCCAACACCCATGCCATGGGACCTCAGCAACAAGGCTGTGCCTGAGCCCAAAGGTGAGTGCCTTCCCAAGAATCAGGGACTCCCCGGGAATCCAGCACCTGGGAGTGGAGGGAGAAGCCCCACGTCCTACTGGTTGTTCATTCAAGTCTCTCACAGGCTTTGGGCCAAAAGATTTGGCTCTGCCTACTGGAAACCTAAAAGCAACCTGGCATCTCTGCCTTCGAGAGCATTTGCCTACTCTGTGAGTTATAAGAGCACTTTTATGAACAGACAGTGTTATTTTGTTCTTGCTTTAAAAAATCATCCACATTCATTGTAAATGCTTTGCCAATGGAAATAAAGATGAAAGGATAGGTGGGGTGCAGTGGCTCACACCTGTAATCCCTATACTTTGGGAGGCCGAGGCAGGAGGATCGCTTGGGCCCAGGAGTTTGAGACCAGCCTGGGCAACATGGCGAAACCCTGTCTCTACAAAAAGTACAAAAATTAGCTGAGTGTGGTGGTGCATGTCTGTGGCCCCAGCTACTCGGGAGGCTGAGGTGGAAGGATGGCTTGAGCCCAGCTGGCTGAGGCTGCAGTGAGCTGTGATCACACCACTGCACTCCAGCCTGGATGACAGAGTGAGACTGTCTCTAAAAAATAAAAAAGATTAAAGGATAAAGAGGAAAGTTAAAAAAAAAGCACCCATTACCTCTTGGGTGGATTTCCTCCCAGTATTTTCGGTCATCGATATAGACGTGTGTATATAGGGACTTGTCTGTGCTGCGTTTTCCTTCTCTCTAAATTGGAATTGGAATATATGTATATAAAAAATGGTTTTCTTCCCCCTTTTTTTCACTTGATTACACTGTAAGCATTTCCTCACTAGGTAACATTCTTCAAAATATAGCTACATGTTTCTCTGTCATTCTCTGTGGTCACATTGTGAGCGGGTTGCCCACCCCTTCCCCCATGTGCCCTGACCTGTGTTGCTCCCTCTTCCAGCCACACCAGGAGAGGAGTGTGCCATCTGCTTCTATCACGCTGCCAACACCCGCCTTGTGCCCTGCGGCCACACATACTTCTGCAGATACTGTGCCTGGCGGGTCTTCAGCGATACGGCCAAGTGCCCTGTGTGCCGCTGGCAGATAGAGGCGGTAGCCCCTGCGCAGGGCCCTCCTGCTCTGAGGGTTGAGGAAGGCTCATGAAAGGAGGCTTCCCAGTATGAGTGGCAGCCCGGGCCTAGATCTGAGTCTGGCCCCTGCAGAGAGGAAGGAGGCGCAGCCCTACCTTCTTTCTGGGGAAGAGTCAGAAAGGCTGATTAGCAAGAGGTGCGGCAGAGAGAGGAAGGCAGGGAGGTGCTGTCTGCTGCCTCCACCTGTTCCCCAACAGGATAGCAAGGAAAAACCCCTCTTTCTGTCCATGCCAGAACTATCCTTCTGATGGGGTGCTTTGTTTAGAGATGGGGTGGCCCAATCCCCAATCAGTTTTACATCTGAGGGAGTTCAGGTATCTGTTGTGACTGGTGAAGCCCTGTACCTCCTGGGTATTGAAGAACCTGGACTTGAAGCAGGAGGTATCTGCAAGGAATGTATAAAGTTCCACATGGAAGCTGGGTTGCCTCCCACAAGTCCCCAGTAGAGTGGATCTGTAGTTACCCGCCCTGCCTCCCTTTCAGGGTGGTCATGAGGTCCCAGAGAGACCATGCATCTGAAGATGATTTAAAACATGAAAGTGTATTGTTGTCACTGTGGTAATTTCCTTGCCAGTTTCTGAGATATCAAAATAAAGTTTGTGTTTCCTGAATGATTTTGTAGTGCCTGTATCCTCTTGCTTGCAGTCTGGGAGTGGGGTAGGAGCTGTGGGCTGTTCGGGATGATGCAGCATTTGGAGACATGCCATTCTGTCTTCCCCACAATCTGGGCTTGTAGGTGGCCTGGGTGGGCCTCTGGGCGCTCGGGCCCATGGACTGAGCACATGAAGGGGGTAGTCTTATAATCCCAGTCCTTAAGTCCCAACCAGACTTTTTGCCCTTGCCACCCTTGATTTTGGGGCACTGCCTGGAGGCTCTGACCCCCGACTGAAGGCAGGAGTTGGCCGGCCTGGGAGCCCACCTCAGCAGGTGTCTGGCAGTGGCAGGCTGTGCCTGTGACTTTGCTGTTGTCCCCTGCTCTGTGGCTGCTGTGGAGGCCACTCCTGGGGGAGAGGGCTATGTGAAGGGAATCCGAACCTATTGTGCCCCAAATGGAAAGTATGGGCACCTCCACACACTGCCTTTCTGCCCATCGCATAGCCAAACAGAAGGTCAGGATGCTGGATTTGATGACACCTGAGTATCTTTCACTCTGGAGTGGGATCCCCTCACTACCACCCACAAGTGCTCTGACCTGGGGCATGTGAGTTGACCTCCGTGAGCCTCAGTTTCATCATCTGTAAAATGGAAGTAGGATAATTTTCTTGCTGGTAAGTTGTGAGGAGCATGAACATTCAACTTCTAACTTAGAAGAAGGACTCAAAACTGGCAGCTCCCTTTCCCTGGAAAAGGCATCTCCCAGGGGAAGTTCCCAAGAGTGCACTGGAATGGTTGTCAGGGGCCTTGTGTGAGTCCCGGTAGCCCACTGACTTTTACCAAGGGCCTCCAATCACCCCAATACTTTGGAATGATTTCTATGGATCCTAAAGCAAGTATTTTCATCCTTTAAATGTCTTATTTTTCCCCCCTATGCCCAGACAGCTTCAAGGTGAGGGCAGTACTTTAATCCTAATTCCAGTGAACACTACCTTATTAGGTAACATCTAGAAAGCCTGATTTTAGAAAACATCTCTAACCAGAGGTGGACCTTCTGGAATGGTGGAGTAAGGAAGGACTTCTGTAAACCCATTGTTCCATAAAAACAACAAAAATACTGGCAAAATTACCAAAATCAACTTTTTCAGAACTCTAGAAATTAACCAGAGGCTAACAATAATCTGAAGGATGCTTATCTGAGATAAACTGCTGTACTTTGGTAAGAACAGTGGGGTTTGTGTGGTTAACTCCTCCCATCCCTCTGCCTCTAGCTCCACAGTAGTCCTGAAAACCAGCAGCCTTGAAGCCACTCAGGGTGGATGGACAGACTCAGTTGGGAGCTCCTCGGGAAGCTCCATCCCTAGACTATTGTCACTATCTGAACTACATCTTCGTTCTCTGGAAAAGTTTCATTTACAGGGCGTTGTCATTCTTTAACCCTACTTGGGGCCCTCTCCATGGGAAACCCCTATCCCTGGGACATTTGCCAAGCATAATCAGTTTCAATTGTTTAACATTACAGCTGCCTAAGTCTGTGATACTAGCTGAGGCAAACAAGAGCCTGGCCAGAGATTTAAAAGGAAGATCTGTGAAACGAGACGTCCGTAGAGAACTTTGAAAAGTTATGATATACTCCTGGGTATCTACAAGACTGTGTACACACTCAGGAAAGACTAAGAGGACCCCAATCTCTCACTTTGGCTGACCTTGAGGCCCTGTGAAAGTAGGAAGCGAAGGGTAAGGCAGAGTTAGAAACTTCCTGAGCATTGAAGGTGTGCCCCAACCCACAAACAGAGCTCCTTGTCAAAAGGTGGAAGATTTACTAGCTCAAGGCATTTAAGGAAATCTCTGTCTGATCATTAGCTGACCACTAATCTAACTGGGCAGAGACTTCAGTTGGCTACACATTACGAGGAGTGTAGACTTTACGGAATTAGTCCAGGAAAGTGAGCAAAAAACAACAGAAAAACAACAACAACAAAAGCCCCACAGAAACAGCAGCAACAAACTGGCAACGACAACAAGCCCTGGAAGAGTGAGTGTCTGATTATCAGGGCTTCCAAATTATATTACCTAAAGAGCTCTAGTTTTTAAAGAAAAATTATGAGATCTGCAAAGAAATAAGAAAGTATTGCCTATGCACAGGAAAAAATCAGTCACTAGAAACTGTCCCTGAGACAGCCTTGATGTTAGATTTACTAGACAAAACCTTTAAATCAGCTGTTATGAATATGTTCCGTGAGCTAAAGGAAGCCATGTCTAAAAAAATTTTTTTAAGTATGTCAATCATGTCTCACCAAATACAGAATATCAATCTATCAGAAAGATAAAAAACCAACCAAATAGAAATTCTGGAGTTGGAAAGTACAATACTTGAAGAAAAATTCACTAATACCAGCGGGGTCCAATAGCAGATTTAGGCTGGCAGGAGAAAGGATCAATGAACTTGAAGACAGGTTAATAGAGATGATTATGATTTAGTCTGAGGTATAGAAGGAAAAAAAGAAGAATGAACAAGCCCCAGAGACCTATGAGACACAGTCAAATGCACCAACATACATGTAAAGGGAGTACCAGAAAGAGAACAGGAAGATAAGGGGGAAGAAAGAAATTGTATAAGTAAAGTCCAAAGAGTTTTCAAATTTTCTAGGGGAAAAAAAATCTATATATATATCTATATGTACATATTTGAGACAGAATCTCACTCTGTCACCCAAGTGGGAGTGCGGTGGTGAGAGCTCAGCTTACTGCATCCTCTGCCTCCCGGGTTCAAGCAATTCTCCTGCCTCAGCCTCCCAAGTAGCTGGGATTACAGGTGTGCACCACGAGGCCCAGCTAATTTTTGTATTTTTAGTAGAGACAGGGTTTTACCATGTTGGCCCACCTGGTCTTGAACTCCTGACCTCAGGTAATTCACCTACCTCAGCCTCCCAAAGTGTTGGAATTACAGGCGTGAGCCACCACGCCTGGCCAATTTTCTGAAAATATTAATCTATACATCCAAGAAGCTCAATGAACTCCAAGTTGGATTACTTAAAGGCTGGTCCTCACTCTAATGTGCTACTCTGCCTCCACCCTAAGAAGGATAAACTGAAAGAGATCCACACCAAGGTATATCGTAGTCAAATTGTCAAAAACCAAAGACAATGGAATCTTTAAAGCCTCAAAAAAAAAAAAACCACTTAATTGCATACAAGTTATCCTCAATAACAACTAACTTCTCATCAGAAATCATGGGGACCAGAAGACAGTGGAATGATGTAAGTACTGGAGGAAAAGGACTGTGAACCAAAAATTCTGTATCCAGCAAAACTGTCCTTCAAAAGTGAAGAAGAAATTAAGATATTCCCAGATAAACAAGAACAGAAAATTCATTACCAGTACATGTGCTCTACAAGAAATATTCCCATATTTCTTTCCCATATTTCTTTAAGACTGAAATGAAAGGAATGATCTCTAACATTTCTCTAATTTTATAGATAGGAAAACTGAGGGGCAGGTAGAAGGAATCATCTTATAAATGATGGGATAAGAATTAGATCCTTGTTATAACCACACTGATGCAATCATTTCTTCATTCATCAAATTAATTCCAAGAATATTGAAACATCTGACTCTAGAAGCCATCTTAGTATGAGCACAGACTTGCCTATGTCCTTGGGAGCAATACTGGGGAATAAATAATTATATTCAATGTGGTAAGTGTTAGAATAGCTTATACTGGCTGGGTGCGGTGGCTGACGCCTGTAATCCCAGCACTTTGGGAGGCTGAGGCAGGCAGATCACAAGGTCAGGAGTGTGAGACCAGCTTGGCCAATATGGTGAAACCCTGTCTCTACTAAAAATACAAAAATTAGCCAGGCGTGGTGGCGCACGCCTGTAGTCCCAGCTACTCAGGAAGCTGAGGCAGAAGACTCGCTTGAACCTGAGAGGCAGAGGTTGCAGTGAGCCAAGATCATGCCACTGCACTCCAGCCTGGGCGACAGAGTGAGACTCTGTCAAAAAAAAAAAAAGCCTATACTAAGAGCTTTTCAACTTCCATTTCAAGATGATAGACTGAGCACATGTAGTTGTTTCCTTTTATTCCAAGTCTCTATACATTGCTCAGAATGATTTAAACAAATATATTTCTTCCCTATAAAACAATATAGGGAAAATCTGGTGAACTAAAACCACAATAAAAGGTGGAAAACAGGTGGGATCAGATTAAATATGGAAACCGTGCCAGAGGAGAGGACTGCCGCAAAAGGTGAGAGCAGCTCTAGGAATGCTTCAAACTCAGGACTTGTGAACTGGGAACCGCAGGTGGTCCATGATCGACTGACCGTGACTGGTAGAGGCTCACAGAATAGACAGCCAGGAATGTTCACCTCAGGCCACACAGTGAGTCACAGAGGTGTCTTCCCATGGGCAGGATCAGTGAGAGGTGAACAATTGGGTGTGAGGCAAGACAAAGCCCCAGAGATTAACAGCTCCCAAGGATAGCAGGAAGCTTCCACATCTGGAAGTTTCACCATTGGCTCATGCTGCCCAGCAGCACATCCCATCCCTTCATTCCACTTTACACAGGTACACCAAGTCATAGCTGCATGTCCTGCACCTGTCTGCAAGCAGGCCACTTAGGCTAACAAGGAATTTCAGATCCAAAGGTGAACTCACAGCCAAGAAAAGCCAAATATTTGAAAAAAGTGAATATCATGATGGAAAGGACTGACAGCAAAAGGAGTTCATACCTGAAAAAATAGGGTTAATAAAGCATACAAACCTGGGCTTTAGGATAACTATAATCACATATGAAAGGATATTGCATTGAAAAATCTAGATACCTTTGGAATTAGAAGCTTGACTATTAAAATTTAAAATAACTTATTTGATAGAGTGAGTAGCAGAAAGTATGTAGCTGAAAAATGTATTAATGATCTGGAATCAACCAGAATGCATTCCAAAATTAACAAGAGATGAAATATATAAAAAGAGAATAAACAGAATAGATGAAGTTCAAATAACCATCCAATGTGAATTCCAGAAGAAAAAAATAGAGAAAATGGACAAAAGAGAAACTCAAAGAAAGATTAGAGCTGGGCATGGTGGCTCATGCCTATAATCCCAGCACTTTGGGAGGCCAAGGTGGGAGGATCGCTTGTGGCCAGGAGTTCAAGACCAGCCTGGCCAACATATAAGACTCCCATCTCTACCAGAAATAAAAATAAAAGAACAATTTCTCAGAATTGAAGAAAGACATAGCTTTTCAGATTGAAAAAGCCCCCCAGTTGCCAAACAGAATAAGTGAAGAAAAGACTTTCATTTTGACACATACTGGTGACATTTCAGAGTACCAGGGATAAACAGAAAACCCAAGAAGAAAAAAAAAACACCCCAAAACAGATCACACACAAAAGTATTAGAATCACATTATCAGTAGGCTTTTTCTCAGCAATACTTGGTACAGAATGACAATAGAACAATATCTTCAAAGTTCAGGGGGATTTTCTTTAATTGAAGCATATTTACTATAATAATATGCACATATCTTTTTTTTTTCTTTTTGAGACAAGGTCTCACTCTGTCATCCAGGCTGGAGTGCAGTGGCACAATCATGGCTCACTGCAGCCTCCGCCTCCCTGGCCTCAGGTGATCCTCCCACCTCAGCCTTCAGAGTAAGCTGGGACTACAGGCACATGCTGCCACACCTGACTAATTTTTTAATATTTAGTACAGATGAGATCTTGCAATATTGCCCAGGCTGGTCTTGAACTCCTGGGCCCAAGTGATCCACTTGTGTTGGTTTCCCAAAGTACTGAGATTATAGGCATGAGCCACTGTGCCTGGCCTATGCACAGATCTTAAGTCCCCATTTTGATGAGGAAATAATTTTGAAATCTAAAATTCTGCAGACAGCGACTCTCTCATTCAAAGGTGAGCGTAAAATGAAGAAATATTCAGATATAAAAAGACTCAAAGTTTATCATTTAACAGATACTTTATAGGCAAATTATTAGAAGAATCACTTCAGAAAAAAGAAAAAACAAGAAAAATTAGTATGATTGTAACCATTAAAAGCAAAAAAAGTTGAATCTAAGTAAATGTTAATTGTAAAAAATTAATAATAATTTGAAATGAAAACCACAGATGATATCAACATGGGTGGAATGGCAAAAATAAAAAGCATGCTAAGGTTCTTTTCTTATCAAGAAGAGGGTTTTTAAAATTTTTTTAGTTTTTTTGAGACAGAGTCTTGCTCTTGTTGCCCAGGCTGGAGTGTAACATTATGATCTTGGCTCACTGCAACCTCTGCCTCCTGGGTTCAAGCAATTCTCCTGCCTCAGCCTCCCGAGTAGCTAGGATTATAGGTGCCTGCCACCATGCCTGGCTAATTTTTGTATCTTTAGTAGACAAGGTTTCACCATGTTGGCCAGGCTGGTCTTGAACTCTTGACCTCAGGTGATTTGCCCGCCTTGGCCTCCCAAAGTGCTGGGATTACAGGTGTGAGCTACCACACCTGGCTAGGAAGAAGTTATTTTTAACAATATAAATGAGAAAAAAATAAGTTTAATTTGTATGGTAAAGAACATACAAACAAAATGTAGAACTACAAATAAAATATATAAATTCCAAATCATGTGAAAATAATAGAACTTCAATTCCTGCATCCCAACAAAAGTCAGGAAATTGGATAAAAGGATTTTTAAAAATGTATATAGTCTAGCCCTGTCATCCAGGCTGGCACAATCGTAGCTCACTGCAGCCTCAAATTCCTGGGCTCCAGCTATCCTCTTGCCTCAGCCTCCCAAGCAGCTGGTACTCCAGGCATGTGCTACCATGCCTGGCTTCTTATTTTGTTTTATTTTTTATTTTTATTTGTAGAGACTGAGTCTCAATATGTTGCCTAGGCTGGTCTCAAACTCTTAACCTCAAGTGATCCTCTGACTTCAGCCTTCTGAATAGCTGGGATTGCAGGTGCAAGCCACTGCACCTGCTGAGACAACACACTTTCTGATTTTGAATTATACTACAAAGCTATAGTAATCAATACAGTATGGTACTGGCATAAAAACAGAAAAATAGATCCATAAAACAGAATAAGGATCCTAGAAATAAACCCATGCATATATGATCAACTTATCTTCAACAAAGCACCAAGAATACAGAATAGGGAAGCGACAGTCTCTTCAATCAATGGTATGGAGAAAACTGGATAGCCACATGAAAAAGGATAAAATTGGACCCTATCTTACACTATGCACAAAAGTCTACTGAAAATGGATTAGACTTAAATGTAAGACCTGAAACCGTAAAACTCCTAGAAGAATGATTTTTTGGATATGACATCTAAAGCATGAGTAACAAAAGCAAAAACAAGTGGGACTGCATCAAACTAAAAAGCTTCTGCATAGCAAAGGAAACAATCAACAAACTGAAAAGGCCACAGTAGAAAATATTTGCAATATTTTGTATACAATAAGGGGTTAATATCCAAAATATATAAGGGACTCATATGACTCAATATTAGAAAAACAAATAACCTGATTTAAAACTGGGCAAAAGACCTGAATAGACATTTCTCCAAAGAAGACATAACAATGGCCAATACGTATATTAAAAGGTGTTCAATATCACTAATCATCAAGAAAACTGCAAATAAAATCCACAATGAGATATCACCTCACACCTGTTAGAATGTCTAATGTCAGAAAGTCAAAAGATAACAAGTGGTTGTGAGGATATGAAGAAACAGGAACCCTTATATACTGCTGGTGGGGATACAGACTGCTACAGTCATTATGAAAAACAGTGCGTTTCCAATTGCATGGCTTAAAAAATAGGAACACAGTATGCAGGTTCCTCAAAAAATTAAGAATAGAACTATCATATGATCTAACAGTCTCACTTCTGAGTATGTATCTGAAGGAAATAGAAGCAGGATCTTGAAGAGATGGCTGCCCTGCTATGTTCACTCCAGCATTATTCACAATAGTCAAGATATGGAAACAACCTAAGTGTCCATTGATAGGTGAATGGATAAAGAAAATGTTATATCTATGTATTTATTTTTCAGCCTTAAAAAAAGGAAATCCCGTCATTTACAACAACATGGTTGAACCCGGAGGACATTATGCCAAATGAAATAAGCCAGACACGAAAAAGCTGAACTCATAGAAACAGAGTAGAAGGGTGGTTACTAGGAGATGGTGGTGGGGAAAATGGGGAGATGTTGATCAAAGGGCACAAACTTTCAGTTATAAGATGAGTAAGTTCTGAAGACCTAAATGTATAACATGGCCACTATAGTTAATAATAATAAGGTATTGTATACTTGAAATTTGCTAGGCTAGTGGATCTTAAATGTTCTCACCACACCTCCAAAATGGTAACTATATGAGATGATGGATATGTTAATTAGCTTGATTATGGTAATCACTTCACAATATATACATATATCATATATACATTTATCAAAACATTATATCGTATACCTTAAGTATATACAATTTTATCTGTCAATCATAGCTTAACAGAGCAGAATGAAGTAAAGAGACACACACACACACATATATATACACACACACATATATATATACACACACACACATATATATATATATATATTTTTTTTTTTGAGTCAGAGTCTTGCTCTGTTGGTCAGGCTGGAGTGCAGTGGCATGATCTTGGCTCACTGCAACCTCTGTCTTCTGGGTTCAAGCGATTCTCCTGCCTCAGCCTCCTGAGTAGCTGGGATTGCAGGCGCCCGCCACCACATCCAGCTAATTTTTGTATTTTTAGTAGAGACAGGGTTTCACCATGTTGGCCAGGCTGGTCTCGAACTCCTGACCTCAGGTGATCCTCCTGCCTCGGCCTCCCGAAGTCCTAGGATTACAGGTGTGAGTCACCACGCCTGGCCACATGTATTTTTTAAAGCCATAAAGGAGAGATTGATAAATTTGATTACGCAGGATTTTTTTAAAAGCTTATGTGTGACAAAAGATACCATGAATAAAACTAAGAAGCAAGATAATAGATGGGAAGTAGAGACTTTCAACACATATAACAGAATGGAATGATGTTGAAACTTACAAAACACTTACTCCTACAATCAATAAGAAAAGCACAGATAGCTCACAGTGAGTGTCCAAGATCACATACGGAGAAATCAATCCAATCACTTATGGGGTCAATAAACATGAGAATAAACTTTGCAAGAGCCTGGGAAGTGCAAATTAAGACAGCAGCAAGACACCAACAAAATAGAACTTGGTTGGATGGTGAAATGGTGAAAGGGTACAACATTTCAGTTAGAAAACTTTTACACTGCCGGGCAAGGTGGCACAGGCCTGTAATCCCAGCACTTTGGGAGGCTGAGACAGGAGGATCACTTAAGCCCAGGAGTTCAAGTCCAATCTGGGCAACATAGGGGGACCTTATCTCTACAAAAAAATTAAAAAATTGGCCAGGTGTGGTGGCCTGTGCCTGTGGTCCCAGCTACTTGGGAGGCTGAGGTGGGAGGATTGCCTGAGCCCAGGAGATTGAGGCTGCAGAGAGCTATGATCATGCCACTGCACTCCAGCCTGGATGGCAGAGTGAGACCCTGTTCAAAACAAAATCAAAAACAAACAAAAAAGAAATCAATTACACAAAAACATTGGAGGCATTATCTACTAAAATTTAAACTATTCATACACTATCGCCCACCAGTGTCTACTCCAGAAAGTCACTCACTGCTTGCAAGAATGACCTGGCAGCAATTCTCATGACAGGAAAGCACTTGGAAACAAACTTTATATATTTACCAATAGGAAAGTGGTTATATCAACCATGGTTTATCCATATTATAGAACATTGTGCTGTGGTTCCAAGGAATAAGTTTTTATTTTTTGATTTTTTTACTTTATTTTGTTTGGAACTAGGGTCTCACTCTGTCACCCAGACTGGAGTGCAGTGGCGTGATTATAGCTCACTACAGCCTCCGCCTCCTGGGCTCATGCAATCCTCCCACCTCAGCCTCCCAAGTAGCTGGGACAACAGGTGGGCACCACCACATCTGGCTAATTTTTTAAATTTTTTGTAGAGACAGGATCTTGCTGTGTTGCTCAGGCTGGTCCTGAACTCCTTGGGCTCAAGCAATCCTCCTACTTCAGCCTCCCAAAGGTTGGGATGACAGGTGTGAGCCACTGCATCCAGCCCAAGGAATACGTTTTCATTATGTTTCTGACATACAGGATGTAGCATACAGTAAATGTCATGAATATAAAAATGCATAAAATAATGTGTGTGTGTGTTGGTATATGAATGGCAAAGGGTCCAGGAGGGTAAGAGAAGTGACCCTGGGAAAGGACTGGGATGGGGATGTGATTGGGAGGACTTGAACATTTCACTGGCATGTGGGGACTTTTTTTTTTTTTTTTTTAACAATGAGAATGAGCTTACATATTGGTTAAAAAGCCAAAAACAGTTGCTTTGGGAAACAGTGGTGGCTCCTCAAAAACTTAAACACAGAAGGACTGTATGAGCCAGCGATTCCACTCCTACATATATACCCAAGGGAATTGGAAACACTTCCACACACAATTTGTACACAAATGTTGATGGAAGAATTATTCATAATGGCCCCAAGGTAGAAATGAATATTATTTGATCCTTAAAAAGGAATGAAATACTGATTCAGGCTACATCATGATGAGCCTTGAAAATGTTATGCTAAGAGAAGGAAACTAGTCACCAAAGGCCATATATGCACGATTCCATCCATATGAAATGTCTACAATAGGCAAATCCAGAAACAGAAAGTAGATTAGTGGGTTTCAGAGGCTGGGGAGAGGCAGAAATGAGGAGTGACAACTAAAGGGTACGGAGTTTCTTTTTAGGGTGAGGAAAATATCCTGAAATTAATTATGCTGATAGTTGCACAACTTTGTGAATAGAATACTAAAAACCATTGAACTGTGCATTTAAAAAAGACGAATATTATGATAATGTGAGTTACATCTCAATTAAAAAGTTATCCAAAACAAAACCTCTCCAAAATAGACAAAGAAGCGCTAGTGGGGAAAAAAGAGGAAGACGATATTAGCCCTGGCAGCAGGAACAGCTGAAGAGGAGATGCCTTTTGAGCTGGTCCTACAGGGAGAGTTTGGAAGGCAGAGGGGAATGGATGCCGGTCTTCCAGACAGCAGGCGCGGCACATGCAGAGATGGCAAAGGCAAGGTGTGCTGGGGGAGCTACGAGGAGGTGAGGAGGTCGGATTGGCCCAAGCAAAAGCGGGGGGGAGAGGCGAGAGGGAAGCGAGATGGGCCTGCCCTAGGAGCGCTCTACCGGCTGCGTGAGTGGCGGTGCCCGTGCCATCCCTGGGGCTGCAGGAGGTCTGATCTGCCAGGGCCTCGGCCAGCCAGCAACTCACAGTGCTTGTAAGGCAGGCTGGGAGAGAGGCAGGCTGCGGCTAAGTTTCGCTTTCCTAGAAGCCTGAGATCACAGGTTCCCTTGACGTGAGGTCACTGGAGTAAAACAATGGAGGAAGCGTGTAATGAATCATTATCACAGGGGCAGAATACACGCAGTAAAAAGAAAGTAGAACTGCAACCAGGGATCTTTAGCGTCCTGTAAGCGGAGGCCTGCCCGGGCTGGCTCCAGGGACCTGCTACGGGGCTTTCCTGCAGATATGGGAAAATTCCCTCGTCCAGACTTTCACATCAGGCTTTCTGTTAGATCAATTGGAGAGGGAAGGGGGAGACCGGGTCCACCATGTCACCTGCCCCTGGCGCCCATCGCACACAGGGCCCCAGCGTGCTGTCCTCATGAGGCCTCGCCAGCATTACTCCCTGATGGCACTCCTCTCGCAACCCCCACCCCCACCCCTGCACTGCACGCCCTGACCCCCCTGCTGATCAACTGTTGAAGAAATTCCACTTGGAAGAAGTCTACAGTGGGGACTGGGGGTCCCGCGTGTGGGGGATGACTCCTAAGCCTGGAGGCAGAGGGAAGAGAACCGCGCACGGTCCCTTCCTCCACAGACCTGCACAGCAGATTAGCCTCTGCTGCCAGCTGCCCTGCTCCCCAGTCCCTTCCTTTGAAGGAATGGGTGGTAGGATCTCCACAGGAATCTAGAGGTGGTGCCTCTGTGGTTTTCTGGCGCAGCCAGCTTGTTTCTCTCAGATCTGTGTGAAGTGCGAGGGGCACAGCAGGGGGTGACATTCTCATTTTATAGCCAGGAAACTGAGGCGCAGAGGCTTTGTGTGACTTGCCTGCAGCCACACAGCAGCCCATGGTATGGTTGGGACCAGATCTGGAATCGCTGAATCCCAGCCAAGACTCCCTTCTGCCTCAAGCTGAGCCATTTATGGCTTGACATGGAGGCGGATCACCTGAACAGTCCCCATTCCCCACAAAGTTCTCAACAAAAAAAGGGCCAACTTGGACACAGTGATTGAGATGGAGACTGACCACGAGAGGAGGGCACTTCCTAATCCCCGTTTCTGGCCCTAAACATCTTCCTGGCTTTCTGTTCAGGACCCCTCCTGACTCCCTCAAATGCTCTTGGATTCCGCTGACTTAAAGGATCAAATACATTTTGGCTCCTTGCCTGTCTCCCCCCAGGAGTATGTGCAGTCCTGGGGCTGACAGGGACTTGGAAGGAGAAGCCCAAGTGTCTTATTCCTTTTTTTGTTTGTTTGTTTGTTTTTTACTGTTAGAACACCACAGACTGGGCAATTTATAAAGAAAAGGGTTTATTTGGTTCATAGCTCTGGGAAGTCCAAGGGCATGGCTCTGGCATCTAGCGAGGGCCTTCATATTGAGTTATCCCAAGGTGGAAGGTGGAGGGTAGGAGGGAAGATGGGGACTGAACTTCACCCTTTTATCAGGAACCCATTCCCTCAGTGACTAGCTCACTCCTGCAATAACAATATTGTTTCACTCATGAGGGCAGAGGCTTCATGGCCTAATCACCCATCTCTTAAGGTCTTCACAATGGTAATTAAATTTCAACATGAGTTTTGGAGGGGACATTCAACCACAGCACCAAGTATTATATTGGAGGGAATAGACTGCCTGTCCTTTCCCTAAATTGAGACTAAGAGGATATGACCATTGGCTAAAATGGGGGGAGGCAGGCCCTTGGGTTACCCTAAGGTAGAACCCTTTTAAAATATTTGTGAGGAGAGAGGGTCCCATACCTGTGTAGCAAATGTGTGTTCTCCCAGTCACAAGGAGATGTCAGGAAGTGTGTGTCCTCTTGGGGGATAGACTGGGGGCTGGCCTCTGAGAGGCCCAAGGCTGGCTTTTTCACCCCCAGTGAATGTATGAGGCCCAGAAATTCGATGCTGTCAGCACGCAGTGGGAGCAGCTGTCACCCCTACTCCTTGGGGTAAAGCCGAGAGAAGTGTGAAACAGCCCACATGCCCATGGCAGCTGTAGAAAGGCCCTGCTCAGACTCCTGCTGTGAGGAGCACAGTTGACAGACCCAGCCTGTCGTGAGCTTCCCTCCGCCTCATCCTTCCTGACGCCATGCTTCTCCAATCTTTGATGTGGGAGCACCAGATAGAAGTACAGGGAGGCGGTATCTGGGCATCCCCTTTCCTGGGGGATGTGGGATGCCTGTAATGGTGACATTGTTTAGAGGACTCCTTATCAGCCTGGCCCAACAATTCCCAGAATGGCCCTGCAGCCCTAGACTCTTCCTGTCCACCCTCTTTCCTTCCCCTCTCCTTTCCCAGGCATCTGAGTGCAACATTCTCCAGCTCACCCCCCTGTCTCCTTCATAGGCATTTCCCCCAGTCAGTGTCTCATATGTCCAACTTCGTCTTGGTATCTGCTTCTGGGAAGACCCAACTTCTACAGTGTCCAACAAAAGAATGGATGAACTGCCGTGTGGTCATGCAGTGAATGAGCTAGAGCTATGAGTGTCACATAGACAAATCTCAAAAATATCATGTTTAACTGGAAAAACCACATCGCAGAAGGGGGCTTCAGATAGATCCCTGCTCCCAACCCACCAGCTGCTCTAAGCACTTCACGCGTAGTTACGCATTTGATGCTCACACCAACACTCAGCATCATCCCCACTTTGCAGATGAAAATATCTAGGTAAATCACCTCACTGTGCCTTGATTTCCTCATCTGTAAGATGGGGATGACAATAATGCCTCCTTCATCACATGATACTGTGAGCATTAAACAAGCGCAAAACATTGAGTGTTGCTCCTGCTGTATCGCTAGCTTCTTTCGTCGCCGTCATTTGTATTTCCTGATTAATTCTGTTTTCCTGTCTGGAAGGCCACATCTTCCTTAGATATTTAATTGCTATTGTTGTAGTGTCCATATCTTGCTCATGGTTTTCTCTGGCTTTAAGGTCCTTCATGCCAACAAAAGCTGGGAAAGGGTCGTGGGAAGAGATGGAGTGTCTGGGAGGGGCATGACCTAGTCATGAATTCTTTAGCTGAATTACATCAGAGGCACCAGGCCTCACAGTGGCCAGGAGGGCTTGTTTGTGTGCTTTCTGGGTGGGGAATGAAGGGGCTGCCCAGGGCCAGGAGGCGAGGCTGCCAGGTGGGCTGAGGACCACCTGTGCCTATCCGCGAGGCTGGGAGCCAACAGGGAGAAATGGCAATGCAGCACCTACTGTGTGCTGGGCCCTTTCCATTCAAGCTCTCGTTTCATCCTCACAACTGTCCCCTTTTCTGGAGGAAAACCGAGGTTACTGGAAGAGGAGGAGCCACCATGGAACTCAGGTCCATCTGGCTCTAGGTGAAAAGTTTTTTCTTTGAGACTGAGTCTGGCTCTGTCGCCCAGACTAGAGTGCAGTGGTGCGATCTTGGCTCACTGCAACCTCTGCCTCCCGGGTTCAAGCGATTCTTGTGCCTTAGCCGCCTCCTGAGTAGGTGGGACTACAGATGCATGCCACCATGCCCAGCTAATTTTTGTATGTTTAGTAGAGATGGGTTTCTTTCTTTCTTTCTTTCTTTCTTTCTTTCTTTCTTTCTTTTTCTTCTTTCTTTCTTTTCTTTTTCTTTCTTTCTTTTTCTTCTTTCTTTCTTCTCTTTCATTCTTTCTCTTTCCCTCCCTTCCTTCTCTCCTTCCTTCTGTCTTTCTCTCTTTCTCTCTCTCTTTCTTTTCTTTCTTTCTTTCTCTTTCTTTGTTTCCTTTCTTTCTTTCCTTCCTTCCTTCGTTCCTTCCTTCCTTCCTTTCTTTCTTCTTTCTCTTTCTTTCTTTTTCTTCTTTCTTTCTTCTCTTTCATTCTTTCTCTTTCCCTCCCTTCCTTCTCTCCTTCCTTCTGTCTCTCTCTCTCTCTTTCTTTTCTTTCTTTCTCTTTCTTTGTTTCCTTTCTTTCTTTCCTTCCTTCCTTCGTTCCTTCCTTCCTTCCTTTCTTTCTTTCTTCTTTCTTTCTTTTCTTTTTCTTTCTTTCTTTTTCTTCTTTCTTTCTTCTCTTTCATTCTTTCTCTTTCCCTCCCTTCCTTCTCTCCTTCCTTCTGTCTTTCTCTTTCTCTTTCTCTCTCTCTCTCTTTTCTTTCTTTCTCTTTGTTTTCCTTCCTTCCCTTCCTTCCTTCCTTCCTTCCTTCCTTCCTTCCTTCCTTCCTTCCTTCCTTCCTTCCTTCCTTCCTTCCTTCCTTCTTTCTTTCTTTCTTTCTTTCTTTCTTTCTTTCTTTCTTTCTTTCTTTCTTTCTTTCTTTCTTTCTTTCTTTCTTTCTTTCTTTCTTTCTTTCTTTCTTTCTTTCTTTCCAGACAGAGTCTCGCTCTGTTGCCCAGACTGGAGTGCAGTGGCACAATCTCGGCTCACTGCAGACTCCGCCTCCCAGGTTCAAGCAATTCTCCTGCCTCAGCCTCCCGAGTAGCTGGGATTACAGGTATGCACCCTCACGCCCAGCTACTTTTTGTATCTTTTGTAGAGTCAGAGTTTCACCATGTTAACCAGGCTGGTCTCAAACTCCTGACCTCAAGTGATCCGCCTGCCTCAGCCTCCCAAAGTGCTAGGATTACAGGCATGAGCCACCATTCCCGGCTGCATTCATAATTAAAAAAAAAAAATCTCTCAGAATATTAGAAAGAGAAACTTCAATTGGATAAGGATATCTCTGAAAAAAATCTATAGCTAACATCCCAGTGAATAGTTAAAGATTAAAAGATCACTTCTGTTCAACATTGTGCTGGGAGAGTCCTAACTTATGCCAGAAGGTCCCCCCAGCAAAGGAAAAATAGAAAAAGAAAAAAGAAAGAGAAAACAAAGGAAAAGCAGAGATATTCGAAAGAAATAACAAAACTGTCTTTTTTCCTCAGACAACCTGATTATGTATAAAATCCTAAGGAATTTACCAAAAAAGCTCTTAAAAACTAATATGGGAATTCAGCAAAGTCACAAGATATATGCTCAATATAAAAAATTGGTTGTAATAAAAATCATTAGTATTTATATACACTAGCAGTGAACTATCTGAAAATTATATTTTAAAAAATTCCATTTACAATTGCATCAAAGAATAAAATATTTAGGAATAAATTTAACCAAAAAAGTGCAAGAATTGTACTCTAAAAACTACCCAAAAAATCACTAAAATAAATTAAAGAAAAGCTAAGTAAGTGGAGAGACATCTATGTTTATGAATTGGAAAACCTAATATTGCTATGATGGCAATATTCCCCAAAATTGATCTACAGATTCACCAAATTTCCCACCTGTCTATTTTGCAGAAATCGAGAAGTTGATTCTAAAATTCAAATAGAAATTCAAGTGATCCAAACTAGCTGAAATAATCTTGAGAAGAAAAAACTAAGTTAGAGTACTCACACTTCTTGATTTCAAAACTTATTATAAAGCTACAGTAATCAAAACTGTGTGGTAATGGCACAAGGATAGTCATATTGTTTGATGGAATAAAATTGAGAATCCAGAAATAAACTGTTACATTTATGATTAATTGATTTTTTACAAGGGTGCCAAAACAATTCAATAGAGAAAAGAATGGTCTCTTCAAATGGTGCTGGGACAGCTGGATAGCCACATACAAAAGAATGAAGTTGGAGCCCTACATATGCAAAAACACATTTAAAAATTAACTCAAAATAAATCAAAGACTTCAATGTAAGAGCTAAAACTATGAAACTCTTAGAAAAAGCATGGGTTAAATCTTCATGACTTGGATTAGAGAATGGTTTCTTAGATATGACACAAAATTAGCTGGGTGTGGTGGCCCATGCCTGTAGTCTCAGCTACTTGGGAGGCTGAGGCAGGAGAATGGTTTGAACCCAGGAGGCGGAGGTTGCAGCGAGCCTGAGATTGCACCACTGCACTCCAGCCTGGGGAGACAGAGCGAGACCCTGTCTCAGGATTTAAAAAATATATATATACACATATATATATATAAAACAACAAAAGCACAAGCAACAGAAAAAAAAAGACAAGATAAACTGGATTCCATCAAAATTAAACATTTTTGATCACCAAAATACACTACCCATATAGTGAAGAGATAAACCCACAAAATGAGGGAAAATATTTGCAAATTATATATCTGGTAAGGGTCTAGTGTCAATAATATATTAAGAACTCCTATAACTCAATTTTTTAAAAAAAGCCAAACAACCCAGTTTTAAAATGGGCAAAGGAAGCTGGTCTTGATGTTGTGTCTCTGCAGTCCTAGCTACTGACAAGACTGTGGGGGACGACTGCTTGAGTCCAGGAATTCGAGGCTGCAGTGAGCTATTATGACATCACTGTACACCAGCCTGGGTGACAGAGCAAGACACTGTCTCTTAAAAAAAAAAACAAAAAACGGGTGCAGGGCGCAGTGGCTCACGCTTGTAATCCCAGCACTTTGGGAGGCCGAGGCGGGTGGATCACCTGAGGTTAGGAGTTCAAGACCAGCCTGGCCAACATGGTGAAACCCTGTCTTTACTAAAAATACAAAAATTAGCTGGATGTGGTGGCGGGCGCCTGTAATCCCAGCTACTCAGGAGGCTGAGAAAGGAGAATTGCTTAAACCTGGGAGGCGGAGGTTGCAGTGAGCCGAGATTGCGCCACTGCACTCCAGCCTGGGCAACAAAGAGTGAAACTACACACACACACACACACACACACACACACAAATGGGCAAAGGACATGAAAAGATGCTCAACCTTGTTAGTCATTAGAGAAAATCAAAGCCACAATGAGATATCATTTTATATACACTAGCTTGGCCATAACAAAACAAAACAAAAATGAAATAACAAGTGTTGGTGAGGATGCGGAGAAACTGGAAATGTTTCCACCCTTGTGCATTACTGGTGGAAATGTAAAATGGTACAGCCATTGTGGAAAACAGTATGGTGGCTCCTCAAAAATGAAAAATTACCCTATGACCTGGCAATTCTACTCCTAGATAGGTACTCCAAGGAATTGGAAACAGGTACTCAAACTAATACTTGTAGATGAATGTTCATAGCAGCACCACCCACAGCAGCCAAAAGATGGAAACAGCACAAATGTCGGTCAACTGATGAATGGATCGAGAAGATGTGGTATAGTATAACAATGGAAGATAATTCATCCAGAAAAAGGAAGGATGAACTACAAACAACACAATTAAAACAAAAAGACATGAAACATTTTAAAGTAAAATGGTAGAAAAATATACACCAGATAAGTAAGAATCTGAGGTAGCAAACTTAATATATAATAAAATAGAATTTGAGGCAAATAAGGAAATTATATAATGGTAGAAAATAAAAGCAATAGAACAAGAAGCCAAACCATTATAAACCTAAATACACCTAAGAATATGCTCTTAAAATATACCAAGCGACAAGTGAAAGAACCATAGGAAGGAGATCAGTATCTATGATTAGAGATTTTAACACACTCCTCTTAGAAACTGGCAGAGCAAAAAAACAAAAATCAAGGAATACAAGATTGAAACAATTTTACTAATAAGCTCAAGCTATCATATGTAGGTAACTCTTACTATTCAACAGCCACTAAGAAAATTTACATTCTTTCAAGCATTTGTTGAACATTTACAAGAATAGACTGTGTTAGGCCATAAACGAAGGTTCAATAAATTCCAAAAGATCAATACCCTTCAGAACTGTGCCATCCACTATAGTAGCCATTAGCTGCATGTTGTTGTCTAAATTAAATTAAAATTAATTACAAATCACAATCCAGTTCCTGGGTGACACTAGTTGAATTTTACATGCTCAATTACTATTTGTGCCCACCAGCTACCATATTAGGCAGTGAAGAGCATTTTCATCATTGCAGACATTTCCATCAGATAGAAGGATACCTGATTTAGAGGACAGCACCCAGCTAGACTGCAATGTAATTGGGGGGAAAGGTTAGCTTTAAAAATTCCTAAATGAATATCCTTATTCTTAGAAGATTCATGCCAGTATATTTTGAGGTGAAATGTCATCATGTCTGCAACTAACCTTTAAAGGCTCACTTACAAAGGATAGAAAGTGGGAGGGAGATAATATAAGAGAGGAAGGAAAGGGAAGGGAAATGAAGAGAGAGATAGGAATAGTGATAAAGTAAAAGTGGGAAAATATGGACAATTTTTGAAATGAAGTGTAAGCTGTATAAGCATTCATTGTCCCATTGTTTCAACTTTTCTGCATGTTTGAAGATGTTCAAAATAGTTATGGTGGGATCTCTCTATTTAGAAACTAAACAACATATTTCTAAATAACCTTTAGGTTAGAAAGGAAATTATAAAAGAAGTATTAGAACTGAATGAAAAGAACAGAAAGAAATCATACACTGCGTTTCAAAGTTTATGGGACACAGCTAAAGCTGTGCACAGAAGGCAATTGTAACTTTAAAATATGTTCATTAGGAAGTAGGAAAGGTTAAAAAAAAGTGAGCTAAATGTTCAATTCAATAAATTGGAAAAGAACATCAAAGCATACCAAAGAAAGAAAAATGATGGAAATAATAAAAATAGGGGCTGAAAACAATGAAATAGGGAAGGTTAATACAAATTTAAAACATTATTAGTCTTTAGTCTATAATGTATTAGTCTTTAGAATTAATTAGTCGTTAGAATTAATAATTAATAATGTATTAGTCTTTAGAAAGACTAATAATGTTTTTGGCAAGACTGATCAAGAAAAACAGAAGATACAAATAAAATATAGGAAGAAAGGTAGAAATAACAAGACATAGATTAATATACTTAGTAGAGAAATTTTACATGGATTTTCATAAAGATCAGAAACAATTTTGACCAACAGCATTAATAAGAAAAGTAAAATAAATAAAATTGATAAGAATTGAAGGGAAAGAGAATAAACTATCATTATTTGTAAATGATATGACATCTCCCTAGGGAAAAAAAATCAACAGACAAACTTTCAGATCAGGAAGAATCTTTAGCAACTATTAAGTTTGCTGGATTCAAGATCAACCAGTGCTGGCAACAGTCAATTAAAAGTTTTAATAAAAAACAAGATACAATTTTTAACATTTACAAAACCATGAAGTATCAAAGAATTAACTAAGAATATATGAGATGTGTATGAAAAATACTTTAAAACTTTAATAAAAGACATTTGCACATGCTCCCTGACTTATGCGGGGATTATGTTCTTATAAACCCATCATAAGTTGAAAATATGCATTTAATACACCCAACCTACTGAATATCATCATCTAGGCTATCATAAATCTATCACAAGATGGACTAGGCTGTCATAACTTAGCCTAGTCTACCTTAAATGTGCTCAGAACACTTACATTAGCCTATAGTTGGACAAAATCGTGTAACACAAAACAACTAAGCCTATTTATAATAAAGTGTTGAATATCTTGTATAATTCACTGAATATGTACACTGGAGAGCACAGCATCGGTGTTCACCCTTGTGATTGAGAGGCTGACTGGGAGCTGTGCCCACCACTGCTGCCCAGCGTCACAAGAGAGTATCGCGCTGTAATTTGCTAGCCCAGGGAAAGATCAAAACTCAAAATTCAAAGTATAGGTTATACTGGGTGCATATAGCTTTTCCGCCATCATAAAGTTGAGAAATTATGAGTCAAACCATTGTAAGTCGGAGACTGTAATAAGGATGATCTCAATGAATGAAGAGACAGACATACCCTTGAATGGGATGGTTTAATATGACAAGATATCAATTCTTACAAATTTCAATCTGTAAATTCAATACAATTCCAAAGCAAATTTGAATTTTTTTTAAGTTGATAAACTTGCTGTATTAGGTTAAGTAGTTTCCCCCTGAAATTCATGCCCACCCAAAACATGAGAATGTGACCTTTTTAAGAAATAGGGTCTTTGCAGATGTAATTAGTTAAGATGAGGTCATACTGCTGCTGGTATCCTTCTAAGAAAGCTGTGTGAAGACCGAGGCAGAGATGGAAGCAATACAGCTGCAACCTAAAAAATGCCAAGGAATGCCAAGGTCCCCAGAAGCCAGGAGGAGGTGGGGAACTGTTCTTCCTGGGGCTGGAGGGAGCATGGCCCTGCCAACACCTTGATTTCAGAATTCCGGCCTCTGGAATGCAGAGAATACTTTCCATTGGTTTGAGCCACCACGTTTGTGGTAGCTCATTCCAGCAGCACTAGGGCACTCCCTCTGAAATTTATCTAGGAGATGAAAGATCCACAAGTATCTAAAACACGCTACCAAATATACAGCTAAGAAGAGTGCCGTGCTGGAACAAGAACAGTCAACCAGGGCATGGACCAGAATAGAGACACTGGAGGCAGACGTCTATATTCACGAGCATTCAGCACTGACTGTCTAGTATTTGGTGTTGAGAAAGTGACTCAGAAAATGAAAAAAAAAAAAAAAGAAAAAAATAAAGCCAAATCTCTACCTAACACCATAGAAAAATGCTGTACTTCACATGGAATAAAGACTTAAAGCTATAAAACTAACAGACAGAAATGTAAGAGAACATCTTTTGAGACTTAAGGCTATGGAAGGACTTAACCAAACCTTCAAAAGCAGAAGTTATAAGGAAAAAATTATAATTTTGGTTACATCAAATATGAAAATTTATGTTCAACCAAGGGCTCTATGGACAAATTTAAGACTGGTGCAGACTAGGGGAAAATATTTGTAATTTCTAGGGGCTGACATCTAGAACATTAGTCTAGACCAGTGCGTCTGGTGGAGTTCTCTGCAGTGAGGGAAGTGTTCTATAGCTGCTCGGTGCACCAGCTGCATGTAGCTACTGAGCACTTGAAATGCGGCTACTGTGAATTAGGAACTACATTTTTATTAATTTAACCATAAATAGCCATATTTGCCTAGTGATTACCCTGTTGGACAGTGCAGGTCTAGAACATAAAGGAACTCTTACAAATCATCAAGAACACGATAGAAATCACAACAGAAAGATAGGCAAAGGATATATCCAGCAATCCAAGAGAAAACCCTAAAGACTAGTAAATATAAAAAGATATGCTCAGAAAAGGGCAAATTCTTCCTCCTCTTCTTCTCCCTCTTCCTCTTCCTCCTCCTCCTCCTCCTTCGCTGCTGCTTCTTCTTCTTCTTTCTTCCTCTTCCTCTTCCTCTTCTTCTTCTTCCTCTTCTTCTTTCTTCCTCTTCCTCTTCTTCTTTCTTCCTCTTCCTCTTCTTCTTCTTCTTCTTCATTTTTTTTTTTTGAGACAGAGTTTCACTCCTGTTGCCCAGGCTGGAGTGCAATGGCACAATCTTGGCTCATTGCAACCTCCGCCTCCAGGGTTCAAGCAATTCTCCTGCCTCAGTCTCCCAAGTAGCTGGGATTGCAGGTATGTGCCACCAGGCCCAGCACATTTTTGTATTTTTAGTAGAGACGGGACTTCACCATGTTGGCCAGGCTGGTCTCGAACTCCTGACCTCAGGTGATCTGCCTGCCTCGGCCTCCCAAAATGCTGGGATTACAGGCATGAGCCACCGCGCCCAGCCAGAAAAGGGTAAATTAAAATATCAATGAGGAAATTACCCTACATCTAAAAACTGGCAAAAATTAGAAAGCTGAATCATGAAATTATTGTTGGGGTTGTAGGGATGTAGGAATCTCCAGGCATTGCTGGGGGAGAGTGGACAGCCCCCAGATTAGATATGCACAGAACAACATAAATGGATCGTGAAAACATGCTGCTGGAGGAAAAAAAAAGAAGCAGAGTTATATAGTGCAATGTTATTGTCATAAATTAAAAATGCATGTACAGAAAACACTGGCTAGAAAACATGCAAAAGGATACACATTAAAGACACTGGAGCAGTTGCCTATGGGGAGAATGGAAAAGGAGTTGGGGTAAATGCAAATACATATATTAACAAAGGGCAAGGCACGGTGTCTCATGACTATAATCCCAAAACTTTGGAGGCTGAGGAGGATGGATTGTTTGAGTACAGGAGTTCAAGACCAGCCTGGGCAACATGGCAAAATGCTGTCTCTACAAAAAATACAAAAATTATCTGGGTGTGGTGGTGGGCACCTGTAGTTCTAGCTCCTCAGGAGGCTGAGGTGGGAGGATTGCTGGAATCCAAGAGGCAGAGGCTGCAGTGAGCCATGATTGCACCACTCAAAAAAAAAAAAAAGTATATATATATATATACATATACACACATACATATATATAAACAAAATTTAAAATATAAATAAAACAAGGGAAGAACTTTGCATGAGACAACAATGATAAATTAGTCAATAAGAAATATTTATTGTTAATCTCTTATCAGATGTAACCTCTGTTAAACAAAGATTATGGGAAACTATTGTTTTGGACTGAGCTGCTGCACTAGGCCCCAAAAGGCCACACCTAACCGAAATGGAGTCACTCATGCTAAATGTCACATAATCTAATTGAAACTTTAAGGAAGCAGATAGGTAGATCACCAACCAGAACAGTTTTTTCTGAAAACAGGAGATTTCAGTCTACCTGAGCCAGGCTAATAAGGG
Organism: Homo sapiens; assembly: GCF_000001405.40. NCBI lineage: Eukaryota > Metazoa > Chordata > Mammalia > Primates > Hominidae > Homo > Homo sapiens. Next base: position 96,473,788 of record NC_000002.12, on the reverse strand, counting down.
AGTCTCCTCTGTTTTAACTCTCACAAAAAAGTAACCTGATAACCAATCAGCTTTTTAAAATCCTATTTCTTTATTCCCATCTTACAAAACCCACCCAGTGGGAGCTCTCATACTAGTTTGTAGAATGGAGGCGGCTGCAATTCATGAATCTCAAAAAGCCAATTAGATCCATAACTAAGTTAGTTGTAATTTTGCCTTTTGACACCCTTAACCCAAAACTGTTATCTTAAGGTGTTTATAATGTAGGTTTATAAGAGGAAAAGGTAAAGGTTAACATGTTGTAGAAGACTGTTTGTATTTTGGAGTTAACTATAATTGTTACAGTTCATAATATTTAACCCACTGACTATGACACCATTGACTGATATGATTAACCCAACCAATGTATAATAAAATGTAGACTTTCCAGGAATAAGTAAATCATTTCTTTTTTGCAGAAGTTTATGTAAATTTTAGAAATAAACCGTTTAACCTGCAATGCAAAATCTCTTTCATGACACTAAGACACAGAAAAGGCAATAAAAATGGCTTCTTTTCATTGTTAGTATTTTTTTTTTTTTTTTTTTTTGAGACAGGGTCTCGCTTTGTTGTCCAGGCTGGAGTGCAATGGCACAATCATGGCTTACTACAGCCTCAACCTCCTGGGCTCGATGATCCTCCCACTTCAGCCTCCCAAAGAGCTAGGACCACAGCGCCACCACACTCTTTGCTATGTTGCCCATGCTGGTCTCTAACTCCTGAGCTCAAGTGATCCACCTGCCTTGGCCTCCTAGAGTGCTGGAATTACAGGTGTGAGCCACTGCGTCCGGCCTGGCCTCTCTTAAGGAAGAAACAGCCTTCCTGTGGATTGAATGAGCTGATTCCCTGAGCAGGGTCTTGATGCCACTCTCAGCCCCCCGCCTCCTCTCTGAGGCCCCTTGGTGGGATCCACTGCTGCGTGTGTGCACCCTGGGGTGCAGCCAGCTGCAAGACAGGCACCTTGTAGGTGTGCAGCCCTGGGCACCATGTACACATTCACCCCTGCTCCAAAAGCTAGGACTACAGCCGCGTGCCACCATACCTGGCTAGTTTTTAATTTTTATTTTTAGTAGAAACAAGGTCTTACTATGTTGCCCAGGCTGGTCTCCAGCTCCTGAGCTCAAGCAATCCACCTGTCTCAGCCTCCCAAAGTGCTGGGATTACAGGTGTGAGCCACCGTGCCCGACCTGTTAATATTTTTATTTAAATGGCTAGTTCTCTTTTCTATCGTGGTAAAATATATATAATGTAAAAATTACCATTTTAACCATTTCTAAGTATAAAATTCAGTGGCATTAAATATATTCATATTGTAGTACAAATATATTCATATTGTGGTTAACCACTATCCATTTCTAGAACTTTTTCATCTCCCCAAACTGAAACTCTGTACCCGTTAAATAATTCCCTATACCCCCCCACCCCCAATCCCTAGCAACCATGATTCTGTCTCTGTGAATTTGCCTATTCTAGATATTTCATATACGTGAAGTCATACAATATTTGTTCTTTTGTGTCTGGCTTATTTTTTAGTATAATGCCTTTGAGGTCTGTCCATGTTTATACCACGTGTCAGAATTTCATTCCTTTTTAAGGCTGAATAATACACCACTGTATGTATATACAACAGTTCCCCCCTTTTTGGGGTTTCTTCTTCCATGGTTTAAGTTACCTGGGGTCAACTGCAGTCGGAAAATATTAAACAGAAGATTCCAGAAATAAACAATTCATGAGTTTTAAATTTCTCACTGCTGTGAGTAGTGTGACAAAATTTCCCGCATCTATGCCACTGCCTGTTAGTCACTTAGTACCCAGCTTGGTTATCATATTGGTGATCTCAGTATTGCGGCATTTGTGTACAAGCAATCTTTATTTTACTTAACCGTTCTATTTATGATTCGTTATTGTTAATGTCTTACTGTGCCTAATTCATAAATTAAACTTTATCATAGGGATGTATGTATACGAAATAAACAGGGTTGGGCCTTGTAGCTCAGGCCTGTACTCCTGAAAAACACTTTGGAAGGTGGAAGTGGGAGGACCTCTTGAGCCCAGGAGTTTAAGACCAGTCTGGGCAATAGAGTGAGAACCCTCTCTCTCTCTCTCTCTCTCTCTCTCTCACACACACACACACACACACACACGCACACACACACACGGAAAAGGGGGAAAAAAACCCTTGGCATATGTAGGTAGGGTTCAATGCTATCCATGGTTTCCGGCATCCACCGGGGGTCATGGAACTGTCATGCGCCGATAAAGGGGACTACTGTACCACGTTTTGTTTACCCGCTCATCTGCAGACAGACCCTTGGGTTATGTCCACATTTGGCCTATTATGAGTGACGCTGCTGTGAACATGAGTGTACAAATACCTGTTCGAGTCCCTGCTTTCAATTCTTTTGGATGTATGTATACTTAGAAGTGGAATTGCTGGATCATATGATTATTACAAAGGGCTTTAACATGAAATGATGCCAGAACTCACTCGTAAGAGAAAATGAGAATTAAATCTCTAGTAGGCGTTTTCATCTATAAGACTGACAAAGGTCCTGAATTGATGGAATGGGGGCGAGGGGCACTGTGCACCCTTTTTGTTCCTTTTGAATCATACGATTTTGCCTATCCATGTACTCCCTGGGGTCTGCTTTTACCCGCCCCACAGGAACAAGCGGAGGGGTCTTTTGGACCCAGGCCGCGGCCCCAGATTCCTGGAACCCGATTTCGGATTCCTGGCCGGACTCCCGCCAACCCCGCCGTGGCCCCTGGGGTGTCCGCGGCTGGAGGGAAGCGCTTTCCCCTGGGGCCTGGCCCAGGTCCCTATACTGCACCCTGCCTCAGGCTGGCACCGCTGGCACCGCGGCTCTGGGCCACCCTGGGTGCGGCACAGCAGCCTGGGGCGAGGTGGGCAGGCCCCGTCTCCTGCCTCCCGCCTGCAGGGGCCCAAGGCCGCCCTCTACCAGTCCTGGAAGACAGTGACCAGCGGGTTGCCAGGGACCGAGAAGCCCGCACGGACCCTCCTTGGTACCGCCCTCTGCCGGTGGGTCGCGGGGCTGGAACCCTGCGCAGGTCCCTCAAGGGGTCTCCTTCCTGTTCCCGCCCTGTCCCATCCTGCCTCCCCAGTCTTCTTCTGCCCCTTCCCCTCCAGCCTGCAGGCTCCTAGTACCGCGGACCCTGCAGCTTCGGGCTCCGTCTGACTATTTGTGTTCAATAAACATTTGTTGAAGTGATTTAAGGAAATAAATCATACACAGGAGACTTTCGTTTGAAAGGGAAGGACCCTAGGAAGAGAACTATAAAACCAGCCTTAGGACATTAGAGAAAATCTGAACAGATGGAAGGCATATCACATTCTTGCATAGGAATATTTTTGCATGGGTAAATAAATGACCAAGGTCTGCAAGATAAGCATGAAAAACAGCAGCCGGCGGAACCAAATGAGGACATTTTGTAACCAACCGATATAGTGTCTATGTGGGAAGAGACAACTAGATTCCTGGAACAGTGAGACAATTCAGGAAGGGAGTCCAGTATATGCGAGGTTAACGGATTAAAAAGGAAGCGTTACAAGTAAGAGGGAAAAGCTAGCGTGTCCCCTCAATGGCCCTGGCCAACCTGTCTCTCCATCAGAAGGAAATAAACTGGACCCTCTCACACACCACAATCCCAAACTGAATTCTAGATGACGTTATAAATGTTAAAATAGCCAAAACCAAACCAAAGCAAAACTGAAGAAACCTAGGAGACTGATTCTTAGCCAAAATAGGAAATTCAGAAGCTATAAAAGACAGACATGTTTGCTTATATAATAATTTTAAAACTTTGCATGGTGAAGAATACCATCAGCAAATTTAATAAAGAAACAGATGCCGGGCGCGGTGGCTCAGCCTGTAATCCCAGCACTTTGGGAGGCCGAGGCGGGCGGATCACAAGGTCAGGCGATCGAGACCATCCTGGCTAACACGGTGAAACCCCGTCTCTACTAAAAAAATACAAAAAAAAAATTAGCCGGGCGTGGTGGTGGGCACCTGTAGTCCCAGCTACTCGGGAGGCTGAGGCAGGAGAATGGCGTGAACCCGGGAGGCGGAGCTTGCAGTGAGCCGAGATCGCGCCACTGCACTCCAGCCTGGGTGACAGAGTGAGACTCCGTCTCAAAAAAAAAAAAAAAAAAGAAAGAAAGAAACAGATTGGGAAAATACTATCTAATAATACTATCTCATAACCCAAAGGACAAAGGATCATTCTCTAGAATACAGTGCGTAGTATACAAAGAACTCTTACAAATTTGCAAGAAAAGATAACACAATTTTAAAAAGTGGACAAACGACACAAACAGAAAATTCACAGAAGAGCAATCCAAATGGCCACTCAACTATAAAAACATTCTCAAGTGTATTGGTGGTTGAATAAATGCAAATTAAAGTCACAATGCTGTATCATTTGTTATCATGGAGGGCAGCCATGAGAGCTGTGGCTGGAGTTTTCCCCTTACAGGGCACTGCTTCAGGTTTTGGTAAACAGCAATTTGGCAACCTGTACTAAAATAAAACATACGCATACTTTTCACTATTGTAATTCTAGAAACAGACACACCACCACATCAGAACACATGAAAAAAGTTGTCAATGGCAGCACTGTGAATAGAGGCGGAGCACAGACGGAGCGCTCATCAATGAGGAGGTGGGTGGATTAAGATGCGTCCTCAAGGTGAGTGGCAGGAAGCAATGAGATGAAAAAATTGGAGCTCTGCTCTTTAACTTGTAGGCTTTCTACGAGGTATTTGCAAAGATGTATGTTTAATAGAATTCCACTTTTGTAAAACAAATAAGGGCCAAAATCTCCTATGCATGTCTGTGTACACACACAAGCGCGTGCACACACACACATGCACGTGCACACACACACTCGTGCACGCACACACCTGGGCATGTAAGCCTCATATGATTATATCAGTATGGAGAAGGTTCTGAAAGAATATGGGCAAGGTTACATGTGTGGGGTGAGGCAATGTGGGGTGGAGAAATGGAAAAGAGAGAGGAAGGACATAAGAGAGAAGATGGGGGCTGGGCAGTGGCTCACGCCTGTAATCCCAGCACTTTGGGAGGCTGAGGCAGGAGGATGCTTGAGCTCAGGAGCTCGAGACCAGCTTGGGCAACATAGCAAGACTGTGTCTCTACTAAAAACAAAAATAAAGGAAAAAATTACAAAAGAGAGAAGGTGGGGAGAAGGAAGGGGAATGGGGAGCTGGGAGGGAAGGAGAGGCTTGAAAGGAAAAAGGCAGGCAGGTAAAAGGAAAAAAATCTTCACAGTAGACAGACAAAAGCATATATTATATATTTTAATTTGTGTAACATTATTTATGTAGTAAATATATGCTCAGAGACATAAAAAGATATAACTTTATATCTACTAATGGTAGCAAGGCCCATGACACATATTGTGCAGTGGCATGGGCAAGGGGCGGTTTTATACACACACACATGCCCACATATGTGTACATGCCACCCACTCACACCCATATGTGTACACACAATTTTGGCTAAAGCAGCCATTCCCCATCCCACAAGTGGGATGAGTGAGCATGTAGGTGAGTGAGGAGAAAGGTCCTACAGCCTTGGCTGCCAATGTTGTCTGCCTCCAAGGGCAGAGGACCGGGTCAGGCATTGACTTCAATGGAGGTGATAGGCTTTGGCTCTGTACATTTTGGGTTGGTTTCACTGGCTACTAGGATGTTTTTCATTTTTGGAATTTAAAAGGCATCAATAAGGAACATTCTTTTTTTTTTCCAGCTGGGCACGGTGGCTCACACCTGTAATCCCAGCACTTCAGGAGGCCGAGGCAGGCAGATAACCTGAGGTCAGGAGTTCGAGACCAGCCTGACCAACATGGTGAAACTCTGTCTCTACTAAAAATACAAAAATTAGCCAGGCATGGTGGTGGGTACCTGTAATCCCAGCTACTTGGGAGGCTGAGGCAGGAGAATTGCTTGCACCCGGGAGGTGGAGGTTGCAGTGAGCCATGATTGTACCACTGCACTCCAGCCTGGGCGACAGAGCAAGACTCAGTCTCAAAAAAAAAAAAAAAAAAAAAAAAAGAACATTTTTTTCTTTTAAACCAGGGAAGTTTTGGTGAATGCCACTGGAGAACTGCCCCCTTCTCACCCAGTGACTAGGGACAGGGGAGCACCCCAACTCAGTGCTGGCTGAAGGCCCATGGCCCAGCACTCTAGAGTGGGGCCCAGAGCTGACCTCAGGGTCAAGGGGAGGGCTCAGAGAGGCTCTGCCACTGCCCTTGGCCACAAACCCTTTACAGAGCAGAGCTCGGGCTTGAACCCAAATCTGCCACTCTGTCCAAAAGCGAGTTCTATTTCAAGCCATGAGAAAACCCTTCCACTTACCACTTCTGTCACTGGACCAGGTCCTTTGATATAAGTACATAGAAAAGTCCTGACCCAAATCTCAATGGACACGTTGGTAATTTTTTTCACTACAAACACACAGTCGGAAAATTGGATAAAATACACGAAACAACTGCAGAGGCTGAGCAGCACGGGACAGGAGAGAAAGAAAGCCAATGGAGTGAGCTTTGTGACCTCCAATTTCCTACCTGGAGGCAGTTCCCAGAGTGTAGTATAGAAAGGGCATCCCCAGCAAGGTGTGGCAGTCTTGCTGAGTAGAGGACAATGGAATCGGTGTTTGCTAGGCTGTGGTAATCAGAATTTGGAAAGCAGAGTACCAGAGACAAAGAATCCAGGTGGAGAAAAGCTCCAGAAATACTAATAGGGGTCACATAAGCTTTTTGGCTGAATATCAGTATGTGAATGAATAAGGCGAAAACTCCATAAAGCCAGACAAAAAAAACCCAACTACCTGGGAAAGAACAATGACTGCATGCCAAATAATTCTCACATCTTACACAGAGCCAGGAACTATTCAAGTTTCTACCAGCCAAAGAACGGGGAGTTCTTTGAACACATGGGACATTGGCTAGAGACCCCAGAACAGCTATTCACAGAGTGAAACCACACTGAGACAAATAAAGGTTCTGGAAGCCAGTTGCGATGGTGCGTGCCCATAGGCCCACTCAGGAGGCTGAGGCCTGAGCATTACTTGAGACCAGGAGTTCAAGGCCAGCCTGGGCAACATAGAAAGACCCTGTCTCTAAAAGAAAGAGAAACAGGATATGATGGAACTGCTTTTTAAGGTAGTTAAAGGAGGTGCCTTGGAGAACTATTTATGCAAAATTAGGGCTACAGTCTCAGTAGAAGTCCACAGTAGAGAAGGGCTTATCCAAAAGGTTTGTAGGAGGCTGAGACAGGCAGACCATTTGAGCCCAGGTGCTGGAGACCTGCCAGGGCAACATAGTGAGACCCTATGTCTACAGAGCAGAGCTGGGGCTCTGAGAGTTAAAAAAAAAAAAACTTAAAAAAAAATTAGCCAGGTGTGGTGGTGCATACCTGTAGCATCAGCTACTCGGTAGCTGAGGTGGGAGAATTGCTCGAGCCCAGGAGGTCAAGGCTGCAGTGAGCTGTGATCACACCACTGCACTCCAGCCTGGGCGACAGAGCGAGACCCCCGTCTCAAAAACAAACAAACAGAAAGCTTTGTAAGGGTGACTTTTGTCTTTAGTGAAGTGAACCCCACTAAGATTTACAAGAAACTCACAAAGGTTTTAAGAAAATGGTTGGCAGAAACGCCATCAGCATGGACTGAAAGTGACAGAAACAATACAAAATAGGATTAATATCCTTATAAAAAGAGACACCAGAGAACTCATCTTCCTCTCTTGCCATGTGAGGACACAGTGAGAAAGGCCACCTACAAGCCAGGAAGAGGGCCCTTAACAGAACCTGACCATCTTGGCACTCTGATCTCGGACTTCCAGCCTCAGGAACTGTAGGAAATCAGTATGTGGTTAAGCCCCCAGTCGATGGGGCTTTATTAAGGCAGCCTGAGCTGAACCATATGAAGAGCAAATGCAGCGGCAAGGGCACCACCTTGCAGGTCTTTAAAGAGTCTGTGGAGAGCCTGGGGGAACTTGGTGGGGTTTCCTGGACCATTGAAGAAATTGATTTGAACAAAGGGAATGTAGGTTTTAAATATCAGAGAATCTGATCTGCTTGGAAACTAGAACTTTAACACAGCGGATTTTAAATGTCTGGTTGTGCCCATTAATGATAGACTGGATAAAGAAAATGTGACACATATACACTGTGGAATACTATACAGCCATAAAAAGAATGAGTTCATGTCCTTTGCAGGGACATGGATGAAGCTTGAAGCCATCATTCTCAGCAAACTAACACAGGAACACAAAGCCGAATACCACATGTTCTCACTCATAAGTGGGACTTGAACAATAAGAACACATGGATACAGGGAGGGGAATATCACATACCAGGGCCTGTCAGAGCATGAGGGACAAGGGGAGGGAGAGCATTAGGAAAAATACCTAATGTGTGTGGGGCTTAAAACCTAGATGATGGGTTGATAGGTGCAGCAAACCACCATGGCACATGTATACCTATGTAACAAACCTGCACATTCTGCACATGTATCCCAGAACTTAAAGTAAAATAAAAATAAATAAATAAATGTCTGTTTGATGTTTCCATTGCTTTTCCCTTATGCATAGTTTTCCACAAAAATCTCTCTTGCCAACTAAAGCCTTACGAGTCACAAGGTTTTTCATGAATGGCACACTTTCCAAAGGGCCTGAGAGATGCTGCATCTGGAAAATCCTTCCTCGAACCTCACCTTGAATACTGCCCCCTACACACAGACTCTCCTAACCTGCCCTCTTCCAGGTGTCATCAACTAATGGCTCCATCATCCAGAATTGGCAGGGCATGACCTCCAAGACTAGGTCATTAAAGGCATGGCTGCTTCCTCCCCACTGTCTCTTGGATTACCTGCCCTTGGTAATCTCTTGGATTACCTGCCCTTGAGGAAGCCAGCTGTCACATTGTGAGAAAACTCAAGCAGCCCCGGTGGAGAGGTCTACATGAAGAGAAGCTGAAGCCTCCTGCCAACAGCCATGTTAGTGAGCCCAACAGTCCCCAGTCAAGTCTTCAGAGAGAAGACAGCAACCCTAGCCATATCTCAAATGCATTCTCATGCAAGGCGCCTACCCAGAAGCACCTAGCTAAGTTGCTCCCAAATTCTTGACTCACAGAAGCTGTGTGAGATAATAAATATTTATTGTTTCAAACCCTTGAGTTTTAGGGTAATTTGTTATGCAGCAATAGATCACTAACACATGAGGGGTAAAAAAGTCACCTAGACTGGGCCTGTCATAAGTTTGGTTTTCTGGAAAAATAGACTGGGAAAGGGATTAGTGTGTAAAGGTTTATTTGAAAGCATTCTGGGGAACCACACTGGTGGCAGGAGGAGGCAGGGACAGGACTGCGCAGAGGGAGAACTCAGGCTGGGTTCTCTCCCCTGGCGGCCTCAGCTGCTACACAGGGAGCTCTGAAGCTGGAGTGACCCTTCAGAGCCTTCCTGAGCTAGGGTGAGAGGGCTGGCCATTGCTCAGTACACACACAGATCAGCCCTTGAAGCAGGAGAGAACCTGCCTCCAGGACTGAGTCAACCCTGGTTCCTCGGCCTGGCCTCTGTAGGCTCTGGGTTGACCAAGCAGACTGAACACAAAACATTTTGATATCTGTCAGATTCCTTTAGGGACTAGATCCATTTCTGTTCTCTGCTGTATCCCCCTGTCGGTCTGTTCCTCGCCAATACCACACTGTTTTAATTTCTGCAGCTTTATACCATGCTTAGGTTCAGTAAAGCTAGACTCCCTTCCTTGCCTGCTTTTGCTAATTTCCCTTGGGCACAATACCCCTGATCCTGTCTGCTACATCTCGTCATGGTCCAGCCCTGCCTCTGCTTCCCCCAGAGCCCCCCTCCTGGAGGGCAGCCTCATGTCCTCACCTCCAGCACAAAGCCTCCTCTCTGAAAACTCTTGGAAGACTCCTTTAAGGGAGTGTGTATGTGACTACAGAGATTTGAGGAATGGAATAGTCAGTCCTCATCATTCATGGATTCCAAGTTTGTAAATTTGCCTACCAACAAAATTTGTTACCCCCGAATTAATAATCATGGCACTATTACGGTCATTTGCAGAGCAGAGAAAAATCTGAATTGATTGCCGTTCCCAGCTGAAATCAAACAAGGTGAGCCTCTCTACCGCCTTCTTTCAGCTTTCATACTGTAAAGTGGCTTTTCCTGATCTATTTAGTATCATATTTATTCACATTTTTGTGCTTTTTTTTTTGGTGATTTTGCTGTTTAAAAATGGCCCCTAAAGGTTGGACATGGTGGCTCATGCCTGTAATCCCAGCTCTTTGGGAGGTCAAGGTGGGAAGATCACCTGAGCCCAGGAGTTCAAGGCCAGCCTGGGCGACAGAGTGAGACCTTGTCTCAAAAAAGAAAAGAAAAAAAGGAAGTCCCTTAAGCATAGTGCTGAAGTTCTATCTAATATCATTACACGCAGGAAATCTGTGATGAAATACATGTCTTTTTTTTTTTTTTTTTTACTTTAAGTTCTGGGATATATGTGCTGAACATGCAGGTTTATTACATAGGTATACATGTGCTGTGGTGGTTTGCTACACCCATCAACCCATCATCTAGGTTTTTTTTTTTTTTTTTTTTTTTAATTTATTTTTTTATTGATAATTCTTGGGTGTTTCTCACAGAGGGGGATTTGGCAGGGTCATGGGACAATAGTGGAGGGAAGGTCAGCAGATAAACAAGTGAACAAAGGTCTCTGGTTTTCCTAGGCAGAGGACCCTGCGGCCTTCCGCAGTGTTTGTGTCCCTGGGTACTTGAGATTAGGGAGTGGTGATGACTCTTAACGAGCATGCTGCCTTCAAGCATCTGTTTTAACAAAGCACATCTTGCATCGCCCTTAATCCATTTAACCCTGAGTGGACACAGCACAAGTTTCAGAGAGCACAGGGTTGGGGGTAAGGTCACAGATCAACAGGATCCCAAGGCAGAGGAATTTTTCTTAGTGCAGAACAAAATGAAAAGTCTCCCATGTCTACTTCTTTCTACACAGACACGGCAACCATCCGATTTCTCAATCTTTTCCCCACCTTTCCTGCCTTTCTATTCCACAAAGCTGCCATTGTCATCCTGGCCCGTTCTCAATGAGCTGTTGGGCACACCTCCCAGACGGGGTGGTGGCCGGGCAGAGGGGCTCCTCACTTCCCAGTAGGGGCGGCCGGGCAGAGGCGCCCCTCACCTCCCGGACGGGGCGGCTGGCCGGGCGGGGGGGCTGACCCCCCCCACCTCCCTCCCGGACGGGGCGGCTGGCCGGGCGGGGGGCTGACACCCCCACCTCCCTCCCGGACGGGGCGGCTGGCCGGGCAGAGGGGCTCCTCACTTCCCAGTAGGGGCGGCCGGGCAGAGGCGCCCCTCACCTCCCGGACGGGGCGGCTGGCCGGGCGGGGGGGCTGACCCCCCCCACCTCCCTCCCGGACGGGGCGGCTGGCCGGGCGGGGGGCCGACACCCCCACCTCCCTCCCGGACGGGGCGGCTGGCCGGGCGGGGGGCCGACCCCCCCACCTCCCTCCCGGACGGGTCGGCTGGCCGGGCGGGGGGCCGACCCCCCCACCTCCCTCCCGGACGGGGCGGCTGGCCGGGCGGGGGGCCGACCCCCCCACCTCCCTCCCGGACGGGGCGGCTGGCCGGGCAGAGGGGCTCCTCACTTCCCAGTAGGGGCGGCCGGGCAGAGGCGCCCCTCACCTCCCAGACGGGGCGGCTGGCCGGGCGGAGGGCAGACCCCACCTCCCTCCCGGATGGGGCGGCTGGCCGGGTCGGGGGGCTGACCCCCTCATCTCCCTCCCGGACGGGGTGGCTGGCCGGGCTGAGGGGCTCCTCACTTCCCAGTAGGGGCGGCCGGGCAGAGGCACCCCTCACCTCCCGGACGGGGCGGCTGGCCGGGCGGGGGGCTGACCCCCCCACCTCCCTCTCGGATGGCACGGCTGGCCGGTCGGGGGGGCTGACCCCCCACCTCCCTCCCAGATGGGGCAGCTGGCCGGGCGGGGGGTTGACCCCCCCCCACCTCCCTCCCGGACGGGGTGGCTGCCGGGCGGAGATGCTCCTCACTTCCCAGATGGGGTGGCTGCGGGGCGGAGAGGCTCCTCACTTCTCAGACGGGGCAGCTGCTGGGCGGAGGGGCTCCTCACTTCTCAGACGGGGTGGTTGCCAGGCAGAGGGTCTCCTCACTTCTCAGACGGGGCAGCCGGGCAGAGACGCTCCTCACCTCCCAGACGGGGTCTCGGCCGGGCAGAGGCGCTCCTCACATCCCAGATGGGGCGGCGGGGCAGAGGCGCTCCCCACATCTCAGACGATGGGCGGCCGGGCAGAGACGCTCCTCACTTCCTAGATGTGATGGCGGCTGGGAAGAGGCGCTCCTCACTTCCTAGATGGGATGGCGGCCGGGCTGAGACGCTCCTCACTTTCCAGACTGGGCAGCCAGGCAGAGGGGCTCCTCACATCCCAGACGATGGGCGGCCAGGCAGAGACACTCCTCACTTCCCAGACCGGGTGGCGGCCGGGCAGAGGCTGCAATCTCGGCACTTTGGGAGGCCAAGGCAGGCGGCTGGGAGGTGTAGGTTGTAGTGAGCCGAGATCACGCCACTGCACTCCAGCCTGGGCACCATTGAGCACTGAGTGAACGAGACTCCGTCTGCAATCCCGGCACCTCGGGAGGCTGAGGTTGGCAGGATCACTCGCGGTTAGGGGCTGGAGACCAGCCCGGCCAACACAGCGAAACCCCGTCTCCACCAAAACCAGTCAGGCGTGGCGGCGCGTGCCTGCAATGGCAGGCACTCGGCAGGCTGAGGCAGGAGAATCAGGCAGGGAGGTTGCAGTGAGCCGAGATGGCAGCAGTACAGTCCAGCTTCGGCTCCGCATGAGAGGGAGACCGTGGGGAGAGGGAGACAGAGGGAGAGGGAGAGGGAGAGGGAGAGGGACATCATCTAGGCTTTAAGCTCCACATGCATTAGGTATTTGTCCTAATGTTCTCCCTCCCCTTGCCCCCACCCAACAACAGGCCCTGGTGTGTGTTGTTCCCCTGCCTGTGTCCATGTGTTCTCACTGATCAACTCACATTTATGAGTGAGAACATGTAATGTTTGATTTTTTGTTCCTGTGTTAGTTTGCTGAGGACGATGGCTTCCAGCTTCATCCATGTCCCTGCAAAGAACATGAATTCATTCTTTTTTATGGCTGTATAGTATTCCATGGTGTATATGTGCCACATTTTCTTTATCCAGTCTATGTATTATTGATGACCATTTGGGTTGGTTCCAAGACTTTACTATTGTAAACAGTGCTGCAATAAACATATGTGTGCATGTGTCTTTATAGTAGAATGATTTATAATCCTTTGGGTATATACCCAGTAATGGGATTGCTGCATCAAATAGTATTTCTGGTTCTAGATCCTTGAGGAATCACCACACTGTCTTCCACAATGGTTGAATTAATTTACACTCCTACCAACAGTGTGAAAGTGTTCCTATTTCTCCACATCCTCACCGGCATCTGTTGTTTCCAGACTTTTTAATGATCGCCATTCTAACTGGCATGAGAGGGTATCTCATTGTGGTGTTGATTTGCATTTCTCTAATGACCAGTGATGATGAGCTTTTCTTCATAAGTTTGTTGGCCACATGAATGTCTTCTTTTGAGAAGTGTCTGTTCATACACTTTGCCCACTTTTTGATGGGGTTGTTTGCTTTTTTCTTGTAAATTTGTTTAAGTTCCTTGTAGATTCTGGTTATTACACCTTTGTCAGATGGATAGATTGCAAAAATTTTCTGCCATTCTGTAGGTTGCCTGTTCACTCTGATGATAGTTTCTTTTGCTGAGCAGAAGCTCTTTTGTTTAATTAAGTCCCATTTGTCAATTTTGGCTTTTGTTGCAATTGGTTTTTGTGTTTTATTCACGAAGTCTTTGCCCATGAATATGTCCTGCATGTTATGGCCTAGGTTTTCTTCTAGGGTTTTCATGGTTTTACATTTTACATTTAAGTCTTTAACCCATCTTGAGTTAATTTTTGTATGAGATGTAAGGAAGGGGTCTAGTTTCTGTTTTCTGCATATGACTAGTCAGTTTTCCCAGCACCATTTATTAAATAGAGAATCCTTTCCTGATTGCTTGTTTTTGTCAGGTTTGTTGAAGATCAGATGGTTGTAGATGTGTGGTGCTATTTCTGAGGACTCTGTTCTGCTCCATTGGTCTATATATCTGTTTTGGTACCAGTGCCATGCTGTTTTGGTTACTGTAGCCTTGTAGTATAGTTTGAAGTCAGGTAGCATGATGCCTCCAGCTTTGTTCTTTTTGCTTAGTATTGTCTTGGCTATACAGGCTCTTTTTTGGTTCCATATGCAATTTAAAGTAGTTTTTCTTCAAGTTCTGGGAAGAAAGTCAATGACAGCTTGATGGGAATAACACTGAATCTATAAATTACTTTGGGAAGCATGACCATTTTTCATATTGATTCTTCCTATCCATGAGCATGGAATGCTTTTCCATTGTTTGTGTATTCTCTTATTTCCTTGAGCAGTGGTTTGTAGTTCTCCTTGAAGAAGTCCTTCACGTCCCTTGTAAGTTGTATTCTTAGGTATTTTATTTTCTTTGTAGCAATTGTGAATGGGAGTTCGCTCATGATTTGGCTGCCTGCTTGTCCATTACTAGTGTATAGGAATGCTTGTGATTTTTGCATATTGATTTTGTATTCTGAGACTTTGCTGAAGTTGTTTATCAGCTTAAGGAGTTTTTGGGCTGGGACTATGGGGTTTTCTAAATATACAATCATGTCATCTGCAAACAGAGACAATTTGACTTCCTGTCTTCCTATTTGAATATGCTTTATTTCTTTCTCTTGCCTGATTGCTCTGGCCAGAACTTCTAATACTATGTTGAATATGAGTGGTGAGAGAGGGCATCCTTGTCTTATGCCTGTTCTCAGAAGGAATGCTTCCAGCTTTTGCCCATTCAGTATGATATTGGCTATGGGTTTGTCATAAACAGCTCTTATTACTTTGAGATATCTTCCATCAGTACCTAGTTTATTGAGAGTTTTTAGTATGAAGGGGTGTTGAATTTCATCAAAGGCCTTTTCTGCATCTATTGAGATAATCATGTGGTCTTTTTTTCATTTGTTGTTTATGTGATGGATTACGCTTACTGATTTTCATGTGTTGAACCAGCCTTGCATCCCAGGGATGAAGCCGATTTGATTGTGATGGACAAGCTTTCTGATGTGCTGCTGGATTCGGTTTGCCAGTATTTTATTGAGGATTTTCACATTGATATTCATCAGGTTTATTGGCC